>NC_000023.11:16076881-16379912 GCF_000001405.40 Homo sapiens | reverse complement strand
CTGCTTCAGCCACCTCAGCAGCTGGGATTACAGGTGTGCACCATCACACCTGGCTAATTTTTGTATTTTTAATAGAGGTGGGGTTTCGCCATGTTGCCCAAGCTGCTTTTGAACTCCTGAGCTCCAGCGATCCACCCACCTTGGCCTCCCAAAGTGATGGGATTACAGGCATGAGCCACCATGCCTGGCTCCATATGCTTTTTTTAGTTGGTCTTTTAATTGTTTTGATTTACTATATGTTACCAAACATTTTCATATTAAGTCATTCTTCCATTTTTGTAAGAATAATAAAATGGATTTAGTTATGATAGATTATTACTTAAAGGAAATGTTAGTTTCATTAAATTAGTATAAATTAACTGGATTTTCATATCCATATTTTAAAGTGAGATCAGTTTATATTGCATATTTCAAAATAAAAGAGTGGAACTGGAATGTTTTTACATGAAGAAATGATAAATGCTTGAGGTGATGGATATCCTAGTTACCCTAATTTGATCATCACACATTGTATGCTTGTATCAAAATATCACATAAATATATAGAACTATTGTGTATCCATAACAATTAAAAACAAAAAATTTTAAAAACATCAATTTTGTTAAAGTTTAGAATTTTGCTAACGTGCAACTGCAGTGTTCTTATATATTTTTTCCCCTTGATTTGATTTTCTACAAGTTTTTCTGTGGTATTTGTTTTTCAAGAATTTAGATTTTGGATTGATCAATTCCTCTGTCTTCCTTAGCTCTTTTATAATATATTCATTTTATGTTTATGAAAGTGCCACCTTTAAGGAAATCAGAATTAACTTGCAGAACTCATTTGGGCAACTTACCAAGGAGAATGTTGATGGTGGTGCCCTTTTCTGGCTACTCTGTTGCTTTTTACTCTAAGTTACCCCAGATCCTTTAAAATTTAGTAAAAGTAACACCAAAACTATGTATAAAGTATCTAATCTGATCTTGAATCCTGACTTCTCCAGAAAAGTGGATGGTACCGTTCATATTTTACAAATGAGGAAACTGTTGCTGAGAGCATTTAATCACTTTTTTTCAAATCACACAGCTAGTGAATACAAGGTTTGAGGGGGTAGATTTCCAAACCCAAGTTTGCTTATTCTTGTAATAAGCTTTTTATTTTGGAGTAATTTTAGATTTATAGAGAAGTTGCAAAGATAGCGCGGGGTCTTCCCATATACCCTTTACCCCGTTTCCCCAATGTTAACATCTTGCATGACTATGGGACATTTGTCAACACTAACACATCGTTATATGACTCTTAATTAGACTCCAGACTTTATTGGGATTTTATTAGCTGAGTTTTTTTTTTTTAAACATCTGACTGTTTTTCCATCCTACAAGTGGAAGGAGAGTTACTGAAATGAATGTATGGAATGTATGGAAGGGAAGCAGTGAACTCAGAGTAGAGGAATGTGAGCAATTGGTGGAAAGCATTTAAATTAATCTGGTTCTATATTAATGATATGATATATATATGATATATATGTTATATATGAGATATATATCATATATATAACATATATATGTTACATATCGTATATATGTTACATATGAGATATATGTTACATATCGTATATATGTTACATATGAGATATATGTTACATATCGTATATATGTTACATATGAGATATATGTTACATATCGTATATATGTTACATATGAGATATATGTTACATATCGTATATATGTTACATATGAGATATATGTTACATATCGTATATATGTTACATATGAGATATATGTTACATATCGTATATATGTTACATATGAGATATATGTTACATATCGTATATATGTTACATATGAGATATATGTTACATATCGTATATATGTTACATATGAGATATATGTTACATATCGTATATATGTTACATATGAGATATATGTTACATATCGTATATATGTTACATATGAGATATGTTACATATCGTATATATGTTACATATGAGATATATGTTACATATCGTATATATGTTACATATGAGATATATGTTACATATCGTATATATGTTACATATGAGATATATGTTACATATCGTATATATGTTACATATGAGATATATGTTACATATCGTATATATGTTACATATGAGATATATGTTACATATCGTATATATGTTACATATGAGATATATGTTACATATCGTATATATGTTACATATGAGATATGTTACATATCGTATATATGTTACATATGAGATATATGTTACATATCGTATATATGTTACATATGAGATATATGTTACATATCGTATATATGTTACATATGAGATATATGTTACATATCGTATATATGTTACATATGAGATATATGTTACATATCGTATATATGTTACATATGAGATATATGTTACATATCGTATATGTTACATATGAGATATATGTTACATATCGTATATATGTTATATATCGTATATATGTTATATATCGTATATATGTTATATATCGTATATATGTTATATACATATGATATATGTGTTATATGATATATGTTTTATATATATGATGTATATGTTTTATATATATGATATATGTTTTATATATGATATATGTTTTATATATATGATATATATGTTATATATGATATATATATGTTACTGGCAATGATATATATATATTATATATATACCTATATATTATATATATACCAATAATATATATTATATATACCAAAAATGATATATATGATGATGTATATATATACACCAAAAATATTTATCAAAAACCTAAAATTTTGGCATAGAAAAGGGCTTTGAATTCAATTAATCTGAGGCCATTCAGTTAACAATCTGGGGAAAGCTGGTTGTGGAATTAAGACTTATAACTCCAAATCCCTCTTTCCTTGATAACCTGGTGCCTTCTAAGACATGTGCTGCTCAAGATGACTTGGTGCCAGGAATTTCTTGTAGCTGATAGGTCACATCAGTTATATCCACGGAAAAATGAAAATTCTCTAAAGGCTACAGTAGTAATAGTGTGTGACAATGAATGATGGAGACTCAAAATGGATAGTACACACATGTCTCTGAAAGTCAGTTATTACTTCTGTGTGTTTGAACAAAGAAGATATTTCAGGTAACATCCTACATTTCTAGAAATTGCTTTGTTAGAAAGAACAATAGCAATATAACTGGAAAGAAGTGCACCTTAATTTTTATTTATGCTCTTTTGATATAATGCAAAGTGGCAGGCAAATCTTATTTTGTTTACATGGCAATACTTCCAAGTTTCACATATAGTGTGTGTCAACAGCTAATGCATTGTAAACTGCTGGCCAACAGATGACTTATACCTAAGGACACTTAGAGAATCGGTAATCAAACTAAAATTACATTGGCTTTAAATTGTGACATTCACTTCAGCACAATTTCAGCACTTAAATATCCTGCCTCCTTTGAAGTATGTCCTCTGGAATATTTCTTACATCTCATGCTTCTATTCTTGTAACCACAATCCTCCTCCAAGCTCTTATTATCTGTTTCTTGGAATTTGCAGAGGGCTTGTTTCCAGAGTAACCTCCAGGTTGGAAGAGAATTATATGTGGAGAGGGAACCGAGGGCTTAGGGGTTCAGGGGAGAGATTGTTTTGATAGGCTGCAAGCAGACACTCAGGGGCTTTGATGCAGCTCTGTACACTCTAAATGACCAAAGAGTCAGCATAGCATTAAGTCAGGCATTTGAGCGTCTGGATGGAAATAAAGTCATCTTGACCCTCACAATTATTTATTCATGCTACCAGTGTTTTCCCAGTGTCTCAGATTCCAAACTGGATGAATCTCCTTTCTCATTAGCATGCTTTTTCTTCTTCTGTCCTCCATCCTATTCTTCCTCCTTGTCTTTCTATAACTAGTCAGTCACTGTAGCACATGTTGTTGGTGTCCTGTCCCTATTCTCTTTGCACTCACCTTCATACAATGAAGGTTGTTCATTGTAAACAACTATGACTCCACCTGGAACTTTTTTTTTTTTTTTTTTTTTTGCCTCAGGACCATTCTCCACCCACATACAGGGCAATCAGGAAGTGGCCTGAAAGCAGCTTTCCACTAATGAAGAACAGGGAGTTGGTGAATAAATATCCCAACCTCCTTGCCCCTGATTTGGGATAGCTTTGAGGCACATTCTACATCATTGTTATTTAAAGCATGGTACCAGATCAACAGCATTGGTGTCACCTGGAAACTTGTTGGAAATGCAGAATCTCAGGCTCTACCTCAAACCTACTGAATCAGAATCTGCATTTTAATAAGATCCCCAGGGGGGATGCACACTGAAGCTTGAGAAGCTCTGCTCTCCACAGTCTCCCAGAGTTCCCCAGTGGGATTGAGCTCCAGTGGTCCACCATGAAAACTGGCTCAATTAATATACACTTTACTGACTTCCTCCCCTTCACACTCTCACTTCCTGTGGTAGGTAGGCTGAATAAGGGCTTCTCAAATATTCTGATCTGTGGAACCTGTGATTATTACATTACAGGTAATAAAATAGGCAAAAGGGACTTCACAGATGGGATTAATTTGAGAATATTTAAATGGGGAGATTATCCTGGATTATCTGAATGGGCTTGATGTAACTACATCACTCCTTTCTAAGAGGGACTCAGCAGGAGTCAGAGTGAGAAGAGAAGGTAATGTGATGATAGAAGCAGAGACTGAAATGATGTGCTTTGAAGGTGGAGGAAGGGACTACAAGCCAAGGAATGCTGGTGCCCTCTAGAAGCTGGAAGAGGAAAGGAAATGGATTCTCCCCTGGAGCCTTACAAGGAACCAGTCCTGCTGACACATTGATTTTAGCCAAATGAAACGGATTTGGACTTTTGACCCTCAGAACTGTGAGAGAATACATTCATACAAATTTGTGGTGATTTGTTACAGCAGCAATAGAAAACTATACACTTTCCCAACTCCCCTATTGGTTTTTGTCTCTTAAAAAAACCACTTGCGTTCAAATTGTCCTCTCAAGGTTTGCTTCTGGGGAAATTCAAATTATGATACTCACCATCTTTGCTCTAGTCTCCATCTCTTTCTTACCACCCCAATCCAAGCCCACACTGTCTTTTCCTGGGCTGCTGCTGGAGTCTCTGCCATTTTACTATTGAGATATTATATTAAACCCACTGCCAACACACAGCCTTATTTACTCATTTAACTGTATGTTATGCTTTCAATATTCTCTTCACTTGATTTCCTTATTCTTCTATACCTCTAATATTTTACTTACTATAAGAGTGTGAAAGGAGATTTTTGTTCACACAAAATTAAGTTATTCCTGGAAGTTCAAGTTCAAGGTGATTTGGCACTCA
This sequence comes from Homo sapiens, assembly GCF_000001405.40. Lineage (NCBI taxonomy): Eukaryota > Metazoa > Chordata > Mammalia > Primates > Hominidae > Homo > Homo sapiens. Next base: position 16,374,594 of record NC_000023.11, on the reverse strand, counting down.
TTAATTTCATTTGAACAAAACTCTTTTTCTTTATTATCCTAACAATAACTTTGAGGAATTTTAAGGTACTTAATCATCAAGTACGTTTATTACACTGTATTTATTAAGGCAGGGAAGTGAACATCTACTGTATTCATTGGGGATCACTTACAGAGACAGAATAAAATATAAATGGCTTAAACATAAAGGGACAAATATGGAGTATTAAGTGACAATATCATTAGAAGGCCTGAAGAGACAGGCTGTGAGCTGAACTGCCAGGAGCGATTTTCAAAGCAAACCACAAAATGGGACCTCCAGTGTCACCGCTGTTTCTGCCGCAGTCTAAAACCTGCCTTTTGAATGGGTCACGACCCCTAAAGTGCTGGCTCAGGAGCTGCATTGCCTCTGCTGTGATAGGGAAGCCACCTCTGCTAAGTCAGGAAGCCACAGCCTCAAACGATGGCATTGGAACCTGGCTGCTTTAGGTATAATTTGCACCCACAAAATGGATTTCTCACACCTGGCCTCTTTTCCCACGTAACTTGGTTTCAAATCCAAGTATTATAAGAGTGCATCTGTTATGCAGAATCTAAATCTCTTCCACAGTTCTAGCTGTAAGGGAACTTGGAAAACAGAGCTTGTTGCTTTCAAGTCTCTGTAATCCTAGAAGGCACAGAATAAGGTTGGAACAGAGTTGAGGAATCCAGTCCACAAAACCCACTACTACCATGTGCTAGCAACAATATTGGAAAATTAAGAAGAAAAGCATCTGCTTAGCCTTTCTTGGAATAGAAAACTGCATTAGCTATAATAGCCCATTCCAGTTACTTGAGACTAAGACTATATTATTACTACCCTTTTTATGTAGCTGACAGAGAGGGAGCATCGCCATCTTGGACAAGCCCCTCATTCTAAAGTTCACCTTGATTAAAAAAAAACTGCCTAAATCCAAAGGGCATCAGCCTAATGGCTAAGGTCAGCATGACCATAAACCACAAATAACATCTCCAATCAGAAACATTTCAAAGTCCTCCCAGACCAGAGACATGCTAGCTCCTAGATAAGCCCCCTCCAGCCTGGAAGATGCTAGCCCCAAGATAACCCCTCTCTGGGCCAGAAAGATGTCTGCCCCAAGATAACCTCCCCTTCTCTCAGAGAGATTCCAACCCTGCCATAAACTTCTCCTCACACATAAACATTCCAAGCTTCTGATAAGCCCCCTCATCCTAAAACCAATATATACTCTTAGTCTGTAAGAGAAAGGACTCCTGGCCAAAATCGGCCAGAAGTCCTTCTCAGGTTTTATCTAAAGAAAACCTGTCTTTGACTGCCGAGCTGTGTTTTGTATTTCTTTTCGTCTTTCTTTAACTCTTATAGTAGCAACATTGGTTGACATTTGATTATGCCAATGTTTTGTAAGCTTTCACGAGCTCATTTTTTTTCTTTTATGTTGACCTAGGTCACAGACTGCAACTTCCTTCTCTTATCTTTTCTTGCACCAACCACAGTGTTTTGGAGCCCAGGGGTGTGGGATAATGCTTTTTAGCTGATGATCTTAAGACTTCATTCTATAACCAGAGGGGGAAATTCTTGAATTAATGTAGAAATCATTTTGTTGAATTAGATCCCAGGGCTATACAATCTTGAATGATGCCCACCTACTATAATTTTTAGTGGGCTGCTGCTATGCTGTGATGATTTGAACATCCAGAATCTATGTTCAGGGGAAAGGAGAAGTAAGTGGTATGCTGTGAAAAGACTTCTTGCTGAAGTCCTATTTTATTGAAACTGAGAAACTTTGATGGAGGTTGTCACTACTTTTCCTTCATTCTCATTTCATAGTGCTTAATTTGATAAGAGTTCTAGTTGCATTGGCTGCTATGCTGGGGGAAAAGCAGCAACAACTGCTATTCAGTTGACATAGTTGTTTTGCCTTTGCTGTCCATGGAAAACATTGGAAGAAACCTGATAAATTAGCTTTGTGAAGATGGTGTTTTAAAGGCAGATAATTGTTGACTTTTATATTTTGAGCCCTGGATATTCATGCATGGAGTCTTCAAAGATTTTTGGGTTGCAATGAGAAACAAAAACATAACTTTATGAAGATGATTTATCCATCAAATGGTTTTGAAAATAAATGTCCACGGAAATACGAATTATGAAACTGGGCTTTTTGAAACAGTACCAAGAGCAAGATGCTTCTTTTCAGAAAGCATCATCAAAGTTTGCATATTGCAGTAGTTTAAATAATGATAGGGCATCTTGAACAACCAGCAGCAACATATGAAGTAAGAACATCCAGAAATGTTGACAGGCATGAGTTGGGAGGATACCTTGTGGGGTGGCAGGTTACAGGGTACATGAGCAGTGGATCAGGTGGAATTAGATGGGAGCATTAATTAGGTGTAGGTAGTAGGACGAGGGGCAGCAAGGTAAGAACTCGGGGTTTTCTGTCTTTATTTGTTACCAAAACAGATGAACAGGACACTAGTCATTGATTTATGGTTTGTATTGCATGTTACATACATCTTTCTAGAAATATTTTGCATTTGTATTAAACAAATGCAACACTTGGTATTCTTAACCCTGCCTAGGACTCTTTATTTTCCTTGGACCTATTTGGCCCCAAATAAATAAATGAATATTTCAATAAAACCAATATTATTTTCTCATCTAAAATGATTATATAAAAGGCCTCTACCATTGATTTAACACTTTATCAGTTATAAATTGTCCACATTAAAATCAGCCTTGATTTCAGTAAAGCTTTTGTTTCTTTCTTTTTTCTTTAGATCAGTGGTTCTTAAAGTGCGGCCCCCAGACCAGCAGTATCAGCATCACCTGGGAACTTGTTAGAGATGCAGATTCCTGGTCCAGAGCTACTGAATCAGAAACTCTGGTGGTGGGGCCCAGCAACCTGTGTTTAAACAAGCCCCATTGGTGATCCTGATGCACACCCAAGTGTGAGAACCACTGCTAAGAGATGTTAGAGAGAGAGTAGGATAGGATCATCTTGTAAAAAAATTGTGTTTCTTTCCATTTCCAAGGGTAATCTTTTATACAGTTAATTCAGAATGGAAGACAATGCTACTGAAACTAAATATTACCAGCCATCCTAGTCAAAGCTGAGAAAATCCCCTTCAGGTGATTAACCATAATGTAGAAATAGAAAGAAATGACCTCTTGCTGGTTGCAGTAAGTCGAGATCACACCACTGCACTCCAACTTAGGTGACAGAGCCAGACTCCATCTCAAAAAGCAAATAACAAACAAAAAAAGAAAGAAACGACCTCTTGCTCATTTACACCCAGCTCCATATTATTCAACAACAATTATCTTACTTTTTTGTTTTTAAAAGTTAAAAACATTCAGAAACAATTGCAGATTATATGACAAATACCTGTGTATACAAGCCATCTAGAATTGATAAATGTTAATATTTTCCACATTTTCTTTTAATGTTATCTTTTCTTTTAACAGATAAAATTGAAATGTCTTATTTTCTCTGCCCCAAACCTATCCCTTTTCTCCCTTTCTCTTTCCTTCTCTTCATCCCCAGAAGCAACCTCCACTATGAATTTGGCAATATCCAGTCTGTGTGTTTATAATTTTATCACATATATATGCATTCATGATTGATGTTGGTATTGCTTTGGGTCAGTTTTTCCTCTACATTGACACAGATGAAGTTATATGAGGTGCCTAATGTTTATAAGCTTGCTTGCTTGCTTCAGTTTTATGTTTTATGTCTTAATAAGATCCACCTGACTGATAAATTAATTCCCATCTTTCCTTCTTCCTTCCTGTGCTTTATAGACTTTGCTTTGCTACCCTGACAGTAGGCAAAGAAAAGGCTGAGGGGGCTGGGCTTGAAAACTGATGTTACTCACTAGCAACTCTAGCCAAAGATGATAAAAGATAACCTCTTGAAGCACAGGAAGGTCTGGTCAGAGTCGAGATGATGATCAACTAACCAGGAAGAAATAGATTTGGTACTTGGCATTGATTACCCCATAAGGAATATCTGGAGGACATTCAGTGCTCGTTGCTTGTACAGGGCACAGAGCAGAGTTGGAACTTTCAGGAGTCCTTTTCATGCATTATTCTTGTCCTGGTAGGGGTCTCAAAACCAAAGGACCACTGCCACTGTCATCAGGACTCAGTGGACCCTTCCAGAGTCATCAGTGGGAGGCCTGGCTTTGTGCATGCTTCCTCCCAGTTTACAGCTATTTAAACCTGGACTGGGAAGAATTCAAGAGTGGAAAGTGGTCACTGCTGCAGAAAGCCCAGAGCCAATCCCAATGCTGTCCAATCCCCTTGCCATGCATCACTGAACGTTAAATAAAAAATGATTTTTTTCTCTTCAGTCCATGGATGGACAGGTGTTTGTTGGGACTAAATTAGGGTACCTGCCAATGCGAAGGGTTATGGGTTGAATTATGTCCCCGAAAGATACGTTGAAGTTCTAATTCCCAATACCTTAGAATGTGACCCTATTTGGAAACTGGGTCATTGAAGATATAATTAATTAAGTCGAGATAAGTTCATACTGGACTAGAATGGGCCCTTAAGCCAGTATGGCTGGTGTTCTTATGGAAAGAGGAGAAAACACAGAGACAGACACACAGGCGGAGCCCCACGAGACCACAGAGGTGGAGACTGGAATGAGGCATCTATAAGCCAAAGAATGCTAAGGATTGCTGGCAACCACCAGAAGCTAGGAAGACGCAAGGAAAGATTCTCCCCTAGAGCCCTCAGAGGGAGTGTGGCCTTGCTGACAACTTGATTTTGAAATTCCAGCCTCCAGACCTGTGAGAGAATAAATTTCTTAATTTACTGTTGTCTTAAGCTACCCAGTTTATGGTTGAAATTAATATAGAAGGCCAATGAAGAGTCAGCTTTGCTCAACTCAGCATGTTTAAGAGAGTTCCCAGAGACCCATACCATGTAAGTAAACTGATTATTCCAGAAATCTGGGAGAGTTAGGTAGTCTAGTTAACTAATTTTCTGGTTTGAGTATTAATCAGCTTACTCTAAATATTTAGTTTATACTGCTAGTGTTACTGTTACATATTTTAAACTTCTAAGTAATCAGCAATAATTATAGTGTAATCAAAAAAATCCACACAATCAACAAATTCCCTGTAGACTACATAATATTACCATGTTTTAATAAAGACATGAAAATAATTCAAAAAACTTACAGATGAAAGATTTTCATTTAACTAAACCAATTCCAAGAGTTTATACAACAATGTGATATAATTAAAACTAAAGCTATATTGTCCTTATTTAAATCTTTCTTTGATAATTCACAAAACACTTTTAGATGTTGCAAAGGTTTTAAGCACATCAAACTAGTTACGGTTGTTGGGTCTTGTGGGCTAATTCAGCGTATTTGTGTGTGTGTGTGTGTGTGTGTGTGTGTGTGTGTGTATGTGTGTGATCAAAGCCAGTTCTGGTTATTTGAACTTTCTGGCTGTTCAGACTCTAATCTGCTGAGTGGAGGGCATATTGCTATGTGACATGAGAATCCAGTGGTAAAGCTTTCTGACAAGATAATCCATGAATATTGGTCTGAGAGGGGACAACAAGGTGACCACAGGCATTGGAGAAAATCCATGTGATGATGCATTCAGCAGCCTTGTGGTTTCTCCCAGGGTCTCTTAACTTTTGGCCACTCCCACATTTGTTTTTATATCCTCGGAGGAATTCTGAGGCCAGCAGGTACAAGCAAAGGAAAGGTACTGTCTCCTTACAACAGCATGCCTAATGTTACGTGAATTATGCAAGGTCTAATCTATTCATCATCTGTGGAATTTAACTGACATAGCTAGAAAGATGATCTGAATGGTCTTCTGTGTATGATAAAAATGCTGAACATGGAGTCCCTCCTTAAAAAAGGATTCACTAGCAAATGTAAGATTTTGTTAAATGGAATCATTTAGAGTTGGGGTCAGCAAACTTCCTTTTAAAAAAGGACCAGAGAGTAACTATTTAGGGTACTTTGTGCTTTCTGCAGACTTTGTGTTGATGGACTGACCAAGCAAAAAAGGTAAATGACCAAGAGCCCATGTATGTTCATTAGGTAAGGGACATAAAAAATATATAGATATTCTTAATATAAGGTAAAACATGAAAAAGAGATTCTAAAGATGCAAAGATAAAGTGTTATATTAGTCCAGACGACCTCTTTTAGCCATGGGTATCTTAAGCCATAATGGTAATAAATTTTGAACAGATATTTTCTTATTAGTTAAATGATTAATTAATTTACTTAAAAATGACCTCAAGTCAAAAAATCATTGTAGTCGATTTACATTGACCAGACTTTATAGTTTCTGAGTGAAGAGACATTTGTTTTTCCCATGTGTTGTTTTTCCCAATACATTAGTGTATCAAGAAGGCAGAGATGATAGATATTCAATAAACGCTGACTATTTAATTCCTGTTCTGATTCTAACTTTAGAAGCCATGAATAGTTTGATTGTGAGATCATGTTTCTTTCTTTTCTCAGTTAATTTTTTTAATCAACAAGTGCACAAATTTGGCCGTATCTACCAAATTTACAGATGTAGTTATTCTTTCCCCAGCAATCCCACATTTTGTCATTGATCCTACAGATACATATGCACAAGAAAGAAAGGCTATGTGTACAAGGTTACTCATTGCAGCATTGCTCACAACCTAGTGTCTGGTAATGGAGGCCTGTTTCATTGGAACACAGTCACGCCCTATCATTTACGTATTGTCAATGGCGCTACAAGGTCAGACCTAAAATAGTTATACTCTCTGGCCCTTAAAAAAAAAGTCTGCTGATCTCAACTCTAAGTGATTCAGTTTAACAAAACCTTACATTTGCTTGTATAGTACATGCAAATACAAATACAGAATAGTTAAGAAGAAAACCCAAACCACAAGCTTCACTCTGGAGAATGTGTAGGAAGGATGGTGTTCTCTCTTAGTTCAAGAATCCTGCTCCTCGAGAGAGAAAAGACAGAAGGTAAAGATGCTTCATCACTGAAGCCGCAAAAAATACTTATTTGACAAGTATTCATTGGGTGTGTACCCTGGGGAAGGAGCTCCTGGGACTGCAGGATGCAAAGATGAGTAAGGCATGGTCTTTCCTCCTGGGGGCTCACAGTCTACCAAGGGAGTCAGATATGTTCAATAATTATGATACAAAATGATCTGTGCTGTAAGAAAGGGAAGAAAAAAGTGCTGTGGGAGCAACAGCAGCAGCAGAAAATGTGTGAGTCTGCCCAAGGCTTAAAAAAAACCATGTGCTATAACTGAGAGAGGGCATTTACAGAAGGGAGTCATGTTGAAATAAAAATTACCAATGAGACAGGTTTTACTCTTTGCACAAATGAGGATGATGAATGAACATATGTCTAATTCAAAACCCAAACAAAATGTTTAGGCCCGAGAGTATTACTGTATCTTATCTTTTTTTTTTTTTCCCCAGGACTTTAACTTTATGCAGCTAGATTTGTTTTTAGAATTCTGACCTAGTCAGATTTTTACAGTGGATCATTTGATGCTTTATGAAAACAAAATCTTCATCTTACTGTTGGAGGCATTCTTTACAGAGGCAAGATTTATTTTCCTTTTTTGATTTACCATAGGTTTAGTATATAATAGAGGCGTATCAGTCTGCAAATGGTGTTTAAAAATGGAGAGCTCACTCATCCATGTGAGTGGAGGGAGATGAGAAAACACCAGCTTCACTTCCAGTATACTGGATTTTCATTTTCATTTTATATCAGCTCACACTACTTGTTTTGGAGACTGCTATCACTGAGGTTTCATTGGTATTGCTCGTACATGGAATAAAATGAAAAGATATATGATAGGAACATTGATACATAAAGCAGAACATTCAGATTCACATTACATTTCCTTGATGGCTTCTATTTGCTACTGCAGATCCTTTCTACTCTGCTTTATGCACTGAAGGGCTGATCTGCATGGATTCCATAAATGTGCTTTCCTGACCTCTGGCTTCTGGTTGGGTTCAGTCAATGGGAAGCCATGGCAGATTGCAAGAAGGGAAGACAGTGAAGTTCAAAGTATTATTCCCCCAGCTGCATCCTGTAGGGTCATCATAAGGTGCATCCCTCAGCATGCAGCCAATTTCACTCAACTTTCAATGCTCACTGTCTGCAAGTTCCAGTAACTGCCTTTCCCTTGGCCCTTCAGTGCCCTGTTGTCACTAGCCCTGGGATTCTTTGCCACTCCTTGTGATTTCTCTATTGCCTCCCACACATTTGTCAATAGTTTCTTTATTAAACTTGCCTCATATTAGCCTTGCTAATTGTGCTGTGCCATGGAGCTGAGGGATTCAGTATTCCTGTAAGGTTATTTTGCAAATAAAAAATCTTTTTCATTTTATTTTTATTATTATTATACTTTAAGTTTTAGGGTACATGTGCACAATGTGCAGGTTAGTTACATATGCATACATGTGCCATGCTGGTGTGCTGCACCCATCAACTCCTCATTTAGCATTAGGTATATTTCCTAATGCTATCCCTCCCCCCTCCCCCCACCCCACAACGGCCCCCAGAGTGTGATGTTCCCCTTCCTGTGTCCATGTGTTCTCATTGTTCAATTCCCACCTATGAGTGAGAATATGCGGTGTTTGGTTTTTTGTTCTTGTGATAGTTTACTGAGAATGATGATTTCCAATTTCATCCATGTCCCTACAAAGGACATGAACTCATCATTTTTTATGGCTGCATAGTATTCCATGGTGTATATGTGCCACATTTTCTTAATCCAGTCTATCATTGTTGGACATTTGGGTTGGTTCCAAGTCTTTGCTACTGTGAATAGAGCCGCAATAAACATACGTGTGCATGTGTCTTTATAGCAGCATGATTTATAGTCCTTTGGGTATATACCCAGTAATGGGATGGCTGGGTCAAATGGTATTTCTAGTTCTAGATCCCTGAGGAATTGCCACACTGACTTCCACAATGGTTGAACTAGTTGACAGTCCCACCAACAGTTTAAAAGTGTTCCTATTTCTCCACATCCTCTCCAGCACGTGTTGTTTCCTGACTTTTTAATGATTGCCATTCTAACTGGTGTGAGATGGTATCTCATTGTGGTTTTGATTTGCATTTCTCTGATGGCCAGTGATGGTGAGCATTTTTTCATGTGTTTTTTGGCTGCATAAATGTCTTCTTTTGAGAAGTGTCTGTTCATGTCCTTCGCCCACTTTTTTATGGGGTTGTTTTTTTTTTCTTGTAAATTTGTTTGAGCTCATCGTAGATTCTGGATATTAGCCCTTTGTCAGATGAGTAGGTTGCGAAAATTTTCTCCCATTTTGTAGGTTGCCTGTTCACTCTGATGGTAGTTTCTTTTGCTGTGCAGAAGCTCTTTAGTTGAATTAGATCCCATTTGTCAATTTTGGCTTTTGTTGCCATTGCTTTTGGTGTTTTAGACATGAAGTCCTTGCCCATGCCTATGTCCTGAATGGTAAAGCCTAGGTTTTCTTCTAGGGTTTTTATGGCTTTAGGTCTAACGTTTAAGTCTTTAATCCATCTTGAATTAATTTTTGTATAAGGTGTAAGGAAGGGATCCAGTTTCAGCTTTCTCCATATGGCTAGCCAGTTTTCCCAGCACCATTTATTAAATAGGGAATCCTTTCCCCATTGCTTGGTTTTCTCAGGTTTGTCAAAGATCAGATAGTTGTAGATATGTGGCGTTATTTCTGAGGGCTCTGTTCTGTTCCATTGATCTATATCTCTGTTTTGGTACCAGTACCATGCTGTTTTGGTTACTGCAGCCTTGTAGTATAGTTTGAAGTCAGTTAGCGTGATGCCTCCAGCTTTGTTCTTTTGGCTTAGGATTGACTTGGCCATGCGGGCTCTTTTTTGCTTCCATATGAACTTTAAAGTAGTTTTTTCCAATTCTGTGAAGAAAGTCATTGGTAGCTTGATGGGGATGGCATTGAATCTATCAGTTACCTTGGGCAGTATGGCCATTTTCACGATATTGATTCTTCCTACCCATGAGCATGGAATGTTCTTCCATTTGTTTGTATCCTCTTTTATTTCATTGAGCAGTGGTTTGTAGTTCTCCTTGAAGAGGTCCTTCACGTCCCTTGTAAGTTGGATTCCTAGGTATTTTATTCTCTTTGAAGCAATTGTGAATGGGAGTTCACTCATGATTTGGCTCTCTGTTTGTCTGTTATTGGTGTATAAGAATGCTTGTGATTTTTGTACATTGGTTTTGTATCCTGAGACTTTGCTGAAGTTGCTTATCAGCTTAAGGAGATTTTGGGCTGAGACAATGTGGTTTTCTAGATCTACAATCATGTCATCTGCAAACAGGGACAATTTGACTTCCTCTTTTCCTAATTGAATACCCTTTATTTCCTTCTCCTGCCTAATTGTCCTGGCCAGAACTTCCAACACTGTGTTGAATAGGAATGATGAGAGAGGGCATCCCTGTCTTGTGCCAGTTTTCAAAGGGAATGCTTCCAGTTTTTGCCCATTCAGTATGATATTGGCTGTGGGTTTATCATCGATAGCTCTTATTATTTTGAGATACGTCCCATCAATACCTAATTTATTGAGAGTTTTTAGCATGAAGGGTTGTTGAATTTTGTCAAAGGCCTTTTCTGCATCTATTGAGATAATCATGTGGTTTTTGTCTTTGGTTCTGTTTATATGCTGGATTACATTTATTGATTTGCGTATATTGAACCAGCCTTGCATCCCAGGGATGAAGCCCACTTGATCATGGTGGATAAGCTTTTTGATGTGCTGGTGGATTCAGTTTGCCAGTATTTTGTTGAGGATTTTTACATCAGTTTTCATCAAGGATATTGGTCTAATATTCTCTTTTTTGGTTGTGTCTCTGCCCGGCTTTGGTATCAGGATGATGCTGGCCTCATAAAATGAGTTAGGGAAGATTCCCTCTTTTTCTATTGATTGCAAGAGTTTCAGAAGGAATGGTACCAGTTCCTCCTTGTACCTCTGGTAGAATTCGGCTGTGAATCCATCTGGTCCTGGACTCTTTTTGGTTGGTAAGCTATTGACTATTGCCACAATTTCAGAGCCTGTTATTGGTCTATTCAGAGATTCAACTTCTTCCTGGTTTAGTCTTGGGAGGGTGTATGTGTCAAGGAATTTATCCATTTCTTCTAGATTTTCTAGTTTATTTGAGTAGAGGTGTTTGTAGTATTCTCTGATGGTAATTTGTATTTCTGTGGGATCGGTGGTGATATCCCCTTTATCATTTTTTATTGCGTCTATTTGATTCTTCTCTCTTTTCTTCTTTATTAGTCTTGCTAGCGGTCAATCAATTTTGTTGATCCTTTCAAAAAACCAGCTCCTGGATTCATTAATTTTTTGAACGGTTTTTTTTGCCTCTATTTCCTTCAGTTCTGCTCTGATTTTAGTTATTTCTTGCCTTCTGCTAGCTTGTGAATGTGTTTGCTCTTGCTTTTCTAGTTCTTTTAATTGTGATGTTAGGGTGTCAATTTTGGATCTTTCCTGCTTTCTCTTGTGGGCATTTAGTGCTGTAAATTTCCCTCTACACACTGCTTTGAATGTGTCCCAGAGATTCTGGTATGTTGTGTCTTTGTTCTCATTGGTTTCAAAGAACATCTTTATTTCTGCCTTCATTTCGTTATGTACCCAGTAGTCATTCAGGAGCAGGTTGTTCAGTTTCCATGTAGTTGAGCAGTTTTGAGTGAGTTTCTTAACCCTGAGCTCTAGTTTGATTGCACTGTGGTCTGAGAGACAGTTTGTTATAATTTCTGTTGTTTTACATTTGATGAGGAGAGCTTTACTTCCAAGTATGTGGTCCATTTTGGAATAGGTGTGGTGAGGTGCTGAAAAAAATGTATATTCTGTTGATTTGGGGTGGAGAGTTCTGTACATGTCTATTAGGTCTGCTTGGTGCAGAGCTGAGTTCAATTCCTGGGTATCCTTGTGAACTTTCTGTCTCGTTGATCTGTCTAATGTTGACAGTGGGGTGTTAAAGTCTCCCATTAGTATTGTGTGGGAGTCTAAGTCTCTTTGTAGGTCACTCAGGACTTGCTTTATGAATCTGGGTGCTCCTGTATTGGGTGCATATATATTTAGGATAGTTAGCTCTTCTTGTTGAATTGATCCCTTTACCATTATGTAATGGCCTTCTTTGTCTCTTTTGATCTTTGTTGGTTTAAAGTCTGTTTTATCAGAGACTAGGATTGCAACCCCTGCCTTTTTTTGTTTTCCATTTGCTTGGTAGATCTTCCTCCATCCTTTTATTTTGAGCCTATGTGTGTCTCTGCACGTGAGATGGGTTTCCTGAATACAGCACACTGATGGGATTTGACTCTTTATCCAATTTGCCAGTCTGTGTCTTTTAATTGGAGCATTTAGTCCATTTACATTTAAAGTTAATGTTGTTATGTGCGAATTTGATCCTGTCATTATGATGTTAGCTGGTTATTTTGCTTGTTAGTTGATGCAGTTTCTTCCTAGCCTCGATAGTCTTTACAATTTGGCATGATTTTGCAGCGGCTGGTACTGCTTGTTCCTTTCCATGTTTAGTGCTTCCTTCAGGAGCTCTTTTAGGGCAGGCCTGGTGTGACAAAATCTCTCAGCATTTGCTTGTCTGTAAAGTATTTTATTTCTCCTTCACTTATGAAGCTTAGTGTGGCTGGATATGAAATTCTGGGTTGAAAATTCTTTTCTTTAAGAATGTTGAATATTGGCCCCCACTCTCTTCTGGCTTGTAGAGTTTCTGCCAAGAGATCTGCTGTTAGTCTGATGGGCTTCCCTTTGTGGGTAACCTGACCTTTCTCTCTGGCTGCCCTTACCATTTTTTTCCTTCATTTCAACTTTGGTGAATCTGACAATTATGTGTCTTGGAGTTGTTCTTCTCGAGGAGTATCTTTGTGGTGTTCTCTGTATTTCCTGAATCTGAATGTTGGCCTGCCTTGCTAGATTGGGGAAGTTCTCCTGGATAATATCTTGCAGAGTGTTTTCCGACTTGGTTCCATTCTCCCCGTCACTTTCAGGTACACCAATCAGACGTAGATTTGGTCTTTTCACATAGTCCCATATTTCTTGGAGGCTTTGTTTGTTTCTTTTTATTCCTTTTTCTCTAAACTTCCCTTGTCGCTTCATTTCATTCATTTCATGTTCCATCACTGATACCCTTTCTTCCAGTTGATCGCATCGGCTCCGGAGGCTTCTGCATTCTTCACGTAGTTCTCGAGCCTTGGCTTTCAGGTCCATCAGCTCCTTTAAGCACTTCTCTGTATTGGTTATTCTAGTTATACATTCTTCTAAATTTTTTTCAAAGTTTTTAACTTCTTTGCCTTTGGGTTGAATTTCCTCCTGTAGCTCGGAGTAGTTTGATCGTGTGAAGACTTCTTCTCTCAACTTGTCAAAGTCATTCTCCGTCCAGCTTTGTTCCGTTGCTGGTGAGGAACTGCGTTCCTTTGGAGGAGGAGAGGTGCTCTGCTTTTTAGAGTTTCCAGTTTTTCTGCTCTGTTTTTTCCCCATCTTTGTGGTTTTATCTACTTTTGGTCTTTGATGATGGTGATGTACAGATGGGTTTTTGGTGTGGATGTCCTTTCTGTTTGTTAGTTTTCCTTCTAACAGACAGGACCCTCAGCTGCAGGTCTATTGGAGTTTGCTAGAGGTCCACTCCAGACCCTGTTTGCCTGGGTTTCAGCAGCGGTGGCTGCAGAACGGTGGATTTTCGTGAACCGCGAAGGCTGCTCTCTGATCGTTCCTCTGGAAGTTTTGTCTCAGAGGAGTACCCGGCCGTGTGAGGTGTCATCTGCCCCTACTGGGGGGTGCCTTCCAGTTAGGCTGCTCAGGGACCCACTTGAGGAGGCAGTCTGCCTGTTCTCAGATCTCCAGCTGCATGCTGGGAGAACCACTGCTCTCTTGAAAGCTGTCAGACGGGAACATTTAAGTCTGCAGAGGTTACTGCTGTGTTTTTGTTTGTCTGTGCCCTTCCCCCAGAGGTGGAGCCTACAGAGGCAGGCAGGCCTCCTTGAGCTGTGGTGGGCTCCACCCAGTTTGAGCTTCCTGGCTTTGTTTACCTAAGTGAGCCTGGGCATTGGTGGGCGCCCCTCCCCCAGCCTCACTGCCGCCTTGCAGTTTGATCTCAGACTGCTGTGCTAGCAATCAGCGAGACTCCGTGTGCGTAGGACCCTCTGAGCCACGTGCGGGATATAATCTCCTGGTGCACCGTTTTTTTAATCCTGTCGGAAAAGCGCAGTATTAGGGTGGGAGTGACCTGATTTTCCAGGTGCTGTCTGTCACCCCTTTCTTTGATTAGGAAAGGGAACTCCCTGATCCCTTGCGCTTCCCGAGTGAGGCAATGCCTCACCCTGCTTCATCTCACGCACGGTGCACTGCACCCACTATCCTGCGCCCACTCTCTGGCACTCCCTAGTGAGATGAACCTGGTACCTCAGATGGAAATGCAGAAATCACTCGTCTTCTGCATCGCTCACGCTGGGAGCTGTAGACCAGAGCTGTTCCTATTCAGCCATCTTGGCTGCCCCTCCCAGTAAAAAATCTTAAATGCAGGTGGTCACAGTGGCTCACACCTGTAATCCCAGCGCTCTGGCCGGCCGAGGCGGGTGGATCACCTGAGATCAGGAGTTTGAGACCAGCCTGGGCCACGTGGTGAAACCCTGTCTCTACTGAAAATACAAAAATTAGCCAAGCATGGTGGCAGGCGCCTGTAATCCCAGCTACTCGGGAGGCTGAGGCAAGAGAATCACTTGAACCAGGGAGGCGGAGGTTGCAGTGAGCTGAGATTGTGCCACTGCACTCCAGCCTGGGCAACAGAGTGAGACTCGGTCAAAAAAGAAAAAAAAAATCTTAAATGCATAGAAGAAATCACAATTAAAATCCTTTTATGAAGGGAAGGATTCTTCTGTAAATATAAATGGGCATCTCTTAATTTTAGAAAAATGTAGATGTTTATACATTAGGGTTATATGGAGTATTGCTTTTTTTTGCATGCAGTTTCAAGTTCAAATTTTTCAGATACCATTCAGAACATGTCTCATTCCTCTTCCTTGTGAAGGGTCCTACAAATACTTGAAGACATCTGCTATTTTGTCCCCCTAGGGTTCCTCTGCATTGTGATGAGTCACTTTCTTCCTATTCAAGACCAACAAATACTCCTTATAGGACTTAATTTTTAATGTGTTCACCATCCTGATTTATCTCCTCTGAATAGGCTTTGCTGGAGGCATCCAGATTGTCTGACTCAGATGCAGTCCACCTGAGAATTGTAAGCAAAAATAAAAAGTTTAACCGAATTTGTTAGCACTCATGGACCACTAAGATGTAATCATATTCCCATAACGTACTTGATAAGTCTTGTTGAAGAAATGAGTCTGCACTGTGATCTGAAGTTTGCCAGCCATGGTCTGACAAGGGCAGAAAGACTTAAGTCCAACCATCACTGCCTTCGTTCTACATGGCACACTGCTAGGACTATATTCACTACTGCCACCCCCAGTTATGGCACACTGTTGAATCATATTCATCCTTTAGTTAACCAAAAAATCTCCAAGTCTTTTCACACATGAGGCAGTTAAGCTAGAGTCCCTCTATTCCGTATTTGTGAAATCATTAGTTTTTCTTTAGACATAAGGGAACTCCATGTCATATTCATCCTTTAGGTAACAAAAAAATCTCCAAGTCTTTTCACACATGAGGCAGTTAAGCTAGAGTCCCCCTATTCCATATTTGTGAAATCATTAGGCTTTTCTTTAGACATAAGGGCACTCCATGACATTTACCCCTAATACACTGCTTATTGGCTGGACAACCTCACATTGAATCTCTTCTTAGGATCAAGACTAAGCAAATATAAAAAGAAACCCTCTAGAATCACATTACCTGACTTCAAATTGTACTACAGAGCTATAGTAACCAAAACAGCATGGTACTGACATAAAAACAGACACATAGACCAATGGAATAGAATAGAGAACCCAGGAACAAATCCACACACCTACAGTGAACTTATATTCAACTAAGGTGACAAGAATATACATGGGGAAAAGACAGTCTCTTCAATAAATGGTGCTGGGGAAACTGGATATCCATATGCAGAAGAATGAAACTAGACCTCTATCTCTCACCACATACATAAATTAAAAAAAAAAGGATTAAAGAATCAAATATAAGACCTAAAACTATGAAACTACTACAAGAAAACACTGGGGAAACTCTCCAGGACCTTGGTCTGGGCAAAGATTTCTTGAGTAATGCCCACTAGCACAGGCAACCAAAGCAAAAATGGACAAAGGGAATAATATCAAGTTAAAAAGCTTCTGTGCAGCAAAGGAAACAATCAACAAAGTGAAGAGACAACCCATACAATGGGAGAAGATATTTGCAAACTATCTGTCTGACAAGGGATTAATAACCAGAACATACAAGAAGCTCAAACAACTCTATGGGAAAAAAATCTAGTACTCTGATTAAATAATAGCCAAAAGAGCTGAATAGACATTTCTCAAAAGAAGACAAATGGCAAACAGGCATACAAAAAAGGTGCTCAATATCATTGATCATCAGAGAAATGCAAGTAAAAACTACACTGTGATATCATCTCACCCTAGTTAAAATGGCTTATATCCAAAAGACAGGCAATAATAAATGCTAATGAGGATGTGGAGAAAAGGGAACCCTTGTACACTGTTTGTGGGAGTGTAAATTAGTACAATCACTATGGAGAACAGTTTGGACTTTCCTCAAAAAACTAAAATAGAGCTATCATAGGACCCAGCAATTCCACTGCTGGGTATATACCCACAAGAAAGGAAATCAATACATCGAAGGGATATCTGCACTCCCATGTTTGTTGCAGCTCTGTTCACAATAGCCAATATTTGGAAGCCAACTAAGTGTCCACCAACAGATAAATAGATAAAGAAAATGTGGTACTTATACACAATGGAGTATAAGCCGTAAAAAAGAATGAGATTCAGTCATTTGCAACAACATGAATGGAACCGGAGGTTATTATGCTAAGTGAAAGAAGCCAGACACCAAAAGAGAAACACTGCGTGTTCTCACTTATTTGTGGGATCTAAACATCAAAACAATTGAACTCATAGAGATAGAGAATATAATGATGGTTACCAGAGGCTGGGAAGGGTAGTTGAGGGGCGGGTGAGGGGGAGGTGGGGATGGTTAATGGGTACAAAAAATAGAAAGAATGATAGTAATTGATAGCACAACAGGGTGACCACAGTCAACAATAATTTCATTGTACATTTAAAAATAACTAAAAGAGTACAATTGAAGTGTTTGTAACACAAAGGATAAATGCATGAGAGGATGGATACCCCACTTTCCATGATGTGATAATTATGCATTGCATGCTTGTATTAAAACAGCTAATCTACCCCATACGTGTATGTACCTACCATGTACCCACAAAAATTAAAAATTAAAAAAGAAGCCCTCTGTAAATTGGCTTATATTTCATATAACAGTTCTGATGTGAGCAGTTCTGGTCATCAGAGAAACTTTGCCCCATATGGCCATCTAGGGACCCAGGCTAGCTCCCACCTTGCAGCTCAGTCATTCTCCTGGGGCACTGTCTTTATCTACATTCTTGAGGCTGGGCTACTGTCAAGTCTGTCCCAGTTTCAGCCAGTGGGAAAGGAAAGGGAGCATATAAGAGGTCCTTAACATCTTAAAAGAGAGTTGGAAGTAGAACTCATCATATGTGCCAACATTTGATGAGTGAGAACTCAGTCACATGACCATGGCTAACTGCAAAGGAGGCTGGGGAATATGGTCTAGTTAGCAATCATGTACTAGACACAACTCTATTTCTATGTAAGAAGGGGAGGACAGATTTTGGTAGTCAACTATCATTTTTACTACTAACCTCTTCCCCTTAGACTCTTCCTATTGTTAATTAATTAATTCATTTGTTCATTCACAAAACATTCATTGAGAATCTAGTGTAAGGCACTGAGATAAGTACCAGAGGAATGCAAAGATAGGGAGCCTGTAATGAAATGATTTAAAATCTAGTCTGTTGACCAGTCTGACCAACACGGTGAAACTCCATCTCTACTAAAAATACAAAAATTAGCTGGGCGTGGTGGCGCGTGCCTGTAATCCCAGCTACTCAGGAGGCTAAGGCAGGAGAATCGTTTGAACCCAGGATGCAGAGGTTGCAGTGAGCTGAGATCGCGCCACTGCACTCCAGCCTGGGTGACAGAGCGAGACTTAATCTCAAAAAAAAAATAAAATAAAATCTAGTCTGTTGAAGCTTCTTTGGATCTGAATTATGCCACCTAGTGTACTAATATGCCCAGCTTCCTGTCACACATGTTTGGTTAGCATATGACCAACATTATCTTCCAAATCTGTGATCAATATGTTGAATAGTGAGAGGTGCAAATAGAGCCTTTTGGAGATCACTAGGAATTTTCCCCTGTGTTGACTTGACCCAGCAATGAGATCCTATGAGGTAAGGATGTTCAACCATTAAACATCCATCCAACTTTCATTTAGCCTGTTCCCAAGGACATCTTGACAGGCTTTGTCAATTATTTGCTAGTCTTCAGGTTCTCTTTGGCTACCACATTCTCTGATCTACCACTCAGATGTCACCATCAGAAATGAGAATCAAATGGCCAGATGTTACTTTTCCTGAATAAATCTTTCCCCATGATGAGCACTACTTGTCTTCATAAATAGTCCTTCCAATAGCCTGCTCTAGAATCTTGTTCTACAAATTGTTCATTAGGCTATAGAAAAAGAATTCTCCTTTACTCTTTTAAGAATTAGGACCACCTTATCTGTTCATGCATTTAGCATCTCTCCCATACTTTATGACTCTTCAAACTTATTGAATATAATCTCATGTTTAAGTTTTTCAGAGTCCTGGGATATAACTGATTCAAGCTGAAGAATTTAAAATAAAGAAAAAGACTTGTTACTTTCCTGCATTCTTCTCACCCATCTTTGTCTTCACTTCACTCTTAACACTGTTTGATTTATATTCCCTAGTCCAAAGATCATTCTTTTTAACAGAGAAGAATAAGAAAATAGCTTTGGGTTGAATAAGGTTGCTTTCTCTATCATCTATTAACATTATATTATAAGGCCCAAAAAGCATAATCTTTCTACCTTCTTAATTTGTCTTTTTCTACTAGACATTTAAAATATGGGAGCACCTATCTGCTCTGTCCTGCCTTAGCTAAGCCTTCTACATTTGATGCTGCCTCTCTTAACCTTGGGAATCTGCTGGTCTTTTTCAGCTTAGCTATCTCCCCATATCCAAGATATGCAATATCTTACCCTTTGTCCCTCATATCCCCACTCAATAATTTATCTTTTTTTCTCCCATCTTGGAGTGGTTCAGTCTCTTGGGTTCACCCTTTTGCCAGGGTCTCCTGGCTCTTGCCCTCTTCTCTGGTTATATTTCTAACAATTAATATTTGTAATTCAGAAAATTATGTATTTCTGAAAATTAGAGTTAAACTAAGCATTCAGTATGTGTGTGTGTGTGTGTGTGTGTGTGTGTGTGTGTGTGTGTGTACGTACATGCATACATGCACATCTGTTGTGGAATGCCTGTTTCTCTCTTCTCACCCATCCAATCAGTGTTCAGTGTCTTAGCTGATAATTATAAAGTAGGTTTAATGTCTGGAAAATGTTTACAGTCAGATATCTATGTAACAAAGACTTTATCAAATTAATTTCTTCCTTTTTGATAGATGCTAAGGAATAAATAAAAAAGATTTAATCCATAGTCCCAGCCTTTATGGAGCATAAAATGTAATTATGTCCCACGTAGGATAAGCAAACCTATGTGGGACATAATTAGAAAATGTTACAATATAGTGTATAATCATGGATTGAGAACATGGACCTGGTTGGTGGTAGAGAGAGTTATATGATGAAAACCTTTTGATACCTATTTCTATTTCTCTGTGCTAAATCATCCTCTATGCAATAACATTTTAATGAATAGTAAATTTCTACTTTAGCACAGCTTTTGATTTTTATCATGGAAGAAAGGAGGTTAAATGGAAGTGAAAGGGTGGGTTAGAACTTCCATAATGTGTTTCATATACTTGCTAAGATAATCCTGGTTCAACCAGCCCTTCTGTAAGCATCAGAGAATTGTGGTCTTGGTTTTTCCTATTTTGGATACTAACTTTGCTTGCAATACTTAGGGAGAGTTCACCCATTCGACTTGCATAAATGTGTGTAACAGATGGTGGTTCTTAAAATCTACACCTATGAAAACTTCAAAAGGATTAGATGGAAGTTATTTCTGTTCCAAAATTATAGAATAAGCACTTTATACAGTTTACCTATGATCAATTGTTAAAACAAAAAAACTACATGTGACATAGTGACATATGGTGAGGTTCTGTTGTTTATTTCCTGTTCCCTTTTCATTAAGAAATTGGTAACAATCCTTACTATATGTGGCTGAGAGATTTTCTCTATTTAGGAGTTCTTTCCTTTTTCTGGAAACATTCTGCTGATTTTCTTCTAAATATCCTGTATCAGAGGCCTGGAAGCTTTTCCTGTAAGAGCCCAGATAGTAAATATTTTAGGCCTTGTGAGCCATAAGATGTCTGTTGCAACTACTCCACTCTGCCATTGTAGAGAGAAAGCATCCTTAGACAATATATGAATGAATGGGTGTGGCTGTTTTCCAATAAAACTTTGTTTACAAAAATAGTCTGACCCATTACCTATTTTTGAAGTAATGGAAAAATGAAAACATTTTATTTTTCCCACATGCAAGTCCTTGCTGAAATTGTTTTCCAATTTTACATCTCTTATTAACATTTTTTGCAAAATTATCAGTCCCCTCATCCATAATTTCTGAGGTTTATATTACCAGTTGATTTCTAATGAGGCTGCTTCATCTAATACCTGTTCAACCCATGTCAGAAAGCCTGCTGTTGGCTTTTCTCTCCAGCACAGTTTTCAGTAGCTTTCTTAGTTTGAACTGCTTGGACTATGACTAGATGCCTGTAACTTATTTTCCATGGCATCTGCTGAACTGCAGAGGAGTGAGTTTTATTGTGCTCATTCTCTGTTGGAAAGAGTATTTTTCATATTGAGGCCTGAGCTGAAGGCACATTCCTCCAGTGGGGAGTAGCAAGGATGCCATGACACTTTCCACCACATCTTTCTTTCCCACAGCTCATATGTTCTGGAAATTCAACAATTCCTTACCCATAGTTAAACTGGCCTTCAAGAGATAGAAGAGTAAATTAATATTTCTAAATGGAGTATTGCACCAAAACCTGGAAATATGAGTGATAACCAGGTAACTTAGCGAGAGCATATTTACTAAATATCCCACTGATACTGAAACGTGAATAATTAACATAAATATCAGTTGTGTATGACTGCTCTTGGAGCTAACATGTCTCTCCTAGGAGGAGACTGTGTCCATATTTTGCTTCCGCTATCATGATTGGTGTTTTCTAGGTCTTAGTCTGGGCCCTTTCCTCTTCTCTCTCTAGTACAGGCCTTGGCAAATTATGGCCTGTGGGCCAACTCTAGCCTATCGCCTGTTTTTGTAAATAAAGATTTATCGGAACACAGTCATTACCATTAATCTGCACATTGTCTATGACTGCTTTCTCCCTACAATGACAGTACTGAGTTTTTTTCAACAGAAACTGTATGGCCCATAAAGCTGAAAATATTTACTTTCTGGGCCTTTACAGAGAAAGTTTGCTGACTTGTGCTCTAGAAGGTACCCATCGTCATGGCTTTCAGTTCTATTTTACCTACTGACAACTCCCACATTTATTTTTACCCCAGATCTCTCCTCTGAATTCTAGTTACATATATCCACCTTCTTATTTGATACATCCACTTGAATGTCTCAAGCTAAGTTTAAAATATTCAACAAATACTTGATTTTACTCCTTTCTCTCACCAAGTTTTCCCCATGTCGGTAAAGACCACCACCAGGCAGAGAATTTCTCAAGTCAGAAATCTGACTGAGCCAGAAATCTGGGAGTATCTGGGAATTATTCGAGACTTTTCAATGTTCTGTTCTGAGTACATCCAGTTCATCAGTCATTTCTTGATTCTATCTCAAAACTAAATCCCACATCCCTCCACTTCTCTCCATTCCTGCCACTCCCACCCTAGTCCACTGTCATCCTTGTCTGGACCTCACCTCCACCTACAATATATTGTCCACTCAGTGGACAGATTAATCTTTTTAAAGAAAATATAGGATCCATTTGTCATCAGGCTTAAAACCTTTCTGTGGCTTTCCATTGCATTTTGAAAAAAATATAGCCCCTTGCTATGTCCTATAAGCATGTGCTGGCCCTGCCAACCTCATCTTTATCTTAGTCTTAGTCATCATCCTCTTATCCCTCTGGTTTCCTTTCAGTTCTTAAAACATGAGAATGAAGTTCATAGTCTTCACATACACTGTTCCTTCTCCTGGAATGCTCCACCTCTTCCTTTCCCTGTGACCGGCTCCTTTTCAGCCTGCCACAGTCCACTAGAATCTCTATTCTTATGACCTTCCTGATGACTCATCTGATATTCTCATTTTAGTTTTATTTGGCTTTACTTATGTAAAATTCAATTTTCAGGTAATAAGGCTTAAAAAGAATTTATACTTTTTAAAAATTGATATTAAACGTAATTATATGGGAAAAATATTTGTAATATATATGGGAGGAGTACAGATTAACAATCAAATGAACAGCTGCATACCTGCAACTCAGCTTAAGAAGAGAATCTTACCAAAACTTTAAAGCCACCTGTATTCCTTCCACACACCATCTCCCTCCACCTATAAGAATCTCTAACCCAAATTTTGTTTTTATTGTTTCTTTTAAAGCTCTAATATCTATGTAGATATTGGTGTACCAGCACTGTCCAATAGAAATATGATGTAAGCTACAAATGCAAGCCACATGTAATTTTTGAATTTTCTAGTGGCCACATTTAAATTAGTATAAAGAAACAGGTGAAATTCATTAGAAATATATTTTATTTAACCCAATCTATCCAAAATATTGTCATTTCGCTATGTAGTCAATACAAAAAATTCATGAGGTATTTTACATCCTTTTTCTCATACTAATTCTTTGAAATCTTGTGCATATTTTAAATGTACAGAACATCTGAATTTGGACCATCCACTTTTCAAATGCTTATTAGCCACATGTGGCCAGTGGTTACTATATTGGGCAGTGTGGCTGCATATAGCACTGTCTTTAGTTTTGTATATTTTTGGAGTTCATACAAATGGAAACCAGTTCATGTATTTTATTAATATGATTTGCATTTTCCCCTCAATATTATGCTGCAAAAGTTGTCCAAGTTGACATGCCTAGCTCTAGGTCTTTAATTTTCATTAGATGAATATCCACAACTGTTTACTCATTCTCTTGTCAATTGTCAGTTGGATTGTTCCCAATATTTTTGATTACAAACAACATAGGCAAGAACATTTTTGAATCTGTATCCTGATGCACATATTCAAGAGATTTTCTAGACTTAGAGGATATATTCCCCAGAATGGAACTAATGAGCATCAGAATATACTCAGTTTCAGTTTTGTTGTTTAATGCCAAAATATATGATAAAGTATCAGGCCCTGCTTCCATTCCTGTATTTGCTGAGTTAGCCCAAGCCTGAGTTTTGGGTAATGATTTTCTTTCTTTTCTTTATATTTGTAAATATGCATGCATCCTCCAATAAAATGTACTTATTTTGCTTGTTTTAGAATTTAATATAGTTTAAATTACAGAGAATGTTTTCTTTTGTGACTTTTGTGATTTATCCAATATAGCTCTATTTCATCAATTTTCATGCTATGGAATATTTCATTTTCTGGTTATAACACAGTTTACTT
Organism: Homo sapiens; assembly: GCF_000001405.40. Lineage (NCBI taxonomy): Eukaryota > Metazoa > Chordata > Mammalia > Primates > Hominidae > Homo > Homo sapiens. Next base: position 16,350,729 of record NC_000023.11, on the reverse strand, counting down.
ACTGATTCTATTATGGATGAACACTTGAATCGTTTCCTCTTTCAGATGATATAAATATTGTGGTGTTGACTATTCTTGTATGTTCTTCTTGGACCACATGGGCATGAGCTTCTTTAGAATGTACATATAGAAGTGGAATTACTGGGTTATAGAACATGTTCTATTTTACTAGGAAAGACCAAGCTCTACTCCAGAAATGGTTGTGCCAGTTCATATTCCAAACAGCCATGTATGAGAGTTCTGGTTGCTCCACATTCATACCAATATCTGGAATTGTAACTTTTGATTTTGTTAAAATGTGCATGGAATTGATATTATTGTGGTATTAATTTGCATTTCCATATTATTAATACATGTGAACACATTCAAATTTCCTATTTTGTAATATGTCTGTTCTACTGTTTCCCTCACTTTTCAAATAGTTGTGTCTTTGTTATTAAAGATTCCTGTGGTTGGGCATGGTGGCTCACACCTGTAATCCCAACACTGGGAGTCCGAGGCAGGAGGATCACTTGATGCCAGGAGTTCGAGACCAGCTTGGCCAACATGGTGAAACCCCATCATTACTACAAATACAAAAATTAGCCAGGAGTGGTGACACGTGTCTGTAATCCCAGCTATTTGGGAGGCTGAGGCATGAGAATCACTTGAACCTGGGAGGCGGAGGCTGCAGGGAGGTGGAGGCTACAGTGAGGCGAGATCATGCCACTGCACTTCAGCCTGAGCAACAGAGCGAGCGAGAATCTGTCTCAAAAAAAAGAAAGAAAGAAAGAAAAGCATTCCTAAGGTGCAGTTATATGTCCTGAACACTAATTATTTGTTAGTTATATGTGTAGCAAGTAGTTTTTCCCATCTTATGTTTTTACTTAACTCTCGTTATGATTTCTTTTGGTAAATGGAATTCCTTTTTATTAAAGTAGTCTAATTTATCAATTATTTCCTTTGTGGAAAATATATTTTCTACCATATTAAGAAACCTTTCTCTATTTAGAGTACATAAAGATATTCTACATTACCATATAAGTGCTTTTTAATTTTGCCTTTCAAATTTAGGTCTTAATCCATCTAAAACTGATTTTTGTGTACACATAAGGTAAGGTACTGGCTTTCTTTCTTTTTTCCCCTGCATTTATGAACAGCTGTTGAATTGTGTTTACTGAAGAGTCCATCCCTTCCCCACTGACCTTCCTTGGTTACAAACTGTGTCTGGATACACAAGCATCTATTTTAGGGCTCTCTATTCTGTTCCATTGGTCTATTCTGTATTTGCATCAGTATCATACTGCCTGAAGAAGTATAGCTTTATATTAAGTCTTGATATCTGATGGGGCAAGTCCCATTCTTGCTCTTTATCATTAAGAATGTCATGATCATTCAGAGGCCTTTCTACTTCCCTATCATTTTTAGAACAAGTATGTATTGAGTACTTACTCTAGTCAAACAGGCTTCTGAATTCTGAGGATACAGTAGTGAACAAATCAGACCAACTCTGAGCCCATGTAGACCTTGCAAACCATGGTTGAGGGAGAAAGAAAATAAATAAACACACACATCTCAGGTGGTAATGACTGGTATCATGTAAAATAAAGCAGGCTAAGGGGGTCCTGACTGTGAGGTGGAATCTATTTTTTTGTTTGTTTGTTTGTTTGTTTTTTATTAGTAAGGGAGGTCCAGGAAAGCCTCTCTGAGAAAGAGACATTTGAACACTGGTCAGGAAGATGTGAGAGAGTGAACCACCCAGATATGTGGTGGAAGAAATTTCCAGGAAGAGGAGGCTGCAAGGGAAAGCACAGAGAACCTGGGTGAAAGAGGCCACTTAAGTCCTTGTAGGTTATTGACTGAACATTGGCTGCTTCTTTGCATCAGAAGGAAGGTCACTGGAGAATCTGAGCAGGGAACTGATATATGTAGCTTTTCAATGAAAGTCAAAGGGCAGTACTGTTGTCTTTTGATGCCTCTGGTGTTTTCAGTGATGAAACTGCTGTGTGTTAGCACAAACGGATGACTTACTTCCATTTCCAAGCTTTATTCTGCAATGAGAAATAGCCTTTTCCATGCTTCCTAACATTCTAAGAATAAGCTGTCTGGACCTTTGGCATTTTCAGGCTGCAAGGTACATCATACATTATCCCAGTGAATCATGTGGTTCAACACCAGTTACCCACTAACAGTTGATCTCTGGTTCTGAAGTGCTGAATAATTTACAGATGGAAACAATTTAAAGACATAAAATTTCATGCAGGCTGCAAGGATTGAGAAATGTAATCTAATGATATACACACATAAGTGTGATGGAAACAGAGCTTAGATGAGCCTAAGCAAAGATATACTTTTCTATTTCACCATCAGCTTCATTAAATCATTAGGAGTGGTTGGCCAGTCACTCATCAGAGCCTGGGAAGAATGTTTAGCCAGTGGAGCTTTGTCCCAAAGCTCTCCAGGCCCCCAGACCTCCTTCTCTCAGGCAAGGCTTTTGAACTGTGGCTTAAGCAAATCGACGCCTAATGGAAAATTGAAAGGGATTCCAAAGTTATCTGGTCCAAATTGCACCCAGTGGAGGACTTTCCTTTGTAGTGTTGCCTCTCTGTCTCTCTTTATATCCCTCTGTCTCTCTCTGTGCACACAGTGTGTGTCTGTATGGGTGTGTGTGTGTGTGTGTGTGTGCGTGTGTGCTAGAGAGAGAGAGAGTCTGTGTGATGAACTTCTCTCCCTTACTTGTTTAGTTACCTCTCCTTTGACACTGAAATATCCGTGAAGGCAAGATGCTGTCTTGTTCACCACTGTATCCCCAGTGCTTAGCACCGTGCTTGGTATCCACATGCTCAACAAATTGTTGTTGAATACATTGCCTCTTCCTTATGCAAAAATCTTGTGAGCAGCATTCCTTGATGAAAGCAGTCTTAGTTTTCTCAAGCTTCCGTTAAAAAAAAATACCATAGATTGGATGCTTAAACAAAAGAAATGCCTTTTCTCACAGTTCTGGAGGATGGAAGTTCAAGATCAGGGTGCCAGCATAGTTGAGTTCTGGTGAATGCTGTCCTCCTGACTTGCAGATGGCTGCCTTCTCACTGTGTCCTCACATGGCAGTGAGAGAGAGAGAAAGTGTGTGTGTGTGTGTGTGTGTGTGTGTGTGCAAGCTCTCTTGTGTCTCTTCTTAAAAGAGCACTAATTTCATAAGACCAAGCCTTACCCTCATGAACTAATTACCTCTCAAAGGTCCCCTCTCCAAATACCATCACACTGGGGATTAGGGCTTTAATATATGAATTTTGAGGGAACATAAAACATTCAGTCTATAACACAAGCCCTCAGATGATTAATGGTCAAAGTAGTAGCAAAAGCAGTGTTTCTGTTACTTACTAAAAAGGTAGTGTCGGCCGGGCGTGGTGGCTCATGCCTGTAATCCCAGCACTTTGGGAGGCCAAGACGGGCGGATCATGAGGTCAAGAGATAGAGACCATCCTGGACAACATGGTGAAACCCCGTCTCTACTGAAAATACAAAAAATTAGACAGGCGTGGTGGTGTGCACCTGTAGTCCTGGCTACTCGGGAGGCTGAGGCAGGAGAATTGCTTGAACCCAGGAGGCGGAGGTTGCAGTGAACCAAGATAGTGCCACTGCACTCCAGCCTGGCAACAGAGCGAGACTCCATCAAAAAAAAAAAAAAAAAAGTAGTGCCATTCCAGTTTCTGGTTCTACAGTAAGGAGCTGGGACATCACCATTTCATACTAACAAGTAAAAATCTGAACAAAGTGAAAAATCAACAATCTTAGACCCATCAACAGGGACAACTGCTGTTTCCAAAACTGGAGAAACAGACTGGCAGATACAGTGTACCATGACATACTGGAGTAGAAACCGCCACAGGGACCAGTGCCAGGGTAGGAAAACCTGAGCTGTAATTAAATTGCTGGAGGCTAGGCGAGGACAAGACTGAGAGTTAAAAACTCCAGGGGATCCAGTCATGGAGGGGATGGTCTTTTATGCTGTTGTAAGTTTTACCTCCAGGTTCTCACAGTAAATGTTGGAGGAAAATGCCCTTGTGCTTCTGGCAGGAGAAGAGGAAAAGGAAGAATTTTGAAAACTGTTAGAGCACTCTGTTCTTAACATAGACTGCCCGAAGAAGAAACTATTTGATCAGAGCCTAACCTCTGGAGTTTTGTCAGAGCCTAACTGACCTGGCAGAAGGGAAATACCCAATTCCAGCCTTTTCTAGCTATCCTGTCCCACTTAAGGGAGAATGTGGAGGAAAAAAATTTAAAAAACACCTGTGGGAGTTCACACTCCAGAGATACAGGCTCACTAAAAGACTGAGACCTAATCATAGGACTATAGAACACTTCCCCCTCTTCCACACTTCACCACTACATTAATAAAGGCCTATTTACAGCGGCTTCTTTTACCCAGTACATCATGGCCAGCTATCAAGAAAAAATTACAAGACACACTAAAAGGCAAAAAACACCATTCAAAAAGAGCAAATAACCAGAACTAGACTCAGATATGGCAGGGATGTTGGAATTATCGGACTGTGAGTTCAAAACTACTAGGATTAATTTGTTAAGGGACCTAATGGAAAAAGTAGACAGCATGCAAGAGCAGATGGACAATGTAAGCAGAGAGACAGAAATCCAAAGAAAGGAAGGAAGGAAGGAAGGAGGGAAGGAAGGAAGAAAGAAAGAAACAGAAATTCTAGAGATCAAAACCACTGTAGCAGAAATGAAGAATGTCTTCAATGGGATCATTAGTAGAATAAAGATAGCTGAGCAAAGAATCTCTGGGCCTGAGGATGTATCAATAGAAACTGTCAAACCCAAAAAGCAAAGAGGACAAAGACTGAAAAAACAGAACACAATGTCCAAAGACTGCGGGACAACTACAAATATGTAATGAAAACACCAGAAGGAGAATAGAAAGAAACAGAAGACATATTTGAAACTATAATGACTGAGAACAGCAGCCCTCACAGATGAGAAAGAATCAGTGCAAGAACTCTGGCAACTCTAAAAGTCAGAGTATCTTACCTTCAAATAATCACATTAGCTTTCCTACAATGGTTTTTAACCAGGCTGAAATGACAGACATCGAATTCAGAATCTGGATGGCAATGAAGCTCATTGAGACTCAGGAGAAAGCTGAAACCCAATCCAAGGAATCCAAGGAATCCGGTGAAACAATCCAAGAGCTGAAAGACAAAATAGCCATTTTAAGAAAGAATCAAACTGAATTTCTGGCACTGAAAAATTCACTATAAGAATTTTATACTTGGAAATATTAACAGCAGAATAGACCGAGCTGCGGAAAGAATCTCAGAGCTTGAAGACGGGTTCCTCAAATCAACCCAGTCTGACAAAAATAAAGAAAGAATTGAACAAAACCTCCAAGAAATATGGGACTATGTAAAGAGACGAAACCTATGACTTTTAGCATTTCTGAGAGAGAAGGAGAGAGAGTAAGTAACTTGGAAAATATATTTATATTTATATATTTTTAAATATATTAAAATATATTTATATTTATATATTTTTAATATATTAAAATATATATTTATATTTCTGTATTTTTAAATATATTAAAAATATATTTAAGGACAGAGTCCATGAAAATTTCCCCAATCCTAGAGAGGTTGACATGCAAATTCAAGAAAGACAGAGGACCCCTGCTAGATACTCTACAAAATGACCATCCCTAAGGCACATAATCATCATATTCACCAAGGTCACTGGGAAATAAAAAATTATAAAAGTAGCTGGAGAGAAGGGTCAGGTCACATACAAGGAAACCCCACCAGGCTAGCAGCAGCCTTCTCAGGAGAAACCTTACAAGCCAGAAAAGATTGGGGACCTATTTTCAGTGTTCTTAAAGAAAAGAAATTCCAACCCAGACTTTTATATACAGCCAAACTAAGATGCATAAGCAAATGAGAAATAAAATACTTCTCAGACAAGCAAATGGTGAGGGAATTAAAAGACAGAGAATGACAAGATGGATAAAATGACAAGACCCCATCATCCGCTGTCTTCAAGAGATCCATCTCACATGTAATGACAACCACAGGCCCAAAGTAAAGGGATGGAGAAAGATCAACCATGCAAACGAAAACAGAAAAAAGCAGGATTCATTATTCTTATATCAGATAAAACAGACTTTAGACCTACAACAATCAAGAAGGACAAGAAGGGCATTACATAATGATAAAAGAGTACAATTCAACAGGAAGACTTAACTATCCTAAAAATATACACGCTCAACATAAAAGCATCCAGATTCATAAAACAAGTTCTTCTTGACCTATAAAAAGGCTTAGACAGCCAGACAATAATAGTTGGAGACTTCAAAACCCCATTGACAACATTAGACAGATCATTGAGGCAGAAAATGAACAAAGAAATTCTAGACTTAAATTCAACACTTGACCAATTGGACCTAATAGACATCTATAGAATATGCCACCCAACAACCACAGAATATATGTTCTTCTCATCTGCACACAGAACATATTTGAAGATTGAACATGTGCTCAGTCATAAAACAAGTCTCAGGGAATTTTTTTAAAAAGTCAAAATTATACCAAGCACACTCTTGGACCACAATGCAATAAAAATAGAAATCAATATCAAGCAAATCTCTCAAAACCACACAAATATATGGAAATTAAACAACTTGCTCCTGAGTAACTCCTGGATGAACAATGAAACTAAGGGAGAAATAAAAAAATTCTTTGAAATTAATGAAAATAGGGACACAACTTACCAAAATCTGTGGGATGCATCTAAAGCAGTGTTAAAAGAAAAGTTTATAGTGCTAAGTGCCTTCATCAAGAAGGTAGAAAAATCTCAAATGAACAATCTAACTTTGTACCTAGAAGAACTAGAAAGAAAGAAAAAAACCAACCCCAAAGCTGGCAGAAGAAAAGAAAAGAAGATTAGACAAGAACTGAATGAAACTGAAACACGAATATGCAGAAGATTAATGAAACCAAGAGTTTGTTTTTGGAAAAATAAACAAGATTGCTAGAACATAGAAATAAGTGCAATCAGAAATGACAAAGATGTCATTACAACAGATCCCAGAGAAATACAAAAGATCCCCAGAGACTATTATGAACAACTCTGTGCATACAAAATAAAAAATCTAGAGGAAATGGATAAATTCCTGGAAATATACAAGGATTGAACCAGGAAGAAAGTAGAAACCTGAACAGATCAATAACAAGTTATGAAATTGAATCAGTAATAAAAAACCTACCAACCAACAAAATCCCTGGACCAGATGGATTCATAGCTCAGTTCTACCAGATGTACAAAGAAGGACTGGTACCAATCCTACCGAAACCATTCAAAAAATGTGAGAAGTAGAGACTCTTCCCTAACTCATTCTATGAAGCCAGCTTCAGCCTGATACCAAAATCTGACAGAGACACATGACAAAAGAAAACTTCAGGCCAATATCCCTGATGAACATAGATGCAAAAATCTTCAACAAAATACTAACAATCTGAATCCAGCAGCACATCAAAAAGTTAATACACCATGATCAAGTAGGCTTTATTCCTGGGGTGCACAGCTGGCTCAACATATGCAAATCAATGAATGTGATTCACCACATAAATAGAACTAAAGCCAAAAACCGTATGATAATCTCAATAGACACAGAAAAATCTTTTGATAAAATCTGAAATCCCTTCATGATAAAAAACATCAACAGACTAGGGATCAAAGGAACATCCCTCAAAATAATAACAGCCATCTATGACAAATCCACAGCCAACATCAGACTGAATGGGCAAAGCTGGAATCATTCTTCTTCTTTTTTTTTTTTTTTAATTATACTTTAAGTTCTAGGGTACGTGTGCACAGTGTGCAGGTTTGTTACATAGGTATACATGTGCCATGTTGGTTTGCTGCACCCATCAACTCATCGTTTACATTAGTATTTCTCCTAATGCTATTCCTCCCCCAGCCCCCCACCCTCCAACAGGCCCTGGTGTGTGATGTTCCCCTCCTCGTGTCCATGTGTTCTCATTGTTCAACTCCCACTTATGAGTGAGAACATGCAGTGTTTGGTTTTCTGTCCTTGTGATATTTTGCTGAGAATGATGGTTTCCACTTTCATCCATGTCCCTGCAAAGGACATGAACTCATCCTTTTTTATGGCTGCATAGTATTCCATGGTGTATATTTGCCACATTTTCTTTATTCAGTCAATTATTAATGGACATTTGGGTTGGTTCCAAGTCTTTGCTATTGTGAATAGTGCTGCAATAAACATACATTTGCATGGGTCTTTATAGTAGCATGATTTATAATCCTTTGGGTATATACCCAGTAATGGGATTGCTGGGTCAAACGGTATTTCTAGTTCTAGATCCTTGAGGAATCACCACACTGTTTTCCACAATGGTTGAACTAATTTACACTCCCACCAACAGTGTAAAAGCTTAGCTGGAACCATTCTTCTTGAGAACTGGCACAAGACAAGGATGCCCTCTCTCACCATTCCTATTTAACACAGAACTGAAAGTCCTAGTCAGAGCAATCAGGCAAGAGAAAGAAATTAAAGGCATTCAAATAGGAAAATAAGTCCAACTATCTCTCTTCGTTGTTGATATGACTGTATACCTAGAAAACCCTGAAGACTATACCAAAAGGCTCCTAGAACTGAAAAATTATTTCAGTAAAGTTCCAGGATACCAAATTAAGGTACAAAAATCAGTACCATTTCTATACACCAGTAATGTTCAAGCTGAGAGCCAAATCAAGAAAGCAATTCCATTTACAATAGCCACAAAAAAAAGAAATACCTAGGAATGCAAGTGACCAAGGAGAACTACAAAATACTGCTGAAGGAAATCAGACATGACACAAATAATGGGAAAACATTACATGTTCATAGATTGGAAGAATCAATATCATTAAAATGGCCATACTGCCCAAAGCAATCTACAGATTCAATCGCTATTTGTATCAAGGTATCAACATCATTTTTCACAGAATTAGAAAAAACTATTCTAAAATTTGTGTGGAACAAAAAAGAGCCCAAATAGCCAAAGAATTCCTAAGCAAAAAGAACAAAGCCAGAGGCATCACACTACCTGACTTCAAACTATACTATAAGGCTGCAGTAACCAAAACAGCATGGGACTGGTACAAAAATAGACACAAAGACCAATGAAATAGAATAGAGAACCCAGAAATAAAGCAGCACATCTACAACCATCTGATTTTTTTTTTTTTTTTGAGACGGAGTTTCACTCTTGCTGCCCAGGCTGGAGTGCAATGGCCTGATCTTGGCTCACTGCAACCTCTGCCGCCCGGGTTCAAGTGATTTTCCTGCCTCAGCCTCCTGAGTAGCTGGGATTACAGGCACCCACCATCATGCCTAGCTAATTTTTGTATTTTTAGTAGAGACAGGGTTTCTCCATATTGGTCAGACTGGTCTCGAACTCACAACCTCAGGTGATCCACGCACCTTGGCCTCTCAAAATGCTGGGATTACAGGCCTGAGCCAATGCGCCCAGCCAACCATCTGATCTTTGGTGAAGCTAACAAAAACAAGCCATGGGGAAAGGACTCCCTGCCAAGACCAGCTCCAGCTTGGTCAGGGAGACCTTAACTCAGAGGAGCTAGAGGAATTAAAGACACACACACAGAAATATAGAGGTGCGAAGTGGGAAATCAGGGGTCTCATAGCCTTCAGAGCTGAGAGCTCTGAACAGAGATTTACCCACGTATTTATTAACAGCAAACCAGCCATTAGCATGGTTTCTATAGATATTAAATTAACTAAAAGTAGCCCTTATGGGAAACGAAGGGATGGGCTGAATTAAAGGGATAGGTTGGGTTAGTTAACTGCAGCAGGAGCATGTCCTTAAGGCACAGATCGCTCATGCGATTGTTTGTGGCTTAAGAATGCCTTTAAGCGGTTTTCCACCCTGGGCGGGCCAGATGTTCCTTGCCCTCATTCCCGTAAACCCACAACCTTCCAGCGTGGGCATTATGGCCATTATGAACATGTCACAGTGCTGCAGAAATTTTGTTTATGGCCAGTTTTGGGGCCAGTTTGTGGCCAGATTTTGCGGGGGCTGCTCCCAACAATTCCCTATGTAATAAATGGTGCTGGGATAACTGGCTATCCATATGCAGAAGAATGAAACTAGACTCCTACCTTTCAGCACATACAAAAAAAGATGGATTAAAGATTTGAATGTAAGACCTCAAACAATAAAAATCCTAGAAAAAAAATCCAGGAAAGATCCTTCTCAACATTGGCCTTACCTGATGATAAAGTGAAAAATTCTTACAAAAAAAAAACAAGAATTGTAACAAAAATAAAATTTGACAATTGGGACCTAATTAAATGAAACAGCTTCCGCATAGCAAAAGAAATGATCAAAAAACAGAACACCTATAGAATGGGAGAAAGTATTCACAAACTATGCATCTGAGAAAGGTCTAATATCCAGAATCTGTAAAGAACTTAAACAAATCAACAAGCTGAAAACAACCCCATTAAAAATGAGCAAAGGACATGAGTAGAGACACTTCTCAAAAGAAGACATATAAGCGGCCAAAAAAAGTATGAAATAATGTTCATCTTCACGAATCATCAGAGAAATGCAAATCAAAACCACCGTGAAATACCGTCTCCACCACCCAGAATAGCTATTAGGCTGGTGCAAAAGTAATTGCAGTTTTTGCCATTAAAAGTAACGGCAATTGCCATTAAAAGAAGTAATATCATTAAAAAGTCAAAAAATAACAGATGGTGGTGAGGCTGTGGAAAAAAGGGAAAGCTTACACACTGCTGGTAGGAATATAAATTGGTTTAGCCAGTGTGGAAAGCAGTTTGGAGATTTCTCAAAGAACTTAAAACATAGCTACCATTCAACCCAGCAATTCCATTACTGGGTATATACCCAAAGGAAAAGAAATTGTTCTACCAAGAAGGTACATGCACTTGTATGCTCATTGCATCACTGTTCACAATAGCAAAGATGGGAGATCAACCTAGGTTCCCATCAATGGTGGGTTGGATATGAAAATGTGGTACATATACACCATGGAATACTATGCAACAATAAAAAAGAATGAAATCATGTCCTTTGCAACAACATGGATGCAGCTGGAGACCATAATCCTAAGCAAATTAACACAGGCACAGAAAACCAAATACTGCACGTTGTCACTTATAAGTGGGAGCTAAACATTGAATACACATGGACATAAAGATGGGGGCAATAGACACTGTAGACTACTAGAAGGAGAGGGAAGGATGGATATGTGGGTGGAAAAATTACCTGTTGGGTAGTATGTTCACTACCTGGGTGACAGGATCTATACTCCAAACCTCCGCACCATGCAATATACCCATGTAACAAATCTGCACATATACCCCATGAATCCAAAATAAAAGTTGAAACTATAAAAAAACTCACTTTAAATATAAAGATACATATAAATTTAAAGTAAAGGAATGGAGAAATATGTATATGCTAATACTAAGGAAAAGAAAGCAGAAGTAGCTATGTTATTTTCAGACAGAGGAGACTTCAAAGCAAGGGAAGTTATCAGGAATAAAGAGGGACATTACATAATGATAAAGCGGTCAATCATCCAAGAAGATGTAACAATTGTTACCATGTATGCGCCTAGCCACATAGCATCAAAAGATGTGAGGTAAAAACAGATTGAACTGCAAGGAGAAATAGATGAATCCGTTATTACAGTTAGAGACTTCAACACCCCTTTATCAGAAATGGACAGGTTCAACAGGTGGAAAGTCAGTAAGGACATAGTTGAACTCAACACCACCATCAATCAATTGGATATAATTGATATCTATAGACTTCTGCATCCAACAACAGTGGAATATACATTCTTCTCAAGTTCACACGGAACAATCACCAAGATAGACCACATTCTTGGCCATAAAACACACATAGATATTGTGGTAAAATATTTACGAAATGCTTAATATTTGTCAGCCCCAGTGCTAAGACTCTCACTTGCATCACTTTGTGTAACCATGACATCTCCATGAACTAGATGTCATTATTCCTGTTTTCCAGGTGGAAAAGAGAGGTAAAGAGGCTAGTGTCAGTGTCAGTGTCTGGTTTATAGCAAGTGCTCAATAAGTAATAGCTACTATTATTCTTATTTGTATTGGTTTCTTATTGTGGACATACCCCTAGGGAGGTATAGAGAAAGTGCTTTTGTAGTTCAGAGAATATGGTGATGAACTACCATGAGCCGTCATTGCACTGGAGATAGGGGACATGAAAAAATGAGCAAGACAGTCTTCATTCTGTGTGTGTGTGTGTGTGTGTGTATGCCTGTTTATAATATAAGTAAGGCAAAATGTCCTAAAAATTATCATAGAGGCACAGAGGAGGAAACCAGTTCCATGAAGGAGGCAGCATGTGAAGGGAGCTTGCAAAGAGAGTTAAGATTTACTCTGTATGCAAAGGCAGACTGTAGGGGACATCTGGGGAATGGTGGACCTTCTGGTGGCTGTGCTTTCCTGCTCCTTCTAACACCTGGTGCTAGTTTTAAGCTCTGGTCCCTCCCAGCTTCAGGACTGTTAAGATGACACCCCCTAACCCCCCTCTTCACTTATTCCCAACTTACTTTCATTTTGACCCAGTTGCCATCATCTAAACTCTCAGTTTTGTAATCTTTTTTTTTCTTTTTTTTTTAAATTATACTTTAAGTTTTAGGGTACATGTGCACATTGTGCAGGTTAGTTACATATGTATACATGTGCCATGCTGGTGCACTGCACCCACTAACTCGTTATCTAGCATTAGGTATATCTCCCAATGCTATCCCTCCCCCCTCCCCCCACCCCACAACAGTCCCCAGAGTGTGATATTCCCCTTCCTGTGTCCATGTGATCTCATTGTTCAATTCCCACCTATGAGTGAGAATATGCGGTGTTTGGTTTTTTGTTCTTGCGATAGTTTACTGAGAATGATGTTTTCCAATTTCATCCATGTCCCTACAAAGGACATGAACTCATCATTTTTTATGGCTGCACAGTATTCCATGGTGTATATGTGCCACATTTTCTTAATCCAGTCTATCATTGTTGGACATTTGGGTTGGTTCCAAGTCTTTGCTATTGTGAATAATGCCGCAATAAACATACGTGTGCATGTGTCTTTATAGCAGCATGATTTGTAGTCCTTTGGGTATATACCCAGTAATGGGATGGCTGGGTCAAATGGTATTTGTAGTTCTAGATCCCTGAGGAATCGCCACACTGACTTCCACAATGGTTGAACTAGTTTACAGTCCCACCAACAGTGTAAAAGTGTTCCTATTTCTTCACATCCTCTCCAGCACCTGTTGTTTCCTGACTTTTTAATGATTGCCATTCTAACTGGTGTGAGATGGTATCTCATTGTGGTTTTGATTTGCATTTCTCTGATGGCCAGTGATGATGAGCATTTTTTCATGTGTTTTTTGGCTGCATAAATGTCTTCTAAATGTCAATAAATTAGGTATTGATGGGACGTATTTCAAAATAATAAGAGCTATCTATGACAAACCCACAGCCAATATCATACTGAATGGGCAAAAACTGGAAGCATTCCCTTTGAAAACGGGCACAAGACAGGGATGCCCTCTCTCACCACTCCTATTCAACATAGTGTTGGAAGTTCTGGCCAGGGCAATTAGGCAGGAGAAGGAAATAAAGGGTATTCAATTAGGAAAAGAGGAAGTCAAATTGTCCCTGTTTGCAGACGACATGATTGTATATCTAGAAAACCTCATTGTCTCAGCCCAAAATCTCCTTAAGCTGATAAGCAACTTCAGCAAAGTCTCAGGATACAAAATCAATGTACAAAAATCACAAGCATTCTTATACACCAGCAACAGACAAACAGAGAGCCAAATCATGAGTGAACTCCCATTGACAATTGCTTCAAAGAGAATAAAATACCTAGGAATCCAACTTACAAGGGATGTGAAGGACCTCTTCAAGGAGAACTACAAACCACTGCTCAAGGAAATAAAAGAGTATACAAACAAATGGAAGAACATTCCATGCTCATGGGTAGGAAGAATCAATATCGTGAAAATGGCCATACTGCCCAAGGTAATTTACAGATTCAATGCCATCCCCATCAAGCTACCAATGCCTTTCTTCACAGAATTGGAAAAAAACTACTTTAAAGTTCATATGGAACCAAAAAAGAGCCCACATCGCCAAGTCAATCCTAAGCCAAAAGAACAAAGCTGGAGGCATCACAATACCTGACTTCAGTTTTGTAATCTTGTCTTAAATTCTGCCTCTGGTCTTTTGGACTTTCTGTTTGTTCTTGGCAATTCTGACAACATAGGGTCTGCTGTTTCCCCAGAGTCTTGGCTCATGCCTCTGGCCTTCATTAGCAGCTTCTGCCTTGAGTCAGTAGAAACCACTAATCTTTAATTTCAGTTCTTCGTTTCCTAACCCCTTCTCTTTCCCTGTCTCTCTCCTCATTTGCTGTCTCCCACTCCCCACCACACATAAAAACTATTTTGATGGATGCAGGAGAACAAAATAGAATAACGAATTTTACTTCCATTTCAGATTTTGACATGATTGGAAGCAGCTTTGCCACTCCCCCTTCTTCTCCAAGCCAAAGATCTTCAGTCATTAATTTTCCCACTACATGTTTTGCAGCTACATTATCATCGACCTTATTGTCTTCTGGATGACTCTAGTTTCTCTCCAACATCCGACCCCCAAACCTGAAGCTTACAAATGAGATCAAAAGTTAAAATTTGCATATCTGAGTCACCTAACTCTAAAAAAAACCCTCCTAAAAATGAGCAAAATTTTGAGAAGGCAAAAATCGATACTTCAAGTAGGGAAGATAATATATCTAATCCATCCTTGGATTTTTCAGCATGGTGACTTGAAATTTTGGGGATTATATTAAAGAAGTTGTATTTTTTAGTTAGGAAACCCTACAGTCATTACAAAGAGATATGGGAGGTTATGAATACTTAATGACTCAATATATTGCTTTAATGGAAACCTTTGGTTACTTCTTTTGGTTTTTGTTTCTCTATCTCCTCTCTTCCTGTCTCTCTGTCTCTCTTTATCTCTTTTTTTTTCTCTCTTGCTTTAGCTATTCTAAATTATTTTCCTATGGGAATTAGTTTCTAGACTCCAAATGGTGTTTTAAAAGAGTATGAAATTTTTTTTTGTCCTGTACTTTCCATCACTTTCACTTAGGAGGGAATATTGTTGCTACTCCTTCCATATACCCTTGACATTCATGCTTGAGTTCATCCTTGGTTGAGTCATGGATGTGCCAGAGACTTAATGTTCCTAGAAGCAGCCCTCAACCAACTACAGACTTCCTCACCCCTTAGTTGGGGCAACTATGAGGCATAGTCTTCAGTGTCTTCCAGCATTCAGTGGATTTAGTTCCAGTTGCCCACAGTGATATTGACTTGATAACACACTTCACTGACTTCCTTCCTTTCTCTTTCTCATGTATACGCTCCACTACTGGCATTTTCCTGAGATCATCTCCCAAATAAACTCCTGAATTCTTGATTAAGGATCTGCTTTCAGGGGACAACCCAAACCAAGATAATATTTTCTATGAATTTCCCTGTCTTACAAAGATAAGATGTTATGTGTGGATTTAGCTCATTTCTTCCTTCATACTTTACGTATATATCTAAAATTATGGCGTTCAGGTTATTTATAATCAATTTCCTTTGATTTATTACTTTTAAAAAATTAGAAATGAAAATATTATCTAAAAATTGTATCTTTAGTCCATGTAATAAATTCTTTCATACTATGGTCTCAGGACACACTCGAAATTAAACATGGTGCTTGCCTTTCAAGAGGCTTTCAGGCCAACAAGGTTTGGACTTCTCAAGGCAATAAATGCATTGTCTTTAATCAAGAGTCATTTGTTGGGATAGCACAGCAGTTTTATGATCAATGAGAATATCTGGGGTATGCTGTCCCACATTCGTTCATTGTACACCATTTGAGAATTTCCTGTTTGGCAGCACAATGCAAATGCTCCATTATGTGATTTGGATGTGTGTCCTCTCCAAATCTCATATTGAAATGTGACTTCCAACGTGGGAGGTGGGGCCTGGTGGGAGGTATTGGATCATGGGGGTGGATCCCTCATGAATGGCTTAGCACCATCCCCTTGGTGATAAGTGAGTTCTTGCTCAGTTAGTTCATGTGAGATCTGGTTGTTTAAAAGTCTGGGACCTTCCCTGCCTCACTCTGTTGCTCCTGCTCTCGCCACGTGACCTGCTGGCTCCCCATGGCCTTCTGCCATGATTGTAAGATTCTTGAGGCCCTCACCAGAAGCTGAGCAGATGCAGAACTATGAGCCAATTAAACCTCTTTTTTAATATATATAAATTACCCAACCTCAGGTATTCATTTATAGCGATGCAAGAATGGGCTAATTCATTCTACCTCCGTTAATCGTGATCTCAGTTTCAAAAATCAATCCATTTTTGACTAACCAAAATAAAGATCAGGCTGGGCATGGTGGCTCACACCTGTAATCCCAGCACTTTGGGAGGCCAAGGCTGGTGGATCACTTGAGGTCAGGAGTTTGAGACCAGCCTAGCCAACATAGTGAAACCCTGTCTCTACTAAAAATACAAAAAAAAAAAAAAAATAGCCAGGTGTGGCGGCATGCACCTGTAGTCTCAACTACCCGGGAGGCTGTGGCAAAAGAATTGCCTGAACCTGGGAGGCAGAGGCTGCAGTAAGCTGAGATTGCACCACTGCACTCCAGCCTGGGCAACAGAGTGAGACTCCATCTCAAAAAAAAAAAAAAAAAAAAGTGAAATAAAGATCAGTGCAAGGGAAAAGCTAGTCCATTTTATGATGATTTCCCACATTTAAAAGAGAAGATAAAATGGCCAGAATAGTCAAAATCCTAGAAGATAGTAAAGGAAATTTGGCTTTAGTTCGTTTAAAGGTAGCACGTGGAGCATTTTGCCTTCAGCAGAAAGCGCATGTAAACGAGGCACATAACTGATTAATGAATAAACAACTTTCATTGTAGGCAAGGACCAGGAAGTAGCAGTTTGGCAGTAAGTTTCTGAGAAATCAACTTGTGGACTGACAGCTACATTATTCAGTATGAAAAGAATTTTCGCGGAGTGCAAACACTCATCTATTTTCCCGCATTTGAAAACTTTTTGTTAGTGAAACAGTTTATTAACATTCCCCTAGAGAAAAGCATGCTATGCAAACTTCAAGAGTCAGACTTGCATTGCAAAAGTCTTAAAAACATGCTCAAATGATGAAGATTAATCACCCTCATTCAATGACACCAAGACAAAAGTGAGGCAAAGAAGAAAGCAGGAGGGGGACCAGAAGGAAAATCCAAGGGAAATTGAAGCTCACCATCATGTGACCTACCCATCTTATTTTATACTGTTGCCTTTCCTCACCACTCTTCACCCCACTAGATACCCCTAAAAACTTTTCAATCCAAATGCAGACCCATATGCAGTAGGAATAACACCAAGAACCCAAACCTCATCCTTGGAAATGCAAAACTTTCAGAGCTCTGCGCATGTCATACTAGTCATGTCATGTCAAGCCTCCTACATAAGAGTTGTACCTGGGAGAACTGAGGCTTTTGGGGTTTCTGGAATTTTGAGTAATAATTAGAAAGGTTTTTATAAGTTATAAAGGAATTCACCCATGTTTTCTTCTATTGTTTCTTTTTTGAAAAAATTTAGATCTTTCATCCATTTGGAGGAATTTTTGGTGTGTGGCACTGGGATTGATCTTGACTTTTTAGGCATGGATTCCTATACTTTGCTTAGGTTTTCTAGTTTAAGTGTTGATGCTCATACTCAAGGACTTGGCAGTCCTGAGCATCTTCCCCCTCCCATTAGTTATCTTCAATTAGCTTTGCCCATCAACCCGTCCAAAATACTCCTCATGAATATTCATTTGTCATACCCATTAGCTCCATCCTTTTCCCCAGAGACCCCAAAAGCCTCAGTTCTCCCAGGTACAACCCTGAACAGCTCTTGACAAGAAGCTAAAACAGAGGTTTCCGTTGATTTCTCATGTTTCTCTTTAGTGACTAGAGCCCCATTAGAATTATAGTCAGGTGGCCAGGCGCGGTGGCTCACTGCTGTAATCCCAACACTTTGGGAGGCCAAGGCGGGCAGATTGCTTGAGGCCAGGAGTTTGAGACCAGCTTGGCCAACATGGTGAAACCCCATCTCTACTAAAAATACAAAAATTAGCTGGGAGTGGTGGTGTGAGCTTGTAGTCCCAGCTACTCGGGAGGCTGAGGCGGCAGAATCACTTGAGCCCAGGAGGTGGAGGTTGCAGTGAACCAAGATTGTACCACTGTACTCCAGCCTGGGCAACAGAGTGAGACTGCTAAAAACAAACAAACAAACAAACAAAAGAATTATACCCAGGTATTTCATTCCCCCTTTATTGACTGTGCTTATTTTAATGGTAAACTAGAGGACTGGGGCCTGCCCATGGCCCAGCTCCATCCCAGTTTCTCTCTTGGGGGCTTGTTTTGTGCAGGGAGTGGGAATTCTCTTTCCCACAGGGTATTAATTTCCTGATCACGCCTACAGTGAGCGGAAAAATCTATCTACTTCTCGGGTTCATTTAACAAGCCCTTTTGGCTGCTTCATGCTGATCTCTATCATTAATAAAAGTGATATTTGGGCTTCTAATGGTTTTTTCTTTATTATTCATAGCATGGCAAACAGCATGGGCTTCATGTTTGTCTTGGTTCCTCTTGCCCCAGAAGTCTTTTTGGGGGAACATGAAACAGCCTAGGTGAATCCTGCACATACAGTAGGCTTATATCACTGCTGAAAAACATCAAGTTGGGGAACTCCTATTTTTTATGATGGACTGCAAGCAAACTTGCTTCACCTTTGCCCCAGAGAGAGACAGTCTCTTTATTATACTACTTAGGAAACAAACCTACTCTTCCTCCAGAGAGACACTATCTTCATTTTCCAAGGCTGTTGACTATACAATCATCATTGAAAAGATAGTCCAGGAAAAGGGCTGTCAGTTTCTCTACTTGCAAAGTGTGTAGAAATATGAGAGACCCATGGGAAATTGTCTCCCAACACATCTGCAGATGGTTATGTTTATCTGGATTTAAATTTAACCCTGTGAAGCAAAACTGGAGGTAAGACTGACTATTGTGGTAGCTTTTCAAAATATATATATAATTTGAGGCACATTGGATCTCCTTGATGTCTCCAACCCAAGATATTTATCTTATAGCTGTCAAAGGTTTAGTTTTCTGGGAAGCAGATTCTAACATGAAATTTAGGGTGCAGGATATTTTTAAAGGGATGCTCTTGGGATCAACACCTGTGGAAAAAAAGGGAAGGAAAGGGAAGAGAAAAGGAGGAAACAGAATTGGGCAAGGGGAAAGTTGACCTGGCATGCAGAACCATACAGAGCCTTGGCTTACCTAACCAGGAGTTTTATAACTAAAATGACCCTTCAGGATTGTTTCCTGTTGGGTCAAGGTGGCCAGGTCCTGATACTGATGCATAAATCCATTATTGTCTGTGCGTAGTCCTGGGAAGTGCATGACCTTGGGCGATGGAATTGTCTGTAGCCAAGGAAATTCCTGAAGGGAATGACAGCTGAAGACTGTCTGCTGGCCTCCAGAAACTGGGATAAGTCCTTCCTTGAAGTAGAGTCTGGGTTATACATCTTCTAGTGTCTACCATGATAGTAAAGGTTGGAAAACAGCACTGGATTCACTGATTAATGGTGGTCATTTCTCTTGCAGTAACATTTCTAAGTTTATGGACAGTTGAGTGGACATTACATTACATAGTTATGAATGTCTTGTTAGTCTGCAAAAATCCAGAAGGAACTTAATGAGCTGACTGTGTGGCAGGTGGCAGCTCAGGACACTGATATGCTTGGGAGCCCCCTGTTTGGAGGCCCCCCTGCTTGGAGGCCCCCTATTTAGAAACTGGGTGAGTGGTAGAACTGTGTCAAACCTCAGAGGGGCCCATTTTTCTCATGGATTTTAGATTCTATGACTAATTTAATCTAGAACAGAACCAAACCACTGGCTAAAACCAAAAGCAACCATCCTCAGGGTAGAGTTGTAGTGCTCAGTTTTTCTTCTGATATTTTCTGCCTCTTTGAGTGAAAAAATAGCTGCGTTAGGGGGTGGTGGTGGCAGTTGATATTTGGCAATCCACATAATTGCCACTTTTATCCCATTTAGCTTCACCATTCTTACCATGGCTTTCCTGTGCTGTTGTTTGCATGGCTGTATGGTTGAAGTGCAACAAATATACATTGGATGTATAAATTATAATTACTCTCTTATTTTTATCTTCATGCAGGAAAACTCTACTCTTGCTCCACTAGCAGCATCTGGTATGTCTATGTATAGAAAACAATTTAGCAAAGAGAGTCTCTGATGATGCTAAATAATGCTGGGGAATTTTTTCTGGAGTAATATTATTAGAAACTTAACACATAGCTGTGCATAAGCTACTTGCATGTTGTATCTTAACTCCTTGCAACAGCTCTGCAAAGTAAATAGTACTGTTGCCATATTCTAAGTGACTTTGTTACCTGTCTTTGGTCACGTGGCTTGGTAGGGATGACATGATGACGTATTCTAGTCCAACAACAGATGTCTATGAAATGCAGCTTTATTTTATATTGACAGCTTTATTTCTATTATGAGCTTTAGAGTCTATGGGGTGGTGAAAAATGTAATCTCATTTTTCCCAAGCATGTGTCTGATTTTAGTGGAAGAGGGTGCTACATGGCAGTAAAGGCACTGTTGAGGAAGGAAGCATGAGCCTCCATGTAATCATCTATTCCTGCTGGATCTGCAGAGATATGCTTTTGTTTCTGTGGTTTTCAGTTGTTAGTCCATGCAAGATGCCCCATTTCACTTAGTCTTTCCAGGGGTCCTAGCTCTCAATGCCATATTTCAACTGCTCTTGGTTACCAAGAAAACATTCTTGTAGCATCTGCCTGGACATCCCATGCAAACTTTTTTTACTCTAGGGTCTTGCCACTTTACCTGCTTTTGCCTGAGAAAGTGGGGCAAGAACCCCATTGCTCTCAGACTTGCCCAGTTGTCTTCTGCTTTCTGTCCTCCCTCTTTCTCCAATAGTCCCTCAGGGAAGGGCAGGCACAGGTCTTAGAGACATTCTGCTTTCCAGAGAACAGCACCATTCCCACTCTATAAGCTGTATTTGCTTCCTTACTGATTCTTTCCTTATCAATGTCCCAAGGGATTGATAAGGAATCTTTTATTTTTTAAACATTACTTGTTGAGGTATAATTTACAGACATTAAAATGCACAGATTTTAAGTATACAATTCAATAAGCTTTGGTCAATGTTTACAGTTGTGTAACTCACACCCATATTACAATATAGAACATTTCCATCACTCTCCAAGGCTTTTTCATGCTCCTTTCCAGTTGATCCCCATCCCCAACTACTTTTCTTATTTTTATCAGTATATATTAGTTTTGTCTAGATTTGTAACTTCATATCAATGGAATCACATAATATGTACTCTTGTATCTGGCTTTTTTCACTCAGCATCAGGTTTTTGAGATCCCAGAAGTATTTTTAATCTCATTATTAAGCCACCATGCTTTATCTATTCCGTAAGGCCCCTCAAAGCTGTTTAGGACTCTACAGCCCCAAAGCCTGAACTTTTAAAATTCAAATGCTTTTCTTTGCTCTTTTCCTATATCATCTCTTCCCTTTGACTAAAAGTTATCTATTTAACCAGGGAAAGGTCAAGAAGTACCAGGAAATGCAGAGGGAACCTTGTCAATAGCTCCAAGAATAATCCCAACACAGAGTTAAGAGCAGAGTCAGAATTTCAATTTATAACTTTCTGACCCTGGAACGTCTGCTCTTCACAATTACCCCAAAGTTTTCCTGAAAGATTTAAAAATTGACTGCTGAGAAGAGGGAGAAAGGTGGAGCGTTACGTTGAAATACAAGTTGCTGTTCACTGGAGGCAAGTGCTTATTTTTACTCATGGATAGTCTTCAGAAGGCTTAATCTCACCAATGAGAACTTTCACAAATGATCTTTTTTTGTTTAGTGCCCATTGAATTGCACCAATGGTAGCTTATCTAAGGGTTTAGTCCAAAAAATTTTTTTGCCACTTGCCTCCAGTGAACAGTAACTTGTATTTCAATGTAACTCTGCAGGTAGTTAGTGGCTCCGTCACTGTCTGTGTAGCTGTGGGAAAGTTTTATCGCTTTTCCAAGCCTCACTTCCTGCCATGCTAAAATTAGAGGATTACAGTAAATGATCACTAGGCTTCCTTCTAACTCAAAATCACAGTGAATCAATGTGTGTAGTGCCCAGCAAATGAGCAAAATGGTGTTCATATAACCTAAGGATCCTGCCAAAGATACAGGATGTGCTTGCTGCATGAATGACATGGAGGATTGCAGTTGTGCTTTCTGCTTCAATAAGGAATGGCATATTTACTCTTTGGATCCACCACAATAAGCCTGAAACAAAAGGATATGAAAATGGCTTCAGTATATTTTTAGGTTTTTATTAAATAGTACTAGCTATGGAGTGATAGAAACAAAGCTATGGTCCTCTTGTCTGGAAGTACAATAATGTGACTTTTGAAATAAATTCAATTTTGGTGACAGCAACAAATAAATAAATAAAAATGGTGGTTTGCAGTGCTATAGAATGGTCTAATTCTTCCAAAGGACGTGGCTGCACCAAAGCTTAATTTTGAGGTTACCTAAATGAAAATATCATGGCTCTCTCATCTGTAATAATAAGTCAATATGTACCCAGAACTTCTATACTATATTTTAGACCATTTCACAAATACCATTATTATTCCATTACAATAAATGTTAAAGGAAAGGTTGGTGTATTATTTTGTTTGTTTGTTTTTATTATTATTATACTTTAAGTTTTCGGGTACATGTGCACAATGTGCAGGTTAGTTACATATGTATACATGTGCCATGCTGGTGTGCTGCACCCATTAACTCGTCATTTAGCATTAGGTATATCTCCTAATGCTATCCCTCCCCCCTCCCCCCACCACACAACAGTCCCCAGAGTGTGATGTTCCCCTTCCTGTGTCCATGTGTTCTCATTGTTCAGTTCCCACCTATGAGTGAGAACATGTGGTGTTTGGTTTTTCGTCCTTGAGATAGTTTACTGAGAATGATGATTTCCAATTTCATCCATGTCCCTACAAAGGACATGAACTCATCATTTTTTATGGCTGCATAGTATTCCATGGTGTATATGTGCCACATTTTCTTAATCCAGTCTATCATTGTTGGACATTTGGGTTGGTTCCAAGTCTTTGCTACTGTGAATAGTGCCGCAATAAACATACGTGTGCATGTGTCTTTATAGCAGCATGATTTATAGTCCTTTGGGTGTATACCCAGTAATGGGATGGCTGGGTCAAATGGTATTTGTAGTTCTAGATCCCTGAGGAATCGCCACACTGACTTCCACAATGGTTGAACTAGTTGACAGTCCCACCAACAGTGTAAAAGTGTTCCTATTTCTCCACATCCTCTCCAGCACCTGTTGTTTCCTGACTTTTTAATGATTGCCATTCTAACTGGTGTGAGATGGTATCTCACTGTGGTTTTGATTTGCATTTCTCTGATGGCCAGTGATGGTGAGCATTTTTTCATGTGTTTTTTGGCTGCATAAATGTCTTCTTTTGAGAAGTGTCTGTTCATGTCCTTTGCCCACTTTTTGATGGGGTTGTTTGTTTTTTCTTGTAAATTTGTTTGAGTTCATTGTAGATTCTGGATATTAGCCCTTTGTCAGATGAGTAGGTTGTGAAAATTTTCTCCCATTTTGTAGGTTGCCTGTTCACTCTGATGGTAGTTTCTTTTGCTGTGCAGAAGCTCTTTAGTTGAATTAGATCCCATTTGTCAATTTTGGCTTTTGTTGTCATTGCTTTTGGTGTTTTAGACATGAAGTCCTTGCCCATGCCTATGTCCTGAATGCTAATGCCTAGGTTTTCTTCTAGGGTTTTTATGGTTTTAGGTCTAACGTGTAAGTCTTTAATCCATCTTGAATTGATTTTGGTATAAGGTGTAAGGAAGGGATCCAGTTTCAGCTTTCTACATATGGCTAGCCAGTTTTCCCAGCACCATTTATTAAATAGGGAATCCTTTCCCCATTGCTTGGTTTTCTCAGGTTTGTCAAAGATCAGATAGTTGTAGATATGTGGCGTTATTTCTGAGGGCTCTGTTCTGTTCCATTGATCTATATCTCTGTTTTGGTACCAGTACCATGCTGTTTTGGTTACTGTAGCCTTGTAGTATAGTTTGAAGTCAGGTAGCGTGATGCCTCCAGCTTTGTTCTTTTGGCTTAGGATTGACTTGGCCATGCGGGCTCTTTTTTGCTTCCATATGAACTTTAAAGTAGTTTTTTCCAATTCTGTGAAGAAAGTCATTGGTAGCTTGATGGGGATGGCATTGAATCTATCAGTTACCTTGGGCAGTATGGCCATTTTCAGGATATTGATTCTTCCTACCCATGAGCATGGAATGTTCTTCCATTTGTTTGTATCCTCTTTTATTTCATTGAGCAGTGGTTTGTAGTTCTCCTTGAAGAGGTCCTTCACATCCCTTGTAAGTTGGATTCCTAGGTATTTTATTCTCTTTGAAGCAATTGTCAATGGGAGTTCACTCATGATTTGGCTCTCTGTCTGTCTGTTATTGGTGTATAAGAATGCTTGTGATTTTTGTACATTGATTTTGTATCCTGAGACTTTGCTGAAGTTGCTTATCAGCTTAAGGAGATTTTGGGCTGAGACAATGGGGTTTTCTAGATCTACAATCATGTCATCTGCAAACAGGGACAATTTGACTTCCTCTTTTCCTAATTGAATACCCTTTATTTCCTTCTCCTGACTAATTGCCCTGGCCAGAACTTCCAACACTATGTTGAATAGGAGTGGTGAGAGAGGGCATCCCTGTCTTGTGCCCGTTTTCAAAGGGAATGCTTCCAGTTTTTGCCCATTCAGTATGATATTGGCTGTGGGTTTGTCATAGATAGCTCTTATTATTTTGAGATACGTCCCATCAATACCTAATTTATTGAGAGTTTTTAGCATGAAGCGTTGTTGAATTTTGTCAAAGGCCTTTTCTGCATCTATTGAGATAATCATGTGGTTTTTGTCTTTGGTTCTGTTTATATGCTGGATTACATTTATTGATTTGCATATATTGAACCAGCCTTGCATCCCAAGGATGAAGCCCACTTGATCATGGTGGATAAGCTTTTTGATGTGCTGCTGGATTCGGTTTGCCAGTATTTTATTGAGGATTTTGCATCAATGTTCTTCAAGGATATTGGTCTAAAATTCTCTTTTTCTGTTGTGTCTCTGCCCAGCTTTGGTATCAGGATGATGCTGGCCTCATAAAATGAGTTAGGGAAGATTCCCTCTTTTTCTATTGATTGCAAGAGTTTCAGAAGGAATGGTACCAGCTCCTCCTTGTACCTCTGGTTGAATTCGGCTGTGAATCCATCTGGTCCTGGACTCTTTTTGGTTGGTAAGCTATTGATTATTGCCACAATTTCAGAGCCTGTTATTGGTCTATTCAGAGATTCAAATTCTTCCTGGTTTAGTCTTGGGAGAGTGTATGTGTCGAGGAATTTATCCATTTCTTCTAGATTTTCTAGTTTATTTGCATAGAGGTGTTTATAGGATTCTCTGATGGTAGTTTGTATTTCTGTGGGATCGGTGGTGATATCCCCTTTATCATTTTTTATTGCATCTATTTGATTCTTCTCTCTTTTCTTCTTTATTATTCTTGCTAGCGGTCAATCAATTTTGTTGATCCTTTCAAAAAACCAGCTCCCGGATTCATTAATTTTTTGAACGGTTTTTTGTGTCTCTATTTCCTTCAGTTCTGCTCTGATTTTAGTTATTTCTTGCCTTCTGCTAGCTTTTGAATGTGTTTGCTCTTGCTTTTCTAGTTCTTTTAATTGTGATGTTAGGGTGTCAATTTTGGATCTTTCCTGCTTTCTCTTGTGGGCATTTAGTGCTATTAAATTTCCCTCTACACACTGCTTTGAATGTGTCCCAGAGATTCTGGTATGTTGTGTCTTTATTCTCGTTGGTTTCAAAGAATATCTTTATTTCTGCCTTCATTTCGTTATGTACCCAGTAGTCATTCAGGAGCAGGTTGTTCAGTTTCCATGTAGTTGAGTGGTTTTGAGTGAGTTTCTTAATCCTGAGTTCTAGTTTGATTGCACTGTGGTCTGAGAGACAGTTTGTTTTAATTTCTGTTCTTTTACATTTGCTGAGGAGAGCTTTACTTCCAAGTATGTGGTCCATTTTGGAATGGGTGTGGTGTGGTGCTGAAAAAAATGTATATTCTGTTGATTTGGGGTGGAGAGTTCTGTACATGTCTATTAGGTCTGCTTGGTGCAGAGCTGAGTTCAATTCCTGGGTATCCTTGTGAACTTTCTGTCTCGTTGATCTGTCTAATGTTGACAGTGGGGTGTTAAAGTCTCCCATTAGTATTGTGTGGGAGTCTAAGTCTCTTTGTAGGTCACTCAGGACTTGCTTTATGAATCTGGGTGCTCCTGTATTGGGTGCATATATATTTAGGATAGTTAGCTCTTCTTGTTGAATTGATCCCTTTACCATTATGTAATGGCCTTCTTTGTCTCTTTTGATCTTTGTTGGTTTAAAGTCTGTTTTATCAGAGACTAGGATTGCAACCCCTGCCTTTTTTTGTTTTCCATTTGCTTGGTAGATCTTCCTCCATCCTTTTATTTTGAGCCTATGTGTGTCTCTGCATGTGAGATGGGTTTCCTGAATACAGCACACTGATGGGATTTGACTCTTTATCCACTTTGCCAGTCTGTGTCTTTTAATTGGAGCATTTAGTCCATTTACATTTAAAGTTAATGTTGTTATGTGCGAATTTGATCCTGTCATTATGATGTTAGCTGGTTATTTTGCTCATTAGTTGATGCAGTTTCTTCCTAGCCTCGATGGTCTTTACAATTTGGCATGATTTTGCAGTGGCTGGTACCAGTTGTTCCTTTCCATGTTTAGTGCTTCCTTCAGGAGCTCTTTTAGGGCAGGCCTGGTGGTGACAAAATCTCTCAGCATTTGCTTGTCTGTAAAGTATTTTATTTCTCCTTCACTTATGAAGCTTAGTGTGGCTGGATATGAAATTCTGGGTTGAAAATTCTTTTCTTTAAGAATGTTGAATATTGGCCCCCACTCTCTTCTGGCTTGTAGAGTTTCTGCCAAGAGATCTGCTGTTAGTCTGATGGGCTTGCCTTTGTGGGTAACCCGACCTTTCTCTCTGGCTACCCTTACCATTTTTTCCTTCATTTCAACTTTGGTGAATCTGATAATTATGTGTCTTCAAGTTGTTCTGCTCGAGGAGTATCTTTGTGGCATTCTCTGTATTTCCTGAATCTGAATGTTGGCCTGCCTTGCTAGACTGGGGAAGTTCTCCTGGATAATATCCTGCAGAGTGTTTTCCAACTTGGTTCCATTCTCCCCATCACTTTCAGGTACACCAATCAGATGTAGATTTGGTCTTTTCACATAGTCCCATATTTCTTGGAGGCTGTGTTTGTTTCTTTTTATTCTTTTTTCTCTAAACTTCCCTTGTCGCTTCATTTCATTCATTTCATGTTCCATCACTGATACCCTTTCTTCCAGTTAATCGCATCCGCTCCTGAGGCTTCTGCATTCTTCACGTAGTTCTCGAGCCTTGGCTTTCAGGTCCATCAGCTCCTTTAAGCACTTCTCTGTATTGGTTATTCTAGTTATACATTCGTCTAAATGTTTTTCACAGTTTTTAACTTCTTTGCCTTTGGTTTGAATTTCCTCCCGTAGCTCGGAGTAGTTTGATCGTCTGAAGCCTTCTTCTCTCAACTTGTCAAAGTCATTCTCTGTCCAGCTTTGTTCCATTGCTAATGAGGAACTGTGTTCCTTTGGAGGAGGAGAGGCGCTCTGCTTTTTAGAGTTTCCAGTTTTTCTGCTCTGTCTTTTCCCCATCTTTGTGGTTTTATCTACTTTTGGTCTTTGATGATGGTGATGTACAGATGGGTTTTTGGTGTGGATGTCCTTTCTGTTTGTTAGTTTTCCTTCTAACAGGACCCTCAGCTGCAGGTCTGTTGGAGTTTGCTAGAAGTCCACTCCAGACCCTGTTTGCCTGGGTATCAGCAGCGGTGGCTGCATATCAGCGGATTTTCGTGAACCGCGAATGCTGCTGTCTGATCGTTCCTCTGGAAGTTTTGTCTCAGAGGAGTACCTGGCCATGTGAGGTGTCAGTCTGCCCCTACTGGGGGGTGCCTCTCAGTTAGGCTGCTCGGGGGTCAGGGGTCAGGGACCCACTTGAGGAGGCAGTCTGCCTGTTCCCAGATCTCCAGCTGCGTGCTGGGAGAACCACTGCTCTCTTCAAAGCTGTCAGACAGGGACATTTAAGTCTGCAGAGGTTACTGCTGTCTTTTTGTTTGTCTGTGCCCTGCCCCCAGAGGTGGAGCCTACAGAGGCAGGCAGGCCTCCTTGAGCTGTGGTGGGCTCCACCCAGTTGGAGCTTCTCAGCTGCTTTGTTTACCTAAGCAAGCCTGGGCAATGGCGGGTGCCCTTCCCCCAGCCTCGCTGCCGCCTTGCAGTTTGATCTCAGACTGCTGTGCTAGCAATCAGCGAGACTCCGTGTGCGTAGGACCCTCCGAGCCATGTGTGGGATATAATCTCCTGGTGCGCCGTTTTTTAAGCCCGTCGGAAAAGCGCAGTATTAGGGCGGGAGTGACCTGATTTTCCAGGTGCCGTCTGTCACCCCTTTCTTTGACTAGGAAAGGGAACTCCCTGACACCTTGTGCTTCCCGAGTGAGGCAATGCCTCACCCTTCTTCGGCTCGCGCACGGTGCGCTGCACCCACTGTCCTGCACCCAGTATCTGGCACTCCCTGGTGAGATGAACCTGGTACCTCAGATGGAAATGCAGAAATCACCTGTCTTCTGCATCACTCACACTGGGAGCTGTAGACCAGAGCTGTTCCTATTCGGCCATCTTGGCTGCCCTCCTCAGTACTTGATGTTTCTATCCTGTCATAAATGGCATCGCTTTGAAAACATTTTATTTTCTAAGCGTTTGTTACTAGTATGTAGAAATTCAATGTATTTTATATGCTGATTTTATATATAGAAATATTGCTAAGTTCACTTATAAATTCTAATATAGATGCTTTTGGATTATCTATGCAAACAACTATAATGTTTAAAAATGTCTGCATCATTACAAAATAGTTTTGTTTCTCCCTTTAGAATCCTCATACCTTTTATTTCTTTATTTTGCCTCATTGCACTGCACGATGTTGAATAGGAATCGTGACAGTTGGCACACTGGGTTTTCTGCCCAATCACAATGAAGAAGCTTTAATGTTTCACCATTAAGTATTGCTTGCTGTTTTCCTTCTTTTTTCCCTAGATAATCTTTAACCAACCTTCAAAAACATTTTTAAATGTCACCTCATTTGGGAATATTTCCATGAGTCATTCAGTCTGAGTTATATTCCCTTTCTCTGCCTGTGCATCCCACTAGCACAGTACTTACTCACCCTGTATTCTAAGTGATTGTTTGATTCTTCCTGTAGCTAAAGAATTTCTTGTGACTAACAAAGTGCCTAGCCCATAGAAGAAAATTGAAACTACCTTTTCAAAAATTATAACAGTGAGAAAAATCTGACCTAACTGGCTCCATCTTGCTTCTAACTTCCAAGTTGCCCTTATTCATTCCCGGGTATGGGCCAAGCTAACTATGGGAGGAATTTAGTATACAGTTTAACTTTAAAACAAAGATGATAACAGTTCCTTCCCAAAACGAATCCCATCGTTGCTCAGTGACTGCAACTGCCTTTGTAAAACTAACAAATTAACCATAAGGTTAGAATTGTGGTTTAGGAGTCATATAGCTGGAGATTACAACATTTAAAAACTCCCCAATTGCTCCTATAGCTAATATCACTATTGTAAAACCTAAGATTGGTGTTTGAGTTACTTTCCAGACCCTATGATTTCATCCTCGACCCAACCAATTAGCATTCTCCATTCCCTAGCCCTCTGACCACTAAATATTATTGAAAAACCCTAGCCTCCATGCTTTTAGGGAGGCAGATTCGAGAAATGTCTCCCATCCTTCCACTTGGCTGGCCCTGCAATTATCAAACTCTTTCTTTCTCTACTGCCATACTTTGGTCTCAATGAATTGGCTTTATCTGTGTGGTGGGCAAGAAGAACCCAACAGGTTCTGCACAAATGTGAATTACAAAATGAATAAGTATCCATTGAATGAATGATGAAGATGGTGCATTGTGGTTTTTCTACATGTGGCTTTTAAATAATTGCTACACTCTATTTTTGTTATGGGGAGGAGAATCTATGAAATAGAATTGGGCCATGTTAGCCCTATTATAAAGTGTTATACACCAAGGAGAACATCTAACTATGGCCAAATGTGTCTGTCTGGTTTTCTTCCCTCCCACTGGGAGAGCCCAGTGGGAGGATTTATACATCCCCACTCTAGTGAACTTCAGAGAGGTCATAAGGTTTCCATTCGCCAACAAAATACAGATGGAGATTACATGAGTCACATCCAAACAGAAGCTTTAAAGGTAATCATGTGAGGCACCATGCCTTTTCTTTTTGTCATGTCTAATGGCAATGTTTTAATGGCCATGTCTAATGGCCAGTGGTCATTTTGCTACTGTAAGGGGCAAGGGAAAACTTTCCCTTTGCCTTCCGAAGGTTCATGGAGAAATCAATTGAAAAAAGGCAGATTAACAGGAGAAAAGGCATACAAATTTATTAACATGTATGGGGAGAACCACAGTGATTACTCAACCCTCCCCTCAATGGGATATAGAAGATTCTATATCTTCTTCAGGTTACAGAAAGAATGGGGGCTCAGAGCATGGCCCAAAACAGGTTATGGTGGCAAATCAGGTTATGGTAGTAAGACTAGTTATGAGGGAGAGAAGAGGAGGCCTGGCTAGCAAAGGTGGTCTTGTTATGTAGATGAAACCTCACAGGTAGCAACCCTCAGAGATAATAGATAGTAAATGATTCTTTCAGACCTATAAAGATGTCAGACTCTCTGTTCGTATTTTCTAAATCCAGACAAAGGAAAGCCTCAGAGAAAGCCTGCCTGCATCAATGCAGATTTTCTCTATAGATGCAAATCTTCACAAAAGACAGCTTCTCAGGGCTGCTTCTGTTTGCAGGCCCTTTAAACAGCCATCTCAAAGAAATATATTTTGGTATGAAATATTTTTATTTCCTTCACTACTGATGGCTTTTCTATCTGTCTGGGTTCCAGAATGAAGACAGAGCCAGCAATAATATATAACAGTCAGGTGACATGAGAGCTAATCTTTGTTGATGTAGGCCACTGCAATTTGAGGGTTCACTTACTACCACAACATAACATAATGTAACGTGACTACCATACTAACATACTTGAAATTCAGCTTCTCAGCACATCTGTAGTACAGTATTATAGTTAATCCAGTTCATATAATCATTTCTTAAAATAGCACATGCTCTTAAATTTTATGTAAAGATACTTTTATATATTCTTCTAATCAAAGAACTGAGCACTGTAACCACCTGATGAGTTCTTCCTGCCCACTGTAAAGGCAAAACCAATTCACTGAGACTGTGCTATTGTGGTAGAGAAAGAGTTTTATTAACACAAGGCCAGCCACTCGACAGATGGAGTTATTACTCAAATTAGTCTCCCTGAAGGTTCAGAGGTTAGGGTTTTTCAAGAATAGTTTGGTGGGCAGGGGGCTAGGAAATGTGGAATGTTGATTGATTGGGCACAAAATCATGGGAGTGTTGAATGCAGTCCTCATGCACTGAGTCAGCCTCTAGGTGGGGGCCACAGAACTGATTGAGTCACAAGTCATGGGTGCAGGTGGAATCAGCCAGTCATTAGAAATGCAAGTCTTAAAAGACATTTCTTTTTTTTTTTTTTTTTTTGAGATGGAGTCTCACTCTGTCACTAGGCTGGAGTGCAGTGGCACGATCTTGGCTCACTGCAACCTCCGCCTCCCAGGCTTAAGCGATTCTCCTGCCTCAACCTCCCAAGTAGCTGGGACTACAGGTGTGTGCCACCAAGCCCAGCTAATTTTTGTACTTTTAGTAGAGATGGGATTTCACCATGTTGGCCAGGATGCTCTTGATCTCTTGACCTTGTGATCTGCCTACCTTGGCCTCCCAAGGTGCTGGGATTACAGGCGTGAGCCACCATGCCCAACCTTGAAAAGACATTTCTAAATGCTAATCTTAGGTTCTACAATACTGATGTTATCTACAGGGGTAACTGGGGAAGTTACAAATCTTGTGACCTCCAGAACAATGGCTGGGTATCATTTAACTATGCCTATATCTTAACGCATTTCAGGCCCCTCTCATAGTCCTAATCTTGTGACCTTTCATTAATCTTACAAAGGCAGTTTTAGCTCCCAACAAGGAGGGGATCTGTCTTAGAGAGGAATTATTATCGTATTTGCTTTAAAGTTAAACTATAAAGTAAATTCCTCCCATGGTTAGCTTGGCCTATGCCCAGGATGAGTGAAGACTGCCAGCCTGTGAGGCTAGAAGCAAGATGGAGTCAGCCATGTTAGATTTCTCTCACTGTCATCATCTTTACAAAGGTGGTTTCAACACTCTTTAGCCTTCCAAAATTCATTTCAAAGTGTGTAGGTGAGGCAGATATTGCTAGTTGTCTACCCAATATATGCATGCTCACATTTATCCATATAAATAGCACCTTGATATTGTTTAAAGGGACAATATACCTAGCTAACAGTCCAACTTTCACAGACTCCCTTTCTGTTAAGGGTGGTTATGAAACTCCATTCTGTCTAATAAGAAAGAGAGAGAAAAGAGGAATGCTATCAAACAGGGATTCTGGAAAAGCTATTGTTTTTCTGACAAAAAGGGGCAGACATTGCTGGTTTGCATCATTTGCCCTTTGCTCGCCCTAATTATTCTTGTATATGATGGTTGAAGGTTCAGCAGCCTCCTTGTGTCCATGAGGATGTTAGGACTCAGAAACCAATACCCCAAAGTATGGCATTTTGACATGCTTAAGTGAAGAGGCCTCAAGGTCTCTCTGACCTCCCTGTCTCCATCACCATGTCTCCCAAGAAGTTGAAGTTTTTTTCTTCCCTTCTCTGTTATGTCATAGTCTACTGCAGAAAAGAAGACCAAGATGTGACCACACCTGAGCAGAATAGTTTACAAGTATAATGACTATCTCCAAAGATAATTTAAATTCCAAGGAGAAATATTTACAAATTAATCTCTGTTCCTGGATCCATTCATTTTCAGTAGTAATCCCCTCAATGGAATTCCTCTTCTCCCCCTCTCATAACCTGTTTTACCAGGATCCATGCCTCCATTCTTTCCATAACCTCAAGATGGTATATTAGCTTTTGTATCTCAGTGGGAGTTTGGGTCTTCATTCTGAAGGTGCCCTTGTGTACATTAAATATATTTGTATGCCTTTTTTCTTATTAATCAATCTGTCTTATGTCAGTGATTTTTCAGCCAACCTTTAGGGCGCCAAGGGCCTTGGCCCACACAGACATAATAGCCAAATATTACAGATGGAGAGCAGGAAGCTCAAAGATGTCTTGATATTTCGTGACTGCCTTTAAAGCAATACCAGTCCTGAACTGGTTACCTCTGGACTCCTTCTTTTTGTTACTAGAAAAAAAAATCCCATAATTGCCTTCTATGTCTAAGCCACCCTTTCAGAAGTTTCTGTTATATGCCAGCAGAAAAATAATTATTAACTGATACAATAGATATACTTAAGTCAGGGTTTCTCAAAATCAGTACTATTGACCTTTTGGGCCAGATAATTTCTTTGTTGAGAGGAGGTTGTCTGTGCATTGTAGGATGTTGAGCAGCATCCCTGGTCTCTACCTACTAGATTCCAATAGCAAATCTCCCAATTACGACAATCACAAATGTCTCTGGACTTTGCTCCACGTCTCCTGGGGGACATTGCATTAAGCCCATTCATTACCATGGCTTTGAATACCACTAAATGGCAATGAGGGCCAAATTTATTACTCAAGGCATTCTTTCTCCCCTGAGTCCCTAGGGAGATAAGTGTGGATAGAAAAAAGGAGACCCAGGACCAAACTTAAAACTTGCGTGACTCATAACACTTTACTTTGTTGTACCAGGCACTTAGGGGAAACTGCATAGTTAAAACATAATACCCTGTCACTTACAAGAGCATTTTGTGTTCATTTTAAAGACATTTCCTTACGATTGCTGCATTTATGCTTAAGAAGTTTATGGAGATTTTGTGTCTAGGGAAGGAGTTGTTTTTGAATGGGGGAGAGGAAGTCTTTCTCAGACCCCCTCAAATAACATCACTGATTGCATTATTGTCAGGTTGGTGCTGCTTCAAGGTAGGAGTCATTCCATGGAGATTTAGGCAAGGAAGCTCATGTTTTCCAGGGGTGTGTGTGTGTGTGTGTGTGTGTGTGTGTGCTTGTTAGAGAAACAGAGAGAGAGAGAGGGAAAGAGGGAGAAGAGAGAGATCATGTCCTCTTCACCTCCAGTAGCTGATAAACTTCCTTATCATCTATTTATAATGGCTGTAAGAGGCCTTCGTATTCTATGTCTGCTGCATAAATGGGACTGACATACTGATGAGATTTTAAAATTGATTCAGGCAATTGCGTTTGATGTCAAACATCATCCAATCCATTGGGGGCCTTAACAAATACTAGGTAAAAATGACAACCAACAGAGGGAATGAGACTTAAAATATCTCACTGCCTGCCTGGATTATGAGTTACCTAAGATTTCAGGGGTTTTTTTCTGTTCCTTCTACCAGATAGCTATTTCATTGTTCAGAAACACTTTCTTAAAACAGTTACA
Organism: Homo sapiens; assembly: GCF_000001405.40. Lineage (NCBI taxonomy): Eukaryota > Metazoa > Chordata > Mammalia > Primates > Hominidae > Homo > Homo sapiens. The sequence continues at coordinate 16,315,764 of NC_000023.11, read as the reverse complement.
GTCTTAAGGTAAGAACAAATTTCCACCTGGTACTTTGACACTGTGGCACTGTGGCAAAAGGGTTGGAGGCACTATATAAGATACCTCCACGCTAACTGTGAATTTCAACCATTTGTGTTACGGAACCAAACTAGGGTCTGCTCACCTGGCACAGTAAGGGCAAATATCCACACCAAGGTTTACAGAAGGAAAAAGAAGGATGTTTATTTGCAGGGCATCAAACAAGGCAGCTCATGCTTAAGACCCGACCTCCCTGATGGCTTACAAGCAAGGGTTTTTAAAGGCAGAGGAAAATTTCAGGAGTGCAGAAGTTATAGGCAAAATCTTAAATCAATACATGAAGATTATACATTGGTTTGATCTCAAGAGGTGGGCTAATTCCAAGCAGGGACTTACAGATCATAGGCAGATTCAAAGATTTTCTGATTTGCAATTGGTTAAGAAAGATAATCTTTGTTTAAAAATTTTGGGTCGGCAGAAAAGAATGTTAACCCTGGCTTGTGGGTCTGACTTCCTCCAGGAGCCCCCAAAAGAACTTTAGAACAAAGAATGGTAAGGGGAACATCACACTCTGGGGACTGTTGTGGGGTGGGGGGAGGGGGAGGGATAGCAGTGGGAGATATACCTAATGCTAGATGACAAGTTAGTCGGTGCAGCGCACCAGCATGGCACATGTATACATATGTAACTAACCTGCACATTGTGTACATGTACCCTAAAACTTAATGTATAATTAAAAAAAAAAAAAAAAAAAAGAATGGTAGTCAGAGTTCAGTCCTCCATTCCCCCTTATCTGAGGTTTATGTGCCAGCAGATCTATTTGGTGGGGGTCCAGGTTTCTGAAAAACAACTCAGGGATGTATATTAAGATGTTATCTTTAGTTTCTATAGGGAACCAAACAGCCCATGACTGTAACATCCTTGCCTATTGTTTTAAGCTACTATTCCCTTTTTGCTTATCTAGTTGCTCATTTACTTCTCAGAGCTAGCTACCTGGAATTTCCCTTGACAGAACTCAAGATGAAACAGCCTTTGCAAAAATTATAACTGAGGAAATGATGACAGTGAAAGAGATCAGACCTAATTGACTCCATGTTGCTTCTAACCTTTAAGCTGTCCTCGTTAATTCCTGAGTGTAGGCCGAACTAACTGGGAAGGAATTCATTTCATGGTTTCACTCTGAAACAAAATTGGTAATAGGCCTTTCCCAAAAAGACCCTCTTCTTGCTCGGGAACCAGTCCGCCTTTGCAGGACTAACAAATTAGCTACAAGATTAGAAATTACAGTTTAGGAGTCATGCAGCCTCTGGCTCCAAGAGTCTGAATCTCCCCAAATTGCTCCTGGGGATAACGTAACTATCGTAAAGCCTAAAATCAGTGCTTGAGATATTTTCAGACCCTGCACTAGATGGATCAGCTGACACCATCCAGACCGGTAATCTGGCTCAATCTGTTCTGCAATCCTACTCGGGAACAGAAGACAGCAAGAAAACCTCACTTTGACCCCCCGTGATTCCGTCTCCAACCTGACCAATCAGCACTCTCCACTTCCCAACCCCCTACCTGCCAAATTATCTTTAAAAATTCCTATCCCCAAATGCTTGGGGAGACTGATTCAAGTAATAAAAAAACTCCAGTCTCCCACACAGCCGGCTCTGAGTGAATTACTCTTTCTCCATTGCATTTCCCCTGTCTTGATAAATTGGCTGTGTCTAGGCAGCGGGCAAGGTGAACCCATTGGCAAGGTGAACCCATTGGGTGGTTACAAAGATTTTCCTTTATTTACATGCTTGGGGGGACCTACAATCCCCTAAGAGGGGCCCCTGCTCTGTCTCACCTCTGCTCTCCAAATTTACCTTGATCTTGGAGAAGTTATTGCTCACTTTTACTGAAGTGCCTATTTCCAATGTCAACCAATAGTTATATTTTTATTAATATTGTTGTTACTATTATTTTAATTATAAAAGTAATGCATGTCCATTGTGAAAAATTCAAATAGCAGAGATTTAAACTGAGAAATAAAAGAAGCCCGCTTCCCTGGCAAGCCCACTTCTCAGAGGTATCTATTGTTAATAGTTTGAGTATGCTTCCAGAAATTTTCACTTAAAATTAATTATCAATGTAATACATGCATATAGTTTTTTTAAAAGCCACATAGTATTAACAATGGCCCCCTGTCTTGCTCTACCAATCTCCATTCTCCTTTATTCACCTTCCCAGAAGCAACCACTTTAGTTAGACTCTTTTAGTTGTTTCTTCTGGCACTATTTTTTTTTCCCGAGACAGGGTCTCACTCTGTCACCCAGGCTGGAGTGCAGTGGTGCGATCACAGCTCACTGCAGCCCAGACTTCCTTCATGGACTCAATCCATCCTCCTGCCTCAGGCTCCCCGAGTAGCTGGGACTACAGACGCGTGCCACTGAAATCACCTTTGCAAAAATTATTATTAGGGACAAAAATTATAACAGTATTATTATTTTTAGTGAGAAAAATTATATAGCAGTTACCAGAGCTAACTGTGCCTTACCCGCGCCCCCCCACCCGCCCAGCCCCGCCGTTTTGCCTTTCCCTTAATTATTCCTGGGCAGTAGAGTCAGGCTATAGTTTAAATGATAATAGGCCTTGCCCCAAAACTCAGTCGCTTTTGTAACACTAATGGCAGGCCAGCAGGCTGCAGGGAGGAAAGGACCCTGATTCCTGCTAAGGCGCAGACATGAATAATTATTCCAGAGGTTATAAGATATGCAACTTCCCTAATTACTCTTGCAAATAACATCACTGTTGTAGAACCTAATATTGGCCTTTTGAGATGTCTTTTCAGGCTTTTTGCATGTCTGACACTCATGGCTCCACCTGGACCCCCACCTGCTGGGGCTCCTGTGGCCCCACCCAGAAGCGATTCAGCCCCCAGAAGGACAGCTTTGACCCCCTATCATTTCATTTCCACCCCAACAAATCAGCAGCAAGCAACTGTTACCTGGCCACCCCTACCTCTTCCCTCAAACTGCCTTTGAAAAACCCCTAACATACGAGCTTTGGATGAGATGATTTGAGCACCAACTCCTTCTCCCATGGAGGTCATTGCCGGCCTCATGTCTACTAAAGTCTTTCTCTACTACAATGTGGTAGTCTTTCTTTATGCAGTGGGCAGGAAGAACCTCTTGGGCAGTTATACCGTAATGCCTAGCTAGTTTTTGTATTTTCTGTAGAGATGGGGTTTCACCATGTTACCAGGCTGGTCTTGAACTCCTAGGTTCAAGTAATCCACCCACCCTGGCCTCCCAAAGTGTTGGGATTAGAGGTGTGAGCCCCCGCACCTGGCCTCTTCTGGCACTTATATATAATTCACTTCTCCAAATAACATGTGTATGATATTATATTTCATCTGTTTTAGGCATTATTTACTTCCTATAATGATGGATCAGGAGTTAGTTCTTTTATACCATTCTTTCTGCTCCCCTCTCCCATCTCCCAACATTGTTATATTACAATTTTTGGCTAAATCAGTATTCAGCATTTACATGAATTTGCCTATGCAAACACAATTCACAGCTGGTAAATGTAGCATACTAATATTATTATTCCTTTCCTACTTTTGTTTTACCTAATGCTAATAATTGCCTTTGTTTTTTAATTTGCTTGGATTTCTCTATAAGTATCACTTATTGCTAGCTTTTCCCTGTGGTGGCCAAGGGAAAGGTTCGCTGAAAAATCACTGACATGAGGCACACTGGTTAATAGGAGAAAAGGCATGCACATTTTATTTAACATGTATACCCGAGAGCCTTCAGAATGAAGATCCAACCCCGCAATAAGGTACAAACCTTAGATACCATCTTGAGATTATAGAAAGAATGTGGTCTCAGAGCATGGCCAAACACAAGTTATAGTGGTAAGTCAGGTTATAGTGTCAGGACAGATTATGGAAGGGAGATAAGAGGAGGCTTGGCTTATGAATGTGATCTTGTAATGCAGATGAAATCTTACAGATAGCAGCCCTCGGACAGAATAAGTGGTAAGTGAGTTTTTTTTTTTTTTTTTTTTTTTTTTAGATCTTTAGGTGTCAGACTCTCAATCTTTCCTAGATCCCAACAAGGGATACCTGACTGTATCAATGTAGATTGTCTACAGATGTGAATTTCCGCCACAAAAGACAGCTTTACAGGGCCACTTTTGTTTACTGACTCTCTGACAGCCATCTCAAAATATGTCAAAGTAATATATCTTGGGGTAAAATATTTTAATTTCCTTCATGAGCTACTTGCCTTTCTGGAATGTTCTTCCCTCTCACCCTAGGAATTCCCTTTGCCTGTGTCCTGAGTTGGAGTCTTTGCGGACTGGAATACATATCTGCCTCATCTTAGTTTGCTCCTCTGTTTTGCTGGTACACATACGTTTGTAGCTAGGTAGGGTTAAATATTAAAATCCTGAACTGCAACTTTTAAAACTATTTAATTACTAGGAGTAGAACAACTGCAAACTCATCCAAAATATGAATTCATCTAGCTTTTAGGATTATGAATCTTCCCCTTGTTCCCAGACAGAACAAGGTCAGGCTGCTTGTTCTTGTGGTCCAATAACAAGATGCAGACAGACTGGGAAACAAGGGAGTTTATTTCTACAGCCAGTTACAGGGAGAAGGTCAGAGTAACTCATCAAACCAACTCATCATACCAACTCAAAGTTACAAGTTTTTCCTAGTGCTTATATATATTCATAAAAGAATTTATTTCTGCAACCAGTTACAGGGAGAAGGTTGGAGTAACTCATCAGACCAACTCATCATACCAACTCAAAGTTACAAGTTTTTTCTAGTGCTTATATATATTCATAAAAGAATTTATTTCTGCAACCAGTTACAGGGAGAAGGTTGGAGTAACTCATCAGACCAACTCATCATACCAACTCAAAGTTACAAGTTTTTTCTAGTGCTTATATACATTCAGTGCACCTACAAGCCGAAAGCCAAAGTGTTTCACTCTACCTAATCTTAACTAGGGTCCACGGTCTAGACAACTACTTCAGAGCCTTGCAAAAATTACTTAATCTAAAGTGGGTCCTGGTACAAGGTATGCAAGAATGTCTCCATTATTTTAATTAAACTCTAAGGTCTGAGAAAGCCCAGACATGGTCTTAATGGACCTGTTTGTACATTCTAGGCTTTGTAGTAAGGCACCAGTTTCTCCAGTTCTTTAATGTTTAACTTGTACATTCATTAGAGTTACACTAAGATATTGGTGAAGGCTGACTGCTCTGGTTGCTAATGGAGACCTGGTCTGTCACACCCTCTCAATATTTCACTGAAGTCATTTCCTCAAGGTTACCATTGGCATCCTCGTTGCTAATTCCAGTGAATATTTATTCAATTATATGCTATTGTATTCCTATTATGTGGCAAGTGCTATGCTAATTATACCTATTCTCTGCAATAGAGATACACCTATGCTAAGCTAGGGCTCAACAATAAACAACATACACATGATCCTCATGGAGTTTCTAGATATGATGTCTTTCATAGTTACCATAGGCTCTGGAGAGCCACAGCTAATTCTAGCATGGCTCTACATTTCCAACCTAATGACCCACTATGGTTTCCTTTGCACTCTACTACGTTGGCCTTCTTAAAATCTGCTATACTATTCACCATTACTTGAACACATATTTCTATTTCCAGCCTCTGAAATTTGTTCGATCAATTCCCTTCACCTGAAATTCCCTTAACCCATTCATCTGTCAAGAATTTACCCATTCTTTAGTGTTTACTTCCTTCATAAAGTCTTTTATGGTTTATCCATGCTCTTCCACCTCCTGCAGTAGAATTATCACCTTTCTCTATTCCTTATCACTTTGTGCCTCTATTATAGAACTTTCCACATCCTGCTTTTAAGGTAGAAATCACATCTTGTCCTTCTTAGCACACTGTTGTCGGCACTCAAACTACTTGTGATCTTGTATACCATGATCCTTCCTGATAAAAATACACTTTAGTCATCCAACAATTCATTATTTAATTCAACCAACACCTATAAAATATACACAATGTGTGAGGTCCTTCATTAGGCTCTGAGATGAGCCCATGTAATAGAATTATATAAGATTACATCATTCAAGGTCAAGTCAGGAAAACAGAAACCACACTAGTTGTTTCAACAGAGATCATTTCATTTAGGACATAGGTTATAGGTATCAGAGTGCTGAAAAGCAAAAAGGAAAGACTGAGATGACATAAAAATAATAGGGAAACAAAAAGAATATCTTGGGCTACTGGGACTCACAGCTGAAACCACAGTCTCTGAGGAGCTAGAGCTTTGGGCTCTGAGGTGTAGACATGACCCTCTGAAGGGGTGTGATGAGGTCCCTTCCAAAAGTTCCAATAGAAGCTGAAGATTGGAACCAACTGCTGCTACCAGAATGAAGGGTCATTGCTAGGAGGAATAATATGCAAAATAATAAGAAAAGAAGTCTCCTCTCTTCTTTTCCTGCTGTCAGAGGCATTTAAACCAGAGAGACTTCATCTCGAATAGGGGCTGAGTAAAATGAGGCTGAGACTTAATGGGTTGCATTTTCAGGAAGTTAAAGCATTCTTTGTCACAAGATGACATAGGAAGTCAGCACAAGATACAGGTCACAAAGACCGTGTTGATAAAATAGGATGCAGTAAAGAAGCCAGCCAAAACCCACTAAAACCAAGACTGCAATGAAAGTGACTTCTGGTCATCCTCACTGCGTATCGTACACTAATTATAATGCATGCTAAAAGACACTCCCACCAGCACCATGGCAGTTTACAAATGCCATGGCGATGTGGGGAAGTTACCATATATGGTCTAAAGTAGGGAGGAATCCTCAGTTCTGGGAATTACTCACCTCTTTCCCAGAAAACTCATGAATAATCCACCCCTTGTTTAGCATATAATCAAGAAGTAACTATAAGTATTCTCAGTTGAGCAGCCCATGCTGCTGCTTTGCCTATGGAGTAGCCATTCTTTTATTCCTTTGCTTTCTTAATAAACTTGCTTTCACTTTACTCTACGGACTCACCTCAAATTCTTTCTTGCACAAAGTCCAAGAACTCTCTCTTGGGGTCTGGATCAGGACCCCTTTCTGGCAACACTGCCATCTAATCTTTCTCTAGTGCTTCCTATCAGCAGAACCTAAGAGGAAGCCAAATGACAAAGGAGAATTTTGCAGAGTCTCAGCATCATTGCAAAGAGTATAGAAGTATAGGCTTGGAGGTGAGAGACAATAGTCCACTCCACCCTTATGGCTACATAGCATCCACGCACACTCTTCTTTATATATTTCACCTTTTATACGACACTAATAACACCTTTCTGCTCTTATCCTCTCCCCACAAAATGAAGATATCTTATCAGTCACTATATCCATCTCTGGAAACCAGTCATGGTTTCTATCTCTAGATTATGTTAATTACATCTCCCTTTCAGTCACGATTACACCTAAAGTTTAAATTGTAAAGTTAGCCATTAAGAACAGTCCTTATATAAAACAATGAGAGGGAAGGAGAAAGGATTTAAAAAGGAATAAGTGAACACTTGTGTTAGTTCTTGTTATTGCACAATAAGTTAGCACAAACTTAGTGGCTTAAAAGATCATTTATTAGCTCTCAATTCTGTAGGTCGAAAGTCCAATACAGCATGGCTGGATTATCTGCTCAAGATATCACAAGGCTGAAATCAAGAGTTCAGCTAGACTGAGTTCTCATCTAGAGGCTCTGAGGAAAATTATGCCTCCAAGCTCATTGTTGTTGGTAGAATTCAGTTCCTTGTTGTAATAGGACTGAGGTTGCACTTTCTTTGCTGGATGTCAACCAGAAGCTGTTCTCAACTCCTAGAGGCTACCTGAATTTCTTGCCACATAACCCCTCCATCTTCAAGCCAGGAAGGGCACGCTGCATCCTTCTCATGCTTTGAATTGCTGACTTCCCCACTGTGACTAGCTGGATAAAAATCTCTGCTTTTAAAGCTCTCATGTAATTAGGTCAGGCCCACCCAGATAATCTTAGCAACTGACTTGGGGCCTTGATTAAATCTGAAAAAAAAAAAAATCTCTTCATAGCAGTATTTAGATTCCTGTTTGATTGAATAACTGGGAGAAGGTGTAAATACACTGGGAGTCAGAAATCTTAAGAGGCCATCTTAGAACTCTGCCTTCTACAATACTACATGTATATGTGCATAAGAAACAAGAAAGAATATGCTTGACTTCTAAGTCCCTATTTCTATAATTGGTCACAAATTTATGGTTGATCTTTATAAATTCCTTTTTTTACTACCTATTCCATGTTCCTTGTGTCCTCAGCCAGCACTTCAGCTGATGGAGGTTCCTTATCTGGTGAGGTTACTTGAAACTTCCTTCTTGAAGGAATCTAAATGCCCAGTGATGTCAACAGAAAGAATTATGATATAAAGCAAAGAAAAGGATATAAGAATGGTAATTCTATCAGTACAAAACCAGAAAGTAACACTGAAATGAGGAAATCAAGAACAGATGTAGCTGTCATATAAAAACATGTTAATAGGCTTAACTTACTCTTTAAAGAAAAAAAAAACTCCTCAGATTGGGTGACAACTCGAGGTTCTGTTCAAGATAATCCAAGATAGAGCAAGATGACCAAAATCAAAATTAAAGCTACAGGAGACCCAAACTATACAATATGGAAATATATTGAACAGTGTGCAATGAAAATAGAAAATACACCTTTCTTTGAGTATCCACAAAATTGTTGGGGAAATTGGCTACATATTAGTCCACCAGAAAAAATGTAATAACTCTCTTTTCTTTTTTTTTCAATTTAGAAAGTTTATTTTGCCAAAAAATATAATAACTTTCAAAAGACAGAATTTTCTGATCACAGTGCTATAACTTGAAGTTAATAACAATTTTTTTAAAAAAGGTCTTTTCACCTGGAAATTAAAAAAAAAAAATACCTTTCCCTTAAATATTCTTGAGTAAATTTTAAAGAATTTCTAGCCAAAAAAGAGATAAAGAAAATACTAGATACCAGCACATACAGGCTAGAGCTAAATCAGTGATCAGAGTAAAATTTATTGCTGAAAATACATAAAAAAAAGAAATGTAATAAAGCATCCAACTAAACAAAAGGAGAAAAGAGGACTTAATAAAGAAAAATCTAAAAATAAAATCAGAACCAAAAAAAGTATTATTAATAAATAAATAACCAAAAATGCTTTTGTTAAAAAAGAACAAAATGAGTAAGCAATAAGCTAATGTAATTTTTTAAGTAGGAAATTATGAATGCATAAAATAACAGATGACAATTAGAAATAGCCACAGAAACCACAGATTAGGGAAAATAAATAAGTTAAGAGATTACCTTGCAAAACACCCTGAAAATAAATTTAGAAACCAAAAAAGATTAATATTATACAAAAATTTAATTTTGTATATTTATGCATAATTTTATTTTTGTATGTTAATATAATTTTTGTATAATATTAACAATCAAGAACAAACTCCAGAAGAGATAGAAAACTTAAATAGTCTGACTTTCATAGTGGAACTAAAATTGGTGATGAGTTTCAAAGTCCAGTGAGCTTCACAGGGGAATTCTACAAAACCTTAGAAGAGCAGACAATTCCACTGATGTTTATATTTTTCCAAAGCTTAGGAAAAGAAGAACATTCCCAAAAGTATTTTATGAAGAAAGTATAACATCAGTACTGAAAGCCTAAAAAAGATCACAATATAAACAGACTACTTGAGTTTGAATTTCAGCTCTGCTACTTACTAGATTTGTTATTATGGATAAGTGACTAATGTCTCTGTGCCTCAGTGTCTTTATTTATAAGGAACTTTCTAAGTCACAGGTGACTGCATGGTACCATGGAGGTTCTAACAGAGCACTGGCCTGGACTGTCACCCAACAATGCAGAAAGTATCCACTGGGAGTGGACATGTTCATGAGTAAATGTGACACACCCTCAGAGTCCAAACAATGCTTGGGACAGAAAGTTTTGTCTGGAGGTGAAGTCCTGTATTACAAAGGTAGAAGCAATAAGCAAACAAAATTTGGGTTGCTGTGACTTCATTTGTGTGGGTACGGATTGGTGAAGCTTAAGGTTACTTGAGTTAAATTTGCAAAATATGCAAAAATATTCCCTTATATACTCTTGGGTGCAGAGAAAGGAATGGAGCTAAGTCTGTGGGGCCCTGAAAGGTTAGACACAGTACAGTAGAAAAGGTGTAGCTCATCTTGGTTACTTCTCTAGGTACCTCACCATACAAGTCACCTAATATCTCAAAGCCACAATTTCCTCATCTTCAAAGTTTGGCTGATTAAACTATCTGTCTGGAGGGTTGTTGTGAGCATCAGCTGAGGGCGCTCTTTGTCCTATTTTCTTCATCTGTCATCTCTCTCCTGGCCTCCCTTACTTCCCTATACAATCTGGACCTCTACTGTGAATGCCCTCATAGACCCATCCTATAATTATTTCCATCCCCCACCTTCCCCCCCAAAAAACCAATCTCTGGATTATTGTCGTCACTTACATTCTCTGCTTTTACATCTAGAGACTGAGCACTGCTGGCAGAAATCACACAACCACACAGCTAGGCACAACTACCTACTCACAAAGTCAATCTTGGTTGGACGCACAGTACCACCCCTTGATTATTTCACTTGTCCTTTCTCAGATTTCTCTCACATTCTTCTCCATGAATGTTGTAAATCTTCACTATTCTCCTCAAGCCATCATTTACTCCATGACCTCCACACTCTCAGCAGATGACAAAGCCTCTTTCTATGTGGAGGATGATTCTTCAACTTTCAGCCCCGCCTCCCTGTGAATACATCTTTATTCATGCCCATCCTTAACTTCCGTCCTCCAGGCTTCAAAAGTGCTAGTTCCCTCGTCTTGTTGACAACTGACCAGGCCTTCCGTTTTAGCCCTCTGGTTGCCCTCCATCCCCTCCTTTTCCTCAGGATCCTGCTCCCCTAGTCATAACCTCTCTTGAAAGGCTTTGCCTTTCTGCTGACTCCTTCTCTTAGCCAATAAATATCCTAAAGTCTCTCCCTTCCTAAAACACCTCTTTGCACATCTGTCCCTTTTCCTTACCATCCAGTCTCTCTCACCTCTGCTTCTCATCTTTCCCACTGGCTATTTCCACTGTCTCACTTTCCATTCATATCTCAACCCACAGCAATTTGGCTTCTGTCTCTATCAAATCACATTATATAAAGTGACCAGGGATCTCCTAATTGCCAAATACAAAGGACACATTCTACCTTTTATCTTGCTAGAACGCTCAGCTCTTTTGATATTCCATGGTTACAAGGCAAGACAACCAGCTAAGAGTGAGAAAGGAGGTAGTGATGTCTGAAAGAAACAGGCTTCTGAATCCATTTTTCAAGAATGCATCACATCAAATAGTTCTTCCACTAAGTTAGAAATGCAAATAGCAATAGAAGCCATGCACTGTGTATTAAATGGACTAAAATAATGCCATCAATATAATGGTGGATTCTTTGAGTGATTTAAGTATCAAAACTACCAGTTATCTACTTGTTTGTGACCATAAACAATAATTAAATGATGCAAATAATGCTATTTAAAAGTCCAAGTGTTTTTAATATTATTGAAGCCCCAAAAATTGCTCCAAAAGTTTTTAAGTGACGGAAGCCTTTTTTAGAATGCTAGAATAGAAAATTGTTAACAATTGTTGAAGAAGCACAGGCAGCCTCATTTTCTGCTACTAACTTTACAGAATTCATTAAATATCATACAGATCTGGATAACACAAAATTCTAGAGTTGTAAGAAAAATTACAGAAAATTGGAAATGACACTAGAACTATGTGAAAGTACAAACTAACAACACATCTGAGATTCTGTCCAAGTTGTGTAAAAAATGAAAGTCAACAGTTACATCCACTTGGGGCAAAGTTAATAACAGAGATGTAATTAAGGTAGAATATAATTAATAAAAGAAAGGGTTGTTTGTGAAAAGTAAAAAATAAAAGTGTCATTCTTGGATGAGCAGTTTACATGTCCAGAAGAAGGGAACTGTTTGGTTTCCATGTGCTTCCCTACCATGATGTTTGATGCAGAACTCCAGGGAATTATTACAGATGAAATCAAGATATTAGCAACTCATGGAGTTAAGGGAGACAGAGGTGATAGGAAATCATATTCTAAAAGGATAGTCAAGGCTGTGATATGAATTGACTGATATTACATAGACAATTTACAATGTCAAGTAAATACAGACCAGATATGTTGGATGCCAAGACAACAACTGGACTATGCCACATCTCAGAATTGTTGTTGAGGATAAACTTTCAGGGAAAGCTGTCTGTAACTTCTGGAAATTTCTAGCAGACAAGAGGACAGCAAAAGAGAGTCTAGGGCAGTAAGGTATCCCATCAGGTACAGAGCATGAGGACACATCACAAAGGAAGTCAGAAGGGAGGTGCCTGAGAAAAATCATCTTTAGGTTAGAGCCCTGGCAGGATCCAAACTCTCACTTCAAGGATTTTCAAGACCAAGTCTGGGTCTCACGATGAACATTATATTAATTTTCTATGGCTGCTATAATAAATTACCATTAATTTAGTGGATTAAAATGACACGATTTATCATCTTGCAGTTTTGGAAGTCAGAAGTCTGATGTGCATCTCACAGGGCTAAAAGCAAGGTGTCCACAGGGCTACATTCCTTTCTGGAAACTAGGGAATATCCTGTTCTCTTGCCTTGCCACCTTCAAAAGACTGCCCACATTCCTTGGCTCATGGCCCCTTCTTCCATCTTCAAAGCCTGCAACAGTGGGTAGGTTCCTTCTCATATCACATCACTCTGACCTGCTCTTCTACTCCTCCCTCCCCTTATACTTTTAAGAACGGTTATGGTAACATTGGGCTCATCTAGATAATTCAGGATACTCTCCCTATTTTGAGGAAACCTTAATTCCATTAACATAATATATTCATGGTTTCTGAGGATTAGAATATATACATCTTGGGCAGGGGGGATTATTCTACCTATCACAGAGGCAAAGACAAATTTGTGGAATAAAATTTGTAATTAAGACAAAGGCCAGAAGTCCAGTTTGATTAAAATGGAACACATAGTGAGAAGCCTGGAGTTTGGACATTTGGGTAAGTCCCATTGTCAAAACGGAAACAACATGGAGAAAATAATTGAGCGGTGGTTTAGGAAACAACTTGGGGACAGATAAGTCATCCTTGAATAACCTTGATGTTAAAGTTTCACTGCACCAGTTGAGCAGTGTATCAGGGGGTTAGTGGAACTAAATCCTTGAAAGTACTTGCCAATACAAGACCAGAAATTTCAGGCTAGTCTGGGACCCCATTGGGAAGGGGACAGAATAATTACGTTAAGTTTGCAGATGAGAAGAGTGGGAAAGTGATTGTGATGCTGCTATTGAGATACTATTCCTATGTTACTTTCCCCCAGCAATTTCATTCTTTTCTGCCTGCCTTTCCACCCCCAACTTCATTCATAGTTGATCTCTGCTCATTCTCAGGGAAGAAGTGTGGCAAGGGAGAAATCCAAAAGCCGGCAAATTTATTCTTAGATTTTGTATTTCAAAAGCATATACTCTGAAGACCTAGGAATGAAAGTGTTTGAGAATAGCATGAGTGAGAACTGGGGATTTGAGAGGAGCTTCCAGCAGAGACTTTAGAATATTCTCTGCATTATGGGAAAGGAGGCAGAAGAGAAGTTGATGAGAGTATAGGCTGCAGCAGATCAGCCTTGCCAACCAGTGTGCTCCTGGTGCTGACAGGAGGTGGATGCATGGTGAGTCCAGGTAGGTGGTGCCCCAGCAGCCTTGCAGGGAGGTGCCATCTCCATGCCCTAGTGGGGTGAGAATAGAGCAAAATAATTCCCATGTCCTCAACACTGAGCCACAAATAACAGATCTGCCAGGTGAGAAAAAGCCAGGACATAGAAACTTCAGGATCAGATTTTTCCCATTTCCAATTCCTTGGTAATATGTAAGAAACTTTGGTTTTAGAAAAAAATGTGCTTTGGAGGAAACACTTAAATTGACTGAGATTAGATTTCTGTTACTTTCACAGAATATGAGCTGGAAAACAAAAACAGATTCCTAGAGACAGCTATAATATTTTAGGTGAAATTAAGATAACAGCTCAATGAGGAGACTCTTGGATGGGGACTGGAAATAATACGCATGCATCTGAATGTAGTCTCTTAATATCAGCTTTCTTTACTAGAGGGATCAATGCAGACAAAATTTAGATATTAACATACTATTGCATACTGCATACGGTTGATTAAATTGGGGTTAGAAATCTGTAGAAAATGCAGTTAAAAACAGAGGTAGATGATGTTTAAGGATCTTTAGAGAGGGATAATTTTTTTCTACTGCTTGGAGATGAATGGTGTTATTTCCTATTGCTTGCATTCAAGGAGATTTTGTTCATTTTACCTTGATGATCATCAGAAGTGAGTAACTTTACATCAAATCAGCATCTAATAAGCATCTTCTCAAGCACCAATTGTGCAGATACTTATGATTTAAAGAAAATAGTTTACATTCACACATGGTGATCCTAGATGACCCAATTAGGTTAGACATGTTTTCTCACATAGCTTTAAAAAGTGCATGAGATGCCCATTAGCTGTGAGCCTTCTGTGTGCTGTGGGCCAGTCAGTCTGACATGTTGGGTGAAGCAAGCAAACACACCAGAGAGCAGTCAGGTAAGGAGCGTTTCTACTGTGTTCCCCACTTCTGCATGCACCGTTCAGGTTGAATACCTCCCAAGAGTTACTTGTGTTAGCTTCCAAACTTACTGATGCCACTTGTACTTGTGTTTCTAATTTTGTGATTTAACTAAATATTGCATAAGCCAATGGAGTTTGTGCAAAAAGAAGAACACTGTTGTTATGAAAATGCTGAATCTCTTTGGAAAGACTAGATAAATGCAAATTGTTTTAAAAATTGCTGCCAAATTAGACACGGGTGGAAGAAACATAAAAGATGGGATGGGTAGAGCAAAACAATCTTAAAGAGTGCTCTACTGAGATTGCTTCCCTGGAGTATAAGTTCTCATTTAAGAAACACACACACACACACAAACACACAAAACACACACACACACACACACACAGGCTACCATAGACTACTTGATGGGAGTGGATTATTAAAGTATGGTTTTTATGTGAAAATTTCAACTTTTGCAGTATACATATCAAATAGTTTTCATTTTGGAGTAACTGCTACTAACTGTGCTCTAGCAACCCCCTCAGGAATCTTATTTTTATCGCAAAACCGTGTGATCCTTTTAGTCATTAGAACCATCTCATTCCAGTTTTTCAGGCAATCTTCTTATGGCTTTAATCTTTTTCTTGTTTTAAAGCTCTCCTTATTCTCCCGTGACTCTCATATTCTCCTGCCTTTCTCCCTAGTTATCCCTCTGGTATGAGGATGGGGAGAAGGGAGAGGAAAAACGGGCATTGTCTCTTTGCAAGTAATTGATTGTTATAATTAATGATGTAACTGAATATTTAAAGCCTGAGCATGGATAGATGTGGACAGGTGAGGGTCTCAACAGACATTACTGAATAGGATCTCAATCCAAAAGAGCTCCTATGGGAACAGGCAAAAATTGTCTTCCATCATGCATAGGGAACTCAAGAGGGTGACTCCCTGATGCTCTTTCCCCCACCCGGGTATCAGAAGGGCAGATCAGTAAGCTGAACATTCAGCTCAGGAATGCAATGTCAACCTTATTTCCTGCAGATGCTCCCCAGTTATTCAGGATGTAGCCTCCCCTCACTGGGAGAAAGGGGATCATTTCTCTTATTGAACACTACTTTTCCCAAAATGTTTGGCTCTCTCTTCTTTCCAGCCTTCCACTTGCATAGGGTAGGGCAGAGGGATAAGTGAACAAAAGCTGGTTTTGCCTGCCTCTTCTCTACAGTCCTGGAGGCAGAGCGCTGGCCCCAGTCATAGCTGCTTTTGTAAATTTAAGGGGCAGTTTACTAAGTCTTTTTTGTTTTCAGCTATGAGACTTAATTTTCAAGGCCTGAAAAACAAAACAAACAAGCAAAAACAGAGAAAATCCCATTCAATACCTAACATCATCCGTTTTCATAAGTAAGACAACTTGGAACTCCAATAATTCTACACTAAAAGAAGAAGGCTTGTCCACTACAGCAAAGCATTGGTGAGTGTCACATTTATGATACATGGTTTTATGATCCCTAACTGACTTTTTCAGTTTACTGGTCTTTTCAGATCACTTCAAATAAGAGGATTTATATATAACGCAAGCACCAAAATGTGAGATATCTTCAAAAATCCTCCCCTCCTATTTGCTATAAATAGTTAATCATCTACAGTGTCGTGGAGGTAAGATGAACAAAAGGTATTTCCCCCTTTTGCTTCTTGAGGTTCTAAGCTTGCAACTTAGCTTGCTACTGTCATCTTTTTAAAACAACTATTCCTGAACAACCTCCTTAAATCCTTCTTTTACATAATTTGCCTCAAAGTAGTCATTTTATTTCTTACCACTTACCTTCTAAAACACTCAATACAAAAACTATTTTAAACTATTAAAGATTCTAGAACAGAGATTACAAATAGCTTCTCATGCCAACATTGCCCATTCTTTCAAGGTGTTCTAATCTGTTACTTTCACTGAATCTATGCTGTGTCAAATAGAACAGATCCTTTTCAATGCAAAAATCTAAGACAGTGGGCACAGAGGCAAATCACCAGTTGATGTTGTTTTCTGAGTTTTTAACAGATTTATGATTTACCGCATGTTAGTCCTACTTGTAAAATGCATTTACAAGTACAGATATGCAATATATGGGCATACTTCATTTTATTGCACTTTGCTTTAGTGAGATTCACAGATATTGTATTCTTTACAAATTGAAGGTTTGTGGCAATAATGTATGGAGCAAGTCTATTGGCACCATTTTCCCAACAGTACGTGCTCAGTTCATGTCTCTGTTTCACATTTTGGTAATTCTCACAATATTTTAAACTTTTTCATTATTATTGTCTGTTGTAGTGATGTGTGACCAGTGATATTTGATGTTACTATTGTAGCTGTTTTGGAGTACTCAGAACTGCACCTATATAAGATCGGTAAACTTAATCAATCAATGTTGTGTGTGTTCTGGCTGCTCCACAAGATGAGAGCCACAGGAGAATAAGAAGGAGAGCTTTAAAACAAGTAAAAGTTCTTGAAGGAAATTAAAAGTGATACTCCAGTGAACACACAAATGATAATAAAGTGAAACAGCATTATTGCTGATATGGAGAAAGTCTGAGTGGTCTGGATAGAAGATCAAACCAGCCACAACATTCCCTTAAGCCAAAGCCTAATCCAGAGAAAGACTCTAACTCTCTTCCACTCTATGAAGGCTGAGAGAAGTAAGGAAGCTACAGAAGAAAAGTTGGAAGTTTGCAGAGATCGGTTCAGAGGTTTAAGGAAAGAAGCCGTCTCCATAACATAAAAGTGCGAGGTAGAGCAGCAAGCGCTGATGTAGAGGCTGCAGCAAGTTATCCAGAAGATCTAGCTAAGATCATTGATGAAGGTGGCTACACTAAACAGATTTTCAGTGGAGATGGAACAGCCTTCTACAGGAAGAAGATGCCATCAAGGACTTTCATATATAAAGAGAAGGTGATGCCTGGCCTCAAAACTTCAAAGGACAGGCTGACTTTCTTGTTAGGGGCTAATGCAGCTGGTGACTTTAAGTTGAAGCCAATGCTCATTTACCATTCCAAAACTGTTAAGGCCCTTAAGAATTATGCTAAATTAACTCTGCCCATCCTCTAGAAATGGAAAAACAAAGTCTGGATGACAGCACATCTGTTTACAGCGTGGTTTACTGAATATCTTAAGCCCACTCTTGAGACCTACTGCTCAGAAAAGAAGATTCCTTTCAAAATATTACTGCTCATTGATAATGCACCTGGTCCCCCAAGAGACCTGAGGGAGATGTACAGGGAAATTAATGCTGTTTTCATGCCTGCTAACACAACATCCATTCTGTATCCCATGGATCAAGGAATAACTTTGACTTTCAAGTCTTATTATTTAAAAAATACATTTTGTAAGGCTATAACTGCCATAAATAGGGATTCCTCTGATGGATCTGGGCAAAATAAATTGAAAACCTACTGGAGAGGATTCGCCATTCTTGATGCCATTAAGAACATTCATGATTCATGGGAGGAGGTCAAAATATCAACATTAACAGAAGTTTGGAAGAAACTGATTTCAGTTCTCATGGATGACATTGAGGGGTTTAAGACTTCGATGGGAGAAGTCACTGCAGATGTGGTGGAAATAGCAAAAGAACTAGAAGTGAAGCCTGAAGATGTTATTGGATTGTAATTGATTGTTTTATCAATTTCATGTTAAAACTTGAACAGATGAGGAGTTGCTTCTTATGGATGAGCAAAGAAAGTGACTTTTTTGGGATGGAATCTACTCCTGGTGAAGATGCTGTGAAGACTGTGGAAATGACAACAAAGGGCTTAGAATATTACATAAACTTAGTTGATAAAGCAGCAGCAGGGTTTGAAAGGATTGATTCCAATTTTGAAAGATGTTCTACTGTGGGTAAAATGCTGTGAAACAGCATTGAATGAAACATACAAATCTTTTGTGAAAGGAAAACTCAATTCATGTGGCAAAAGTCATCGTTGTCTTATTTTTTAAGAAATTGCCAGTCACCCCAACTTTCAGCAACCACCACCCTGATCAGTCAATAGCCATCAACATCAAGGGAAGACTCTCCTTTTTGCTGGTCAAAAAGATTATGACTCGCTGAAGGCTAAGATGATTGCTAGCATTTTTTAGCAATAAAATATTTTAATTAAGGTATTGCATTGTTTTTTAAG
This sequence comes from Homo sapiens, assembly GCF_000001405.40. NCBI lineage: Eukaryota > Metazoa > Chordata > Mammalia > Primates > Hominidae > Homo > Homo sapiens. The sequence continues at coordinate 16,296,871 of NC_000023.11, read as the reverse complement.
ACACAATGCTACTGCACACTTAATAGACTACAGTATTATGTAAAAATGACTTTTGTATGCACTGAGAAACCAAAAAAATTCATGTGATTGGCTTTTATTGTGATATTCACTTTATTGTGGTAGTCTGCAAATGAATCTCCAATATTTCTCAGGTATGCCTGCATGAACAACTTGAAAAGCTTCAAGTTCACTTTTGAGTTATAATTTGTTGCTGTCGAGATCAGTGGTATCACATTGATCCAATAAAATCACTCTAGGAAAAAAACTGTCCTTGAATAAACACTTCTCTTGATTTTTTTCAAAGCTGGTCCTGTTTTAGCTTCTTTTCACATACACACTTGCCTAAAAATTTAAAGACTCACTTCATCTTTATTGATCTAGGAACCATAAATCATATGGTAACTCAGTAACAACACTGGAATAGCCGTTACAACTGACCTATTGATTCCAGCCTTGCCTAAATCTTTATTAATCAATGGTAACCTTGGGTGATCTCACATATTAGAGTAGCCCTGCTAATCACACTTTCTGATAACTGCAAAGCCACTTTGCATATATGACTTGTGCTTTTGAAATCTTAATTTCTATTTTTAAAATTACTCTCAAGCCAATAGTGTGTATTTTTAGACAGTTTTAGTTATAAAGTCTGGTGAAATCCTAAAGATCAATATGCCTATCTGTACTCAATAATAGTATTTCTAAAAATGTGGTCTACAGGAACCTGCATCAGAATCACCTGGAATGCTTCTGTACAATTCAAACCCCTGAAAGTGAATCTGGGGAGATGGAGATCTGAGAATCTGCATGAATGATTCTTACGGATACCAACTTTAAAATATCAGAAAAGCATCATTGTCTGTCTTAGTCCATTTGGTGCTGCTGTAACAGAATACCTGAAACTGAGTAATTTGTAAAAAATAGAAATTAATTTCCTCACAGTTCTGGAGGCTGGGAAGATCAAGGTGCTGGAATCTTGTGCCAGCTTTCTTGATGTCCTCACATAGCAGAAGGCAGAAGGACAAGAGAGAACAAACCCACTCCTGCAAGCCTTTTCTATAGCAGCATTAATCTATTCCTGAGGGCAGAGCCCTCATGACCTAAATAGTTCCTGAAAAGCCCCACCTCCCAACAGTGTTACATTGGGGATTAAATTTCCAACACATGAATTTTGAAGGGGACACATTCAAACCATAGCACTTTCCAAAGAAAATCCTAAAATAATGAAAACTACCTAGTCAATTAGGTATAACAAGATGTCTCTAGGACTCATATGGAAAGCATTTTCTACCACTGAAGACAGGTATATAAAGAGCCTATTTCTCCCAGTATATATTACTGCCTGGGATTAGTTAGAAGCCACTTTAAACCATTTAGTTTCTGCAGCATTCATTCATTTATTCACTTACTCAACAATATTCATTGAATGCATACTATATGCTAGGCACTAGGGAATAAAATATGCTTCTGGGGCCCTAAGGACATGCTCACATTTCCCTGATGGATGGTGCACTGTGAGGAACTTGACTAGTATCCTCTAAACATTTCAGGATGGGATAAAGGTTTAACAGCCAGGTGCAAGGTGACTTCTCTGCATGACAGTTTGCAGAACTGGACTGGAGCCTCATTTCTATTGATTAGGTTAAACTCTTTGTAAGGGAAATAGATGTTTATCATGCATCTTTGTCATTCCCCATGGTGCCTCACACAGTTTTTCTTGCATATGACAAATGTCTTAGCCAGTTTTCTGTTGCTATAACAGAATACCTGAGACAGGGTAATTTATAAAGAAAAGGGGTTTATTTTGTCTCACAATTCTGGAGACTTGGAAGGTCAGGCAGCTGCATCTAGCCTGCTTATGATGAGAGCCTCGTGGTGCATCATAACATGGTGGAGAAGTGGTGGAAAAGGAAGTGCGCGTGTGCAAAAAAGACAAACCATGAGAGGCAACCTCTCTTTATAACAATCTGCTCTTGTGGTAACTAATCCAGTCCCATGAGAGGAAGAATTCACTCTCACACGATGGCATTAATCTATTCATGGTGGCAGTGCCCCTATGACCCAAATACCTCCCATTAGGCCTCATCTCCCAACAGTGCTACAGTAGCAATCAAATTTCAACATGAATTGACATGGAGAGGACAAATCGTATTCAAACCATAGTAACAAATAATCAATAAAACAGTTTTAAGTGAGTATAACTGAATATTATATAAACCATTCTACTTTAATAAATTTTGAAATATGCCATGCATTTTACTGGGGCAAGATAAAGATAATAGTATTTGATAGCACAACAGGATGATTATAGTCAATAATAATTTAATTGTATATTTAAAAATAACTAAAAGAGTATAATTGGATTGTTTGCAACACAAAAAACAAATGCTTGAGGAGATGGATACCCCGTTTTCCATGATGGGATTGTTGCTCACTGCATGCCTGTATCAAAGTATCTCATGTACCCCATAAATATATACACCTACTATTTACCCACAAAATTTTAAAAAACATTTTAAACAAAAAAAGATAATAGTAAAAAATATAATATCTTGCAAATACCTGTATTTGCAAGATAATTCGGCTCTTGGTTGTCAAAAAAGTGTTTTTATAATTATGTTCTAAAAATGCAAGGCAGCTTCCAAAACTAACAAATACACTTAGACTATTAAAAAGATCAGAGCTTTTTGAATGAAATGCCTCAAGAGAAAGTAACGTTAGGTGGAAAAAATGCCGTTAAATACTGAATTAAATTAACCAGGAAAAAAGTACTTAATCTGCAAGCAGTAAGCCTCAAGCCACCCCTCTGAAATTCTAGCTTTCAGATCAGGTAGAACTATCAAGAAAGGAGAGATCTTTAACATATCTATATAACCATTGGTACCCTGGCCTCATACTTCCATCACAATGAAAAAAAGTTCTAATATTAGAGTTTAAATATTATTACTGTTAAAACACAAAGCTTACTCATTTGATTATCACAATTGTAAGGGGAAAATACATCTCTACTTTTTCTTACAAAAATACAAATGATAATTAAATAATCCTCAGTGAGAATATTTAATTAATATTTAATTAAACAGAACCTATTTTTGGAACATATAAATAAAATGAAGATTCATATTTACTTCTTGCAAAATAAATATTTGAAGAAGAATACAATTAATAAAATTTTTATTTTGGTAAAATAAATACACATGCAAAAATATTCAGTATTTTTGTCTTGAAGACGCTGCAGTGGTAGCTTACATTGCCTCCCTCAGCAATGGTCTTTGCTTATTCAGGCCCCATTCAGCAGGATGGCAAACACAGTTTAAGAAGTTTGGACCTACTGGCCACTCACACTATGATGTTTTCACTGGACCCACATCCAGCTAAAATAGTCTCCAACGAACTGGAACTTGGGTTGGGGTAGAAGGAAATAGAAGAAATTTTACAACCTGCTTCACAACCCAGAGAAACTACTTTGAATTTGAGGCCAGAATGTCAGAGAAAGATGAGAGGAAATGGAGACTAAGAAACAGATCAATCATTTTGCCCAGAGCCCTAGCAGTAGTCAACAGGTGATGGAAAACTCTCTCTGCAGTATCTTTAGACATTTTTAGTATGCCATTTTTAAGTTATTGATGCATACTTTTATCTTGGTTTCCATCATGCTTACTGTCCTGGTTTTCCTTCTATGTTAGTAGCTTCCCCTTCTCAGTCTCCTTTGCTAGCTCCTTCTCTAGCCCAAATATTGGGATATCTCATGGTTCACTCCTGGGGCTTCTTTCCTTCTCCTTCTACTCTTTCCTTAGTTATGCTCATCCAAGACCCTGGTTTTAAATGCCATCTGTATGCCAATGCCCCTCAAAAGTTTGTGTTTAGTTCCAGATTCTCATCATAAATCCTAACTCCTGTTCTAAATGCCCACCTGATATCCTTACATGCATATCTGAAAAGTACCTCAAACTTAACATGTCCAAAATGGAACCCATTGATTTTCTTCCTCAATTCTACCTCTCTCCTAGTCTTCCTCATCTTAGTTAATGGCCCCACCATCCACTCAGGTACTCAAGACACAAACATCCAATTCACTGGTATTTCCTATTGGTTCTGTCTCCAAATATGTCTCAAGGCCATCTCATTGACTAAGCCTTAGTCTATACCATTGTCTGCCCCCTGGATTACTGCAATAGTCTCCTGAGTGGCTTGACGTCTTCCTTCCTTTTCCCTTTCCAACCCTTTATTCACACAATAGTGACAGGGTTCTAAAAAATGTACATCAGGTCAAATCACCTCCTTTGCTCACTTTCTTCAGTGACTCACTAATGCACTTAGAAGTGTGAACTTCTTTCCTAACATGGCCTCCTTCGTCTTACTCCTGCCTCAATCTCCAATCCCATTTCGTTCCACAATTGCTCTGTAAACAGATTCCAACTACACTGACCTCACACACACCAATCTGTTCCCCCTTTTAAGGCCCTTCATTGCCTGCTCTCTCTTCCTAGAATGCTTTTTTCCTAGTTCTTTGCATGGTTAACTCATTCTCATTCTTCAGTCTTAGTTCAAACATCACCACAAAGACGTTTCCCTGATCTTGTTCACCCTGTAATTGCAGCTCTTGCCACACCTCATGGTTATTCTTGATGCATTACTCTGTTTTATACATATAACAAGCAAAATGTGGAACCACCTTTATTTGTTTTACTTTTTGTTTTCTGGGTTCTTCACAAAATGTGAGGTACATACTGCATAAAGTAAGTAACACTTTGCAAACTGAATTTCCCCCATTGAAGTATTTCAAGAAATAATTTGTTCATGGTGGAACATGTTTTATATTGCTCACTGTAGCCAATATACCTATCATAGTTTCTAGCATAAGTTGGGCATTCAGTGAATATTTTTTCAATGAATAAATTACTGAAATGATGGAAAAATGAAAGGATGGAAAGACTGGAAGGAAGAAAACAGCCTTCAGTCCTCAGATGTCTGGCCCAAGAAAGTCTAGGCTCCTACATTTCAGCCCAGTGTCCCTTCCTTCGACCCTTCTCCCATCCCTCCAACCTTGGGAGAAGGAGGAAGGGAACAATGAGGGAAAAGAACAAGGTGGATGAATTAGTATTATCATCCTCCTTGGAGGAACAGTCGGCCTTTTACTCTGTCACAGAATCACTTGCCCTTGTCTCCTTCCTCTGCATCTTAAAAGGGCCTCTTGGGATCTATCAGCAGAACCTCTAGAACTTGCCCTGCTGGGAAGCTGAGGGTCTTCTCTAGTAAGTATATATTTTTTGAGAACATAGAAATAGTACAACATAAGGCTGAGGCAGGAGAATGGCGTGAACCCGGGAGCCGGAGCTTGCAGTGAGCGGAGATTGCGCCACTGCACTCCAGCCTGGGCGACAGAGCAAGACTCCATCTCAAAAAAAAAAAAAAAAAAAAAAAAAAAGAAAGAGTACAACATAGTTTCAGTTGCTAATTATTTGCAACAATGTTTCTAAGTAATTCAACAAAGCCATTTATTTTACAAAGAAAAATATCACTCATGACATTTTTCGTCTACTTTGATGAAAAATTTTAAATAGAAATAGATAAATTATCTTGCTCATCTCTAATTAAGTAGGATAATAAGGCCCCTAAAGGATCATTTGTTACAAAGTCCTATATTCAAGATCTGAAACTATTGCATCATTATAACATCCACCAGAGAAATAGGTTATCAGTTTGTTGACAGCATTCTCAGATGAATTTCATTGTTATCATTCCTCAAAAGCATATCTGTATCTCAAAACTAAAACCAGACATAGTGATATAGCCTCAATAAGTTAATTTGAAAAACAAAGAGAAAAGGGGAAACATATTTAATAAAGAAATTTATAATTAATGTGGTAATTTCAAGGTACTATAATAGCAAAAAATATATATTTTATTTTTCACACGAATTTATCGCATTTCTTTAGAATGGGATTGCTTATTTCCCTGTAGAACTTGCTATATAAAGGATGTAAGTTCAGTACTAATACTCCCATCTTAAAATTTTAAAAAGTTCCTTCACTTAAGCAATTAGCTAACTCAACACCTAATATGTAGATAGTGGGAATCTAACGGATATATATTAATGACTTTGACTCAGCAAATATCTATTAAGCACATGCTAGTTGCCTTGCAACTAAGAGGGAACGAATAAAGCTCAGTAGCTGAGACGATGGACTTTGCAAATATGGCACTAGGTTCAAATCCTGACTTTACCACTTGATAGCTGAAGGATATTAACAAGTTATCTAACCTCTCTAAGCTTCACTTATTTAATCTATAAAACTGAAAGTATTATTTGCCTCATGGTTTGGTTTTAAAGAATAAATAAGGTCAGACATGTAAAGAGATTAGCACGGTGCCTAACACATCATAAATGCTCAAAAAGGTTTCTTGTTGCCATTGTAATAAGTGGTATCACATAGTCCTTGTCTTCAAGAGCCTAGAATTTAATGAGGGAAATAAACATCCATGCAATTATTAAATAACGGGGCAAAAAGCATGCTACCTATATTTGTCCATAGATGAATCAACACAAGCTCCAAGTTTAACACCTACTTTTTAAGTTACTAGGTGCCTTTTGCCACACACTAAAATGTTGGCTTTCTCTGCACACAGAAATCAGTTTGTTGTCTTAGATTAGTCTGAACAATCTGAATTTCTAAGTATGGAATTAATTTTCTCCACTTATAAATTAAAATATTATTCTTCCACCTTCCAAAAAAACTAAGGTATAGAATACTCCTTTGCTAGCAATCTTCTACATGTTCTTATAGGATTTTAATCAAAATTATGAAAGGATATCATGTAATTCTTAAATTAGAAATATTATTCATAAAGTCCAAATTCAATTGATGTCCTCAACATCCACGAGGGTATTTCTAAACCTCAGTGATATGGTTTGGCTATGTCCCCACTCAAATCTCATCTTGAATTGTAGTTCTAACAATTCCCATGTGTTGTGGGAAGAAACTGGTGGAAGGTAATTGAATCATGGGGGCGGGTCTTTCCCATGCTATTCTCATGATAGTGAATAAGTCTCACAATATCTGACGGTTTTATAAAGGGGAGCTTCCCTGCACAGGCTCTCTTCTCTTGTCTGTCGCCATGTGAGAGGTGCCATTCACCTTCTGCCATGATTGTGAGGCCTCCCCAGCCACGTGGAACTGTGAGTCCATTAAACCTTTTCTTTTGTAAATTGCCCAGTCTTGGTCATGTCTTTATCAGCAGCATGAAAATGGACTAATACACTCAGTACCAGAAGAACAAATGAAATGAGTGGCATTGTTATATTAAAAAGAGCATAGACTGGAACTTTTAAAAGGAACATTTAAGGTATGAGTCATACCCAGCTAAACCGTGACAACGAGCAAATTCTTATTCTCAAGATTTGCCTCTAGCTCGGTCTTTGTCCAGTGGTAAATAGAAAACATCTATAAAGCATTTCTTATGCGTTGAGCACCATGGACACTCAGAGCTGAATAAAACACAGTTCTTTCATTTAAGGAGTTATCATGCTAATGGGGACAACAGACAAGTAAACTACTCAACTTCTCCATTTATTCTAAAATACAGATTATCCACATTTATCATCACTAAAATTGAGATGCATCTTGCAATCAATGACAATTTATAACTGCTATCAGCCAGATGACATTCATGATGTAGTTGCTATTGCCTGCATTCGTTATCTATAGCTGCATAACAAATTACCCCACGACTTGGTGGCTGAAGACATTTATCACATGAAAGTTTTTGTAGCTCAGGAGTTCAAGCATGGATTAGCTGGGTCCTCTGGCTCAAGAACTCTCACAGGCTGCAATCAAGGTGTTTTCTGAGGTTGTGATTATCTTAAAGTTCAACTGGGGATGGATCTGCTTCCAAGCTCAGTCAAGTGGGTCAAGTGGTTGTTGGCTGAATTCAATTTCTCATGGCCTATTAGAGTGAGGCCTTGGTTGCCAGAGATCTCCCTTAGTTCCTTGCCTAGTGATCTCTCTGTAGGGTAGCTTATGACATGACAGCTGGGTTTATTAGAGTGAAGAAACAAGAGGGGGAGAGAGGGAAAGAGGGAGGAAGAGGGATGGGAGAGAGAGAGAAAGAGAGACAGAGAAAGTCAGATAGACAAAAAGAAGTCACAGTATTTTGTAACTTAATCTCATTAGTGTCACGCATCACTTTTGCAAAATTCTATTCATTAGAAGCAAGTCACTAGGTTCAACCCATACTCAAGGGAAGAGGATTATACAAGGGTGTGAATACCAGGAGGTAAAGATCCTTGGGAGCCATTTTAAAAGCTGTCTAAAAATGGTTGCCTATAAATTACGGAACACAGTTTATTCCTAGGGGCATGACTGGGCCACAGCAACTTTTTGTCATGTCAGTCAACAAATCATTTAAGAACAATCTGAGGAAGGAAGATGAATCACAGTTGTCTGAAAATGTTTTTTCAGTACCTTCAGGTGGCAGAATGGATGCCAGGGGCTTGGGATAAAATCCAGACACTAGTATAGCATACTTTAAAGCAATGCTTCAGCACCAACGCCAGTGATGGGACAATACCATGTCAGGGAAGATGGACATAGATGCTTTTGAAAAGCAACTAATGTAGAAAAGCTGGACCTTGAATGGAAAAAGGTTTTAGCAATACCTAAACCAATTGAGTTAATGTATATTTTTCGTTTTATGAATGCACAATGGTGATATATAATGAAAATCTATGTCTAAATAAATCTAAAACATCTCTTTTAATAAGCATAAAATTTAAAAATCAAATGATATCAAAAGCATTGTGTCAGAGTTTAATTGGAAACGTTTTTCTTTGTAAGTGTTCCACAAAATAATCTCCTACAATCAAAAGCCTCTTAAATTCAATGAATTAGGAAATGATTACAATGAAGATGATGAATGCAAAAACAGAGGTAAGTTATCCCTGTTTACGGCATATCCAACTATGCCTGAGAGTCTGCAGTCTAGCCAAGACATGTCTTCAGTGAATTGTCCCATTAAGAAAAAAGCTCGTTAAATGTCTAATAAAGGTGAACAACTAAACTTCTGAAACATTAGGGAAAAAGAGTTAAAGATGATTATAAACAATCTCATATATTTGTGCAATAGAAAGGAAGACTTAAGGAATGACTAATGTGTCCTATCATGTATATTAGAAGTAACTTTCATAAAAATGAGATAACTTTTTATAAGTCCCAACTGTGGTTTCCAGCCTACAATCACAGACTCCAAAAGTTAGAAATTATTGCAAAGGGTCCATACATCCACCTGCACATGAAACATTTTATGTTGAACATCTAAATAAGATCTCAAACAATTTTGAACCATTATTTTTCAAATGTGTTAAAGACACTTTGTTATTAATTAAACACATTATTTTCAAGTAGTGTTTGACATCATATTCACCTTTTTATTGTGATTAATTAACAGACATTAGAAATACTATTAACCATCATTAGGGAAGAGTCCATGGATTTTTTACTATAAAAATATGCCCTCTATGACAAAAAGTCTGAGAACTACTGTCCTTAGTCTTCCTGAGTTGCAAACCTAAGCATTTTCAACAATGATTCATTTTCTACATCTCCATACGCTTAGCAAAATCATTTATCTCTGTGTTACTGGATAAAGGCGCATCCCTTGCTATTACTCTTCCTATTTAAAATTTCATACCCGTAGATAAAACTTGTCATGATTTTAGAAAGAACTCCATTTTTATTCCAACATGTTGAAAGGAAATGTATCTTGTTTCTGAAAATATTGAATAGGATCCTAAAAGGATTTCTTTTTCTCTATTCATTCCTTAAAGCCAGATCTTTTCTAACTAATAGCAAGCCATTTTTCATTCTTTAATAGAATTACTCTAAGAATGTTGGTTTAATTTTTTTCAGTTTAAATGGTTGAGTCACAGTGTAATGATTTTATTATACAATTAAGAACTCAGAATACCAAAAATTAGCCAAGATGGTAAGACTATTAGTGCTCTGTCACGGCCAAAATGATTCATTTGCTTACTACCAGAGATTAAATTAGTCATACTTCAGCCATATATTCAATAAAATGGAAAGAGAAAATTTTAGTAAGTATACACTTATTAACATGTTTTCTATTTATAAAAGGCTTCAAGTGTCTCTATTATCAGATCTACGGTTTTCACAAAATTCAAGTAGATGCTTATATTGGTCTGCACATAACCTGAGTACAGTTTCCACTTGTAGGTTCAGGATCAAGAGAGTCATCCAATATGAGTATGTGTTGTTTTGAATAAAGCATGCTTTTGGAGGACCATTGCCATACTAACATAAGGCAAACTGAAAGACATCTTCCTGCGTCTCTGATAAATGTCTCAAATAGTCACTTGATGAGAAAAATGGAAGTAAGAGGTGTGTTTTCAATTGGCAGTTCAGCATTAGGTATAAGAAATAGGTATGGATAGCTGGCCAATGCATTATTTAAGTCTTCATTCAATAAATATTTATTGAGGGACTTGTATGCACCCAACATGAGGCTAGGGTTGGGCAGACAACAGTGAATGAGGGAGATTTAATGCCCCCACCCTCAAGAAACTTGAAATATATTGGGGAGACAGAAAGGAAATAAACTCTTACAAATTAGCATCAAAGGCACTACAAAAGGGATTAATCCAGGATGTTTTGGAATCATAAGAGGGGTTTCTAATCCAGTGATGAAGAATCAAAAAAGACTTCTCAGGGAAAGTTAGGCCAGCAACTAATGGGGTGATGGGGTGGGGATGAGGTAAGGAATGTTTCAAGCAGAGAGAAGAAAATATATGAAGATCCTCATGAGACAGATCATAGGTGGGATTAAGGACCTGAAAGTAAAGGTTTAGCCTATTACTATTAAGTGAAATAAAAAATAAAATCTCTAGAAGGCTTTTGTTAGTTTGTGTGGTCACCCTTATTAGAAAAAGCGGCATAGTCACTTTTTCAGTGTGATATTTTACATGTTCCACAGACTTTAAAGTGAGTGATAAAGAAAATGTGATATATATGTTATACGCCATGGAATACTATCCATCCATAAAAAAGAATGAAATCATGTCCTTTGCAGCAACATGGATGGAGCTGAAGGCCATAATCCTAAGTGAGATAACTTAGAAAGAGAAAGTCAAATATCACATGTTCTCACTTATAAGTGACAGCTAATCAATGGGTACACAAGTTTATAAAAATGGAAGTAATAAACAATGGAGACTACAAAATGGGAGAGGGTTGGGAGAGTGAGGATTGAAAAACTGCCTATGGGGTACAATGTTCAATATTTGGGCAATGGATATGCACATGTACCTACTGAATCTAAATTTTTTTTTAAAGTGAGTAATGACAGCCAGTAATAAAGAAGTGAAAACTGTGGCAAACTTGCAATACATGAATACTTTTAAAGGCCAACACATGTACTGTGTGAGCTGCTATACACTGGATTATCAGTTTGAGAGATGGACATACCCCTCTACCAGCTAAAGGAAAAATATTCTTCATTGGAATACCGAGCTGTCTCTGTGGATTTTTCTTCTTACATTTTGGGGATAAATTGTTTTGTGTATGTATGCTTAAGTCAGTAATAAAATATAATCCAGACTACAAATATATTTTTTGACACAACAAATTTCAGGAAGACATTTAGGGCCTAAAATGAGATTAGACTGTGGTTAGGGAACTCAATCCAATGTTAGAATATCCATCAACTATGCTTTCATTCAAGATAACAGTCAATCTGTCAAGATATCTAGCTGATTGACATTCTTGTGGTGAGTCTAAATTTATTCTTTTCCCACTCTTAAATTTGCACTTCTATCATGGTATAGGCCTTAAATTGAAGACTGAGCCAGAAATATGACACTTATCAACAGTCTCCTGGCATGTTATTTCAATTTCAATTTGTCAACTTCAACTGAAATGTAGGCAAAGCAAATGTTACACTGCCAAGCCCCAGACTCAGTTTAATCTTGGGGCTTAAGAAGGGGGAACCAAGCTAATGCTTGTCAACAGATTATGCAGTTGTCCAGAAAGATGATATCAGAACCACATATTCTGTGCTTCAAAGTATTAACTCTGAGAAGAATAATTCTTCAGAAGATAAAGCATAAAAACTAGAGATATACTGGAGCTATTCAACAAACCTGTTAGGATTATAGTTAAGTTATAGTCAAGGTGTCACAAAATCCAATCAGGATATATATTCCTAGAAGTCAATCTTAGGATAATATTCAACAGATATTAAAGTAAGAACTTGCATGGCCGGGCGCAGTGGCTCACGCCTGTAATCCCATTACTTTGGGAGGCCAAGTCAGGTGGATCACCTGAGGTCAAGAGTTCAAGAACAGCCTCGACATGGAGAAACCCCATCTCTACTAAAAATACAAAATTAGCCGGGTGTGGTGGTGCATGCCTGTAATCCCAGCTACTCGGGAGGCTGAGGCAGGAGAATTGCTTGAATCTGGGAGGCGGAGGTTGCGGTGAGCCGAGATCACGCCATTGCACTCTAGCCTGGGCAACAAGAGTGAAACTCTGTCTCAAAAAAACAAACAAACAAACAAAAAAACAAACAACAACAACAACAAAAACTTGCAATAAAGCTCTGGCCAATATTTGTGTATGATTTTGTCTTGAATTTTGGTATAACAAATTCTTCACCATTTGAGGTCTGTATCTAGGAATGATATTTTACTGGTTTATCAACTGGATCCATACTGGAATTTAGATGATTTAGTAAACAAGTCCACAGCTTACGATCACTGGGGCTGTGCGCTCCAAAATTCCAGGGATTCCATTTGCATAAACTACAATGTAAATTGTAGCCCCCAGGAGTTTTTTAGTGTGGCCATCCTATTAGTAAGAATATTTAGATGACTGATGTCCGTCTGCCAAGTATCTCTTTTCATGGGTTCATATGCTTTGGGAGCAGTGCTTGATTTTTCTTCTTCTTCTTCATTTTTTTTTCCTAAGGTGGTAATCTATGTATGATAGAGTGACCCCTGGAAGAGGTGAAAAATGTCAGTGGAAAGATAAAGAGATGTTTTTCTCCTGTTCCTTTCTTTCTGTACTCTCCTATCCAAACACATACCTGGCCAAATGGGCTGCTTTCGAGCCTCACTAGAGAGGGGCATTGGGCACAAAAGACAAAAGAGTTGTGTTGATGAAAGACTGGGCTGTCTCTGAGCCAAGTTCGATGGAGAGAGGTGGAAAAGGCATTCATTTTACTTCAACACTGGAACCCAGCAGCAGCAGCCCAGCTGAGAAGCCACAGAACACATAAAGTCCAGAGTGGCCATGATGGGAACAGATAGCCATGATGAAGCCAGAGCCAATAGGGTCAGCTTTGTCCCTTGACATGTGTAAAACACTGCCCCAGGAACTAGGGCATATAACTAGGAGAGCTTTTGAAGAAGGTGTAAGATCTAGGAACAGCAGAAAAGATTTGGATATTACTGTAAATGTGAGCACATTTGGATATTACTGTAAATGTGACCACATGCTTCTCCACAGGCTGGGGCAGCCTGGGATATTTAGACTTCTAAAAGGTAACTTTGATTTGGAAAGTAAGCTTGCAAATTTGTAAAACCTTGTTGTTTTCCAATAAACCATGAAAATAAACACAGTGTTTGAAAAATGAATGAAAAGGCAAAAACAAAGAATGTTTGTCATTTAATAACTATTTTAACTGATCTTTAAAACTTATTGTATCCTTATAATCACAACTTTTTAAACACCATGATGGGGCTGGTGGGGATAAGAGGAGTGGAAACAGAAAGAGATGGAGAAAGCCTGGAAGGATGGGAACAATGAGGCAGAGAGAGGTCCAGCCTCTGCCTTTTGGGGCTGCACTGCATGCCCATGTTACTCTTCCCCACTTTCCTTCCTTAAAATGCCTTCAACACCTATCTTCATTTGTCTCAGAAAGAAACTGTGCGGAGCAAAACCTTCCTCAGGCCTAAACAGCTGGCTTGATTGAGTTTTCTTTCTCTAGGTATTTGCTCAGGTCACCAGCAGCTTTTCCTAACCTCCAGCATTGCTCAGGCACTCTAGAGCAATCCACGTGTGAGGTGATATTGTAACGTGATGGATAACTCAGCTAGCCAAACTGAACTCTCAGATGACAAAGTATTTATTCAGCTATAGCGCCCAACTGGGATGTGACTACAAACTTTCTCCTACCTTTAAACAAAAAAGCAAACAAACTAAAGCAAGGAAGAGATCATTGGCTCAGAAAATGGTCTAAGACTAGGACCTCTCTGGTTGGCATTTTTTGAGTGGCCAGCCTTTTCCATGCTTGCATTCACCTACTTTCCATGTGGATTACAAGGTTTCCCCACCTCAGCACCACTGACATTTTGGGCCCAAGAATTCTGTGTTGTGGGATATTCTGTGCACTGCAGGCTGTTCAGCAGCATCCCTGGCCTCTACCCACTAGATGCCAGTAGCAATCTTGTTCCCTGGTTGTGACAACAGAAATTTCTCTGGACATTGCCAAATGTCCCTTCGGGGCAAGATAACCTGCAGTTGTGAATCAACGATCTAAAATTAAACCTGTCTCCATATCTGACAGCTAATGCTACATCAACAATAACAGTACACACCCATTTTTAAAACCCTTTCAATCAAAATTATTTGTGAGTTTTTTAAATATAAAAAGGCCAAATGCTAGGTTACTGGTTTTTTTTGTTTGTTTGGTTGGTTTTTCTGTGACTCTAGGAACAGAACCAGTAGAGAGAGGAAAAGATTATAAGCTATGTTGAGCACCTTACATAGTCACATCTTACAGGGCATTTGGAGAATACAATATGAATAAAATACTTGTTAAAATCAGATAATTCTAAGAACTAATATCAAAATTCAAACTAATTTTTTCAAGAATGAGCAAGCAGCCATTTAATACTATTTTAGCACATAACTAAAATTAATTCATAATATACAGTGGGAATAAAACTGATCTTCCAAAAAAAAGCATTCAAATGACTTTTACAAGGGAATTCGCAATTCCCTGAAAACCTAAAAAATGACTCCCTTAGTGCATGGACCCTGTAGCATCAACAGAACCAGTGATTTGTGTTTTTTGGCCAAATTACTCACAGTGTTAGAGCAGACGAGGGAAGAAAAAGGGATAGAAGGAAGGAGTGAGGGATGGAAGAAAGAAAGAGATGTTAAGAGAGCCCAGTCCACTATCTGGTGTCATGAAGATAAGAAGAATTTGTTTGGAATTATGTTTATACTATCATCATTTTCTTTAAAAAAAATTGATTTTTTTCTTGATTGTGGAGTTACAATGCTCATTATAGAAAATTCTGAAAATACACAAAATACAAAAGAATGTACCATATCAAGATAATAATTATTAACTTTATTCCTTCTAACCTCTTCCCAGATTTACGTCTTTTACCAGTAAGCAGAATTAGGCTTGTACTAGAAATAATATTTTATCATCAAACCTTTAATGTAGGTTATCCAAAGACAGTCACGCTAATAAAATGTTTAACGCAGTGATGCCTCTTCTTAGTGCATGAAGTAATCTTTCTTAACTAAAGGTTCCTTAGTTGATTTGCAAAAAACTATACACACTTCAATAAAAATCAAAAGTACTTCAATAACCAAAAAAATAAAAAAAATTTTAAATCCAAATTTTTGACTTATTGTATTATGAGAATGTCTTCATATCACTGAATTCATTTCTTTCATTTATTTTTTTACTCCTTTATTGAACAAATATTTTGAGTGCCTATAACATTACCAGGCACTATTTCATCTCAGGAGATACAGTGGTGAACAGAAGAGAAAATAAAAAAAAAAACAAACCTTGCCCTTGCGAGGCATATGTTCCAAAGTGGGGCACCCAGCGATAAGAAAATGATTGAGTACAATGTTAAGCATGAAAGACAGCAATAAGCTAAATGAGGAAAAATAAGCCAGGAAAGGGGCTGAGAGCAGTTCCATATTTGTTTGGGGGCTGAGTTTGCAATTTTAAGAAGAATGCTCAGAAAAGTCTTCAGTGAGAAGGTAGGCACTGAGTAAAGACCTGAAGGAGGTGAAGGAGAGATCCTTAGGAATATCAGAGAAATCATTACAGACTGGGAGAATCAGGCAGGAGCTCACCTCCTGTGGGGGTTGACGCCACTATAGGGAGTTGGGGGCAGAACAGTGGGTGATTGTGGCCTTGGTGGCATTTTAGGGGCTTGAGCTTTGATGGAGAATGAGAAGAGAGACTACTGAAGATTTGGAGTCCAGGGATGACTTGCCATCCAACTAATTCATGGATGTTTTATGAAGAAGAGCCTGACTATCAAAACCAAAAGCAGAGAGCCCTATTGGGATGCTACCACAAGGGTCTGGCCTGATGTAGGATTGGACTCAGGTGGAGGTAACATAAGCGGTTAGATTCTGGATATATTTTGAAAGCGAGAACAGCAGAATTCTGAGTATCCAGTATGCAAAGTGTGAGAGGAAAAAAAAGAGTCAAGAATGACTTTTGGGTTTTTTGGCCTGAAATTATTACTCTAAATTATAATTTTAATAAATGCATAATTTATAATAATGCTTTTAAAATGATTCTCATTATGTAGGAAGTATCAAAATTAAAAACAATGAGATTGATCACAGGAATGTCATCTTTATTAGAATATAAGTTTAGCAACTAGAAAGCAGTAGTGAAGTTCAAACAAATCAAAAGCATCTTGCCTCTTGAAAATTGAAAAATAATTTATTTAAAAGATGAATGAAAAGAGAAACAAACAATTCAGTAGACAACTCAAAACCAAGATCATCAAAATTTACAGGTGAGATTAGTCTTGAAAGATGAAAGAGTTCATGAAGAAAAGCAGCAGAACAAAAGATACCAGACAACAGGAACAAGTACTGGAACGTAAGGAGTGTAAGGAGGAAATGGGGAAGGACAGGCAGGGACTTGATAATCCAGGACATTATATGCCATACAAAATATTCACATTTTATCCTGAATGCGATCAGGACCACTATAGGATTTCAAATCAGGAAAAACTTTTCAACAACCATGAGTATTGGGGACTAGTGGCTCATGAAAGGATCTTCAGTTAGTATTTAGTCATGATTTTTTCTCTTGCTATTAAAAAAATAAAGTGTTACCCTTATTTACCAATCCATGTAAGAAGATATAACATTCAAAAGTAGATCACTACAAACTACCCATCTGACAAGGGATTGATAACCAGAATATATAAGGAGCTCAAACAACTCTATAGGAAAAAGTCTAATAATCCAATTTTAAAAATGGGCAAAAGATTTGAAAAGACATTTCTCAAAAGAAGACATGTAAATGGCAAACAGGCATATGAACAGTTGTTCAACATCATTGATCATCCGAGAAATGCAAATCAAAACTACAATGAGATTAAAAGATACGGGCTGGGTAGGTGGAAAATGGTGGCTAGGAGGCAAGACTAATTTGCAGCTTCCTCTCAGATGGGCAGAGCAGTGTGTGGAGACCCACATCATGAACTTTTGCTCCAAGAACTACTGCAGGAGCATACCAGGAAAGCCGAGAGAATACCACAGACCCTTTTAAGGAGGTGGATTGCCATTGCAGGCTCTGTGGGACAGCCAAGGAACTCTGAAGACAAAGGACATAATCCTTTGAGAGCTCTATGGCTCTGCCCACCACCTGAGATACCTGAATACTTATCCAAAGGCCACCCTAGGACAAGCTTGTATCCTCCCTATACAACTGCAGCTGATGCACTCTTGAAAGCGCCACCTCCTGGCTAGAGGCCAACCAACACAAAACCAACACACAACGCAAATACAACCAAGGGCTTTCACAGAGTCCACTTTACTCCCCTGCTACCTCCACCAGAGCAGGTACTTATATCCACGGCTGAGAGACCTGAAGACAGATCACATCACAGGACTCTCTGCAGACACTTCCCAGTACCAGCCCAGAGACCAGAGCTCCGCTGGGTGGCTAGACTCAGAAGAGAAATAAAAATCACTGCAGTTTAGATCTCAGGAAGTCCCATCCTTAGGGGAAAGGGGAGAGCACCACATCAAGGGAACACCCCTGTGAGACAAAAAAATCTGAACAGCAGCCCTTGAGTTCCAGATCTTCCCTCTGACATAGTCTACCCAAATGAGAAGGAACCAGAAAAGCAATTCTGGTAATATGACAAAACAAAGTTCTTTAGTACCCCCAAAAGATCACTGTAGCTCACCAACAGTGGATCCAAAACAAGATGAAATCTCTGAATTGCCAGAAAAGGAATTAAGAAGGTCAAATATTAAGCCAATCAAGGAGGCACTGGAGAAAGGAGAAATACAACTTAAAGAAAAAAAAAATGACACAGGATATGAATGGAAAAATCCCCAGTGAAATAGATAGCAGAAATAAAAAACAATCACAACTTCTGGAAATGAAGGACACACCTAGAAAATTGCAAAATGCACTGGAAAGTCAGCAATAGAATCCAACAAGTAGAAGAAAGAACCTCAGAGCTTGAAGACAAGGCTTTCAAATTAACCCAATCTGACAAAGACAAAGACAAAAGAATAATAATAATAAAAATGAACAAAGCCTCCAAGAAGTGTGGGATTCTATTAAACAACCAAACCTAAGAATAATTGGTGTTCCTAAGGAAGAAGAGAAATCTAAAAGTTTGGAAATATATTTGAAGGAATAATTGAGGAAAACTTTTCCAGCCTTGCTAGAAATCTAAACATCCAAATACAAGAAGCTCAAAGGACACCTGGGAAATTCTTCGCAAAAAGATCATCACTTAAGCACATAGTCATCAGGTTATCTAAAGTCAAGATGAAGAAAAAAATCTTAAGAGCTGTGAGGCAAAAGCATCAGGTAAACCTATAAAGGAAAAAGTATTAGATTAACAGCAGATTTCTCAGCAGAAACCCTGCAAGCTAGAAGGGGTTGGGTCCCATCTTTAGCCTCCTTAAACAAAACAATTATCAGCCAAGAATTTTGGGTCCAGTGAAACTAAGCTTCATAAATGGAGGAAAGATACAGTCTTTTTCAGACAAACAAATGCTGAGAATTCACCACTACCAAGCCAGCACTACAAGAACTGCTAAAAAGAGCTCTAAATCTTGAAACAAATCCCCAAAATACACCAAAATAGAATCTCCTTAAAGCATTAATCTCACAGGACTTATAAAATAACAACACAATAAAAAAACAAAAAAACAAAACAAAACAAAACCAAGGTATTCAGGCAACAAATAGCATGATGACTAGAATAGGACTTCACATCTCAATACTTACATTGAATGTAAATGGCCTAAATGCTCCACTTAAAAGATACAAAATGGCAGAATGGATAAGAATTCACCAACCAAGTATCTGCTGTCTTCAAGAGGCTCACCTGACACATAAGGACTCACATAAACTTAGGGTAAAGGGATGGAAAAAGATATTCCATGCAAATGAACACCAAAAGCGACCAGGAGTAGCTATTCTTATATCAGACAAAACAAACTTTAAAGCAACAGCAGTCAAAAAAAAGACAAAGAAGGCTAGGTGCAGTGGCTCATGCCTATAATCCCAGCACTCTGGGAGGCCACGGTGGGTGGATTGCTTGAGTCCAGGATTTCGAGACCAGCTTGGACAACAGAGCAAAACCCCACCTCTCCTAAAAATACAAAAAAAAAAAAAAAAATTAGCTGGGTGTGGTGGCGTGCACCTGCAGTCCCAGCTACTCAGGAGGCTGAAGTGGAAAAATAACTTGAGGCTGGGAGGTCAAGGCTACCGTGAGCCAAGATTGTGTCACTGCACTCTAAACCTGGGCAACCAGAGTGAGACCCTGTCTCACAAAAAAAAGAAAAAGACACTATATAATGATAAAAAGACTAGTCCAACAGGAAAAATCACAATCCTAAATATATATGCACCTAACACTGGAGCTCCCAAATTTGTAAAACAATGACTGCTAGACCTAAGAAATGAGATAGACAGCAACACAATAATAGTGGAGGACTTCAATAGTCCACTGACAGCACTAGACAGGTCATCAAAACAAAAAGTCAACAAAGAAACAATGGACTTAAACTATACCCTAGAACAAATGGACTTAACAAATATTTATAGAATATTCTACCCAACAACTGCAGAATATACATTCTATTCATCAGCACCAGGAACATTCTCCAAGATAGACCATATGATAGGCCAAAAAACAAGTCTCAACAAATTTAAGAAAATTGAAATTATAGCAAGTACTCTCTCAAACCACAGTGGAATAAAATTAAAAATCAACTTCAAAAGGAACTTTCAAAACCATGCAAATACATGGAAATTAAATAACCTGCTTTTGAATGATCATTGGGTCAACAATGAAATAAAAATGAAAATTTAAAAATTATTTGAACTGAACAATAATAGTGACACAACCTATCAAAACCTCCGGGATACAGCAAAGGCAGTGCTAAGAAGAAAGTTTATAGCATTAAATGCCTATATCAAAAAATCTGAAAGAGCACAAATAGACAATCTAAGGTCACACCTCAAGGAGCTAGAGAAACAAGAACAAACCAAACCCAAACCCAGCAGAAAGAAACAAATAACGAAGATCAGAGCAGAACTAAATAAAATTGAAGCAAAAAAAAAAAAAAAATACAAAAGATAAACGAAACAAAGAGATGGTTCTTTGAAAAGATAAATAAAATTCATAGACCATTAGTGAGATTAACCAAGAAAAAAAGAGAGAAGATCCTAATAAGCTCAATTAGAAACGGAACAGGAGATACTAAAACCAATACCACAGAAATACAAAAGATCATTCAAGGCTACTATGAACAGCTTTACACACCTAAACTAGAAAACCTAGAGGAGATGGACAAATTCCTGGATATATACAGCCCTCCTAGATTAAACCAGGAAGAAATAGAAACTCTGAACAGACCTATAACACGCAGCAAGATTGAAATGGTAATTAAAAAGTTACCAACAAAAAAAGTCCAGGACCAGACAGATTCACAGCTGAATTCTATCAGACATTCAAAGAAGAATTGGTACCAATCCTATTGACATTATTCCGAAAGACAGAGAAAGAGGGAATCCTCCTTAAATCATTCTATAAAGCCAATATCACCCTAATACCAAGACCAGGAAAAGTCATAACAAAAAAAGAAAACTACAGACCAATATCCCTGATGAACATAGATGCAAAAATCCTTAACAAAATACTAGCTAACCAAATCCAACAGCATACCAAAAAGATAATCCACTGTGACCAAGTGGGTTTCATGCCAGGGATGCAGGGATGGTTTAATATCTGCAAGTCAATAAATGTGATACACCCCATATAAACAGAATTAAAAACAAAAATTACATGATCATTTCAATAGATGCAGAAAAAGCATTTGACAAAATTCAGCATACTCAGTAAAATCGGCATAGAAGGGACATATTTTAAGGTAATAAAAGCCATCTACAACAAACCCACAGCCAACATTATACTGAATGGGGGAAAGTTGAAAGCATTTCCCCTGAGCACTGGGACAAGACAAGGATGCTTTCACCACTTCTATTCAACATAGTACTGGAAGCCCTAGTCAGAGCCATCAGAAAAGAGAAAGAAAGGGCATCCAAATCGGTAAAGAGGAATTCAAACTGTTGCTGTTTGCTGATGACATGATTGTATACCTAGAAAACCCTAAAGACTCACCCAAAAAGCTCCTATAACTGGTAAATGAGGTTCAGCAAAGTTTCAGGATACAAAATTAATGTACACAGTGGCCCTGCTATACACCAACAGCAACCAAGCCAAGAATCAAAGCAAGAACTCAACCTCTTTCACAATAGCTGCAAAAAATAAATAAATAAATAAATAAAAACAGAATATACTTAACCAAGGAGGTGAAAAACCTCTACAAGGAAAACTACAAAACATTGCTGAAGGAAATAATAGATGGCACAAACAAATGGAAACCCATCCCATGCTCATGGATGGGTAGAATCAATATTGTGAAAAGGGTGGAATCAATATTGTGAAAATGACTATAATGCCAAAAGCAATCTACAAATTCAATGTAATTCCCATAAAAATACCACCATACCATCATCATTCTTCAAAGAATTACAAAAAAAAAGAAAAAAATCCTGAAATTCATATGGAACCAAAAAGAGCCCACATAATCAAAGAAAGACTAAGCAAATAGAACAAATCTGGAGGCATCACATTACCTGACTTCAAACTATACTGTAAGGCCATAGTCACCAAAACAGCATGGTACTAGTATTAAAATTGGCATATAGACCAATGAAACAGAATAGAGACCCCAGAAATAAAGCCAAATACTTACAGTCAACTGATCTTCAACAAAGCAAACAAAAATATAAAGTGGGGAAAGGACACCCTATTCAACAAACGTTGCTGGGATAATTGGCAAGTCACATGTAGAAGAATGAAACTGGGTCCTCATCTCTCACCTTATACAAAAATCAACTCAACATGGATCAAAGACTTAAATCTAAGACCTGAAACTGTAAAAATTCTAGAAGATAACATTGGAAAAACCCTTATAGACATGGGTTTAGGCAAAGAATTCATGTCCAAGAACCCAAAATCAAATGCAACAAAAACAAAGAAAAATAGATGGGACTTAATTAAACTAAAAAGCTTCTGTACAGCAAAAGAAATAATCAGCAGACTAAACAAACAACCCACAGAGTGGGAGAAAATCTTCACAATCCATACATCTGACAAAGGACTAATATTCAGAATCTATAAGGAATTCAAACAGTCCCATCAAAAAGTGGGCTAAGGACATGAATAGACAATTCTCAAACGAAGATATACAAATGGCCAACAAACATATGAAAAAATGCTCAACATCACTAATGATCAGGGAAATGCAAATCAAAGCCACAAAGTGATATGCCACGTTACTCCTGCAAGAATGGCCACAATTAAAAAATTTAAAAAATAAGAGATGTTGGTGTGGATGTGGTGAAAAGGGAACACTTTTACACTGTTGGTGGGAATGTAAACTAGTACGACCCCTATGAAAAACAGTGTGGAGATCCCTTAAAGAACTAAAAGTAGATCTACCATTTGATCCAGCAATCCCATTCCTGGGTATCTACCAGAGGAAAAGAAGTCATTATACGAAAAAGATACTTGCACATACATGTTTATAGCAGCACAATTCGCAATTGCAAAAATGTGGAGCCAGCTCAAATGCCCATCAATCAACGAGTGGGTAAAGAAAATGTGGTATATAGATGCCATGGAATACTACTCAGCCATAAAAAGGAACAAAATAATGGCATTTTCAGCAACCTGGACGGAATTGAAGACCATTATTCTAAGTGAAGTAACTCAGTGATGGAAAACCAAACATCGTATGTTCTCACTCATAAGTGGGAGCTAAGCTATTAGGACGCAAAGGTATAAGAATGACACAATGAACTTTGGGGACTTGAGGGAAAGGGTGGGATGGAGGTAAGGGAAAAAAGACTACACACTGGGTACAGTGTACATTGCTCAGGTGATGGATGCACCAAAATCTCAGAAATCACCACTAAAGGACTTATTCATGTAACCAAACATGACCTGTTCCCCAAAAACCTATTGAAAATTTTTAAAAGATTATAAAAAATATAAATTTGTGTGCAATAAAATCAAATAATTTTGACAACTTTTTATGTAAAGAATAATTAAGTTTTTGAAGTCTGCCAGTTTAAATAATTTTTTAGATTTTTGGATAACTCAAAATCTTCGTTTAATATCAAGTTAAGCTAATTTGTGAGTAATTATTGAATACCTAAATAATTTTTTTTTTTTTGAGACGAAGTCTTGCTCTTGTCCCCCAGGCTGGAATGCAATGGTGCAATCTCGGCTCACTGCAACCTCCGCTTCCCAGGTTCAAGTGATTCTCCCACCTCAGCCTTCCGAGTAGCTGGTATTACAGGCGCCTGCCACTATGCCTGGCTAATTTTTGTATTTTTAGTAGAGACGGGGTTTCACCATGTTGTCCAGGCTGGTCTCAAACTCCTTACCTCAGGTGATCTGCCCACCTCAGCATCCCAAAGTGCTGGGATTACAGGTGTGAGCCATTGCACCTGGCCATAATTTCTAAGATGCAATTCTGAGATTTTGATTACTAAATATTGTGTTGTTTCTATGCTTTTGCTTACCCTTTTATATGATGTAAAAAAAATCTAAATCTTTGGGTCATTTAATGAATGTGTTCATGTTAGCCATTCTGTAATGTAAAAGGGATGTGTGTGGTTGTAGAAAGTTGTGTTATGTGTGTTCGTGAACTTTGCTAGTCTACTAAAATACTCCTTTATATTAAAAGCCTGCACGACAGAGCGAGACTCCATCTCAAAAAAAAAAAAAAACAGTTTTCAATTATCTACCTTCATCCATTTTTCTGTATGAAATAGAGGTTAACTACTTTGGTTAAAAGTTATAACTACAGCTCGGGCAACACAATAAGACCCCATCTTTACAAAAAATAAAAAATTAGCTGAGTGTGGTGCTGCGTGCCTGTAGTCCTAGCTGCTCAGGAGGCTGAGAAGGGAGGATTGCTTGAGCCCAGGAGTTCAAGGCTGCAATGACCTATGATTGTGCTAGTGCACTCTAGCTCAGGTGATAGAATGAGGCCTTGTCTTAAAATAAAATTATAATTAATATGGCTGGTTGAGACTATACTGTGAACATTCGTGACAGAGAAATATAATTATTTACGTGCTTTGTTTCTCAGAGCAAAAGAGAGTACTTTTATCCTAATGGATGTATTCTCAAACCCTTTGGTCTCAGGATCCCTTTACATTTTTAAAACTTTTAAGGACTACTAAAGAGCTTTTGTTTAAGCAGGTTGTATTTATCAGCCTTTGTGATATTAGAAATGAAAATTAAGAAATCTTTAAAGTATTTGATACTTTTGAAAAATAGATATAATGAACTGATTGCATGCTAACCTAAATAACACATTTAATGAAAACAAATTATATTTTTAAAAAATTAGTGAGGAGAGTTGCATTGTTGTAAATTTTTGTAAATCTCTTTGATAATAGAGATTTGCTAATAGAACTAATAGAAGCCTTCATGTTAAAAACTGTCAATAAATTAAGTATTGAAGGAACATACCTAAAAATAATAAGAGCTATTTATGACAAACCCAGAGCCAATATCATACTGAATGGGCAAAAGCTGGAAGCATTCCCCTTGAAAACTGGCATAAGACAAGAATGCTCACTCTCACCACTCCTGTTCAACATAGTATTGGAAGTTTTGGCCAGGGCAATCAGGCAACAGAAAGAAATAGATGGTATTTGAATAGGAAGAAAGGAAGTCAAATTATCTTTGTATGCAGATGACATGATCCTATATCTAGAAAACCCCATCGTCTCAGCCCAAAATCTTCTCAAGCTGATAAGCAACTTCAGCAAAGTCTCAGGATACAAAATCAAGATGCAAAAGTCACAAGCATTCCTATACACAAACAATAGGCAAGCAGAGAGCCAAATCATGAATGAACTCCCATTCACAATTACTACAGAGAGTATAAAATACCTAGGAATACAGCTAACAAGGGAAGTGAAGGACCTCTTCAAGGAGAACTACAAACCACTGCTCAAGGAAATCAGAGAGAACATAAATGAAAAAAACATTCCACGCTCATGAATAGAAAGAATCAATATTGTGAAAATGGCCATACTGCCCAAAGTAGTTTATAGATTCAATGATATTGCCATTAAACTACCATTGACATTCTTCACAGATTTAGAAGAAACTATTTTAAAATTCATATGGAACGAAAAAAGAGGTCATATAGCCAGGACAATCCTATGCAAAAAGAACAAAGCTGGAGGCATCACACTACCAGACTTCAAACTATGCTACAAGGCTACAATAACCAAAACAGCATGGTACTGGTACAAAAACAGATATGTAGATCAATGGAACAGAACACAGAACTCTGAAAAAAGACTGTACATCTACAACTGTCTGATCTTCGACAAACCTGACAAAAACAAGCAATGGGGAAAGGATTCCCTATTTAATAAATGGTGCTGGGAAAACTAGCTAGCCATATGCAGAAAATTGAAACTGGACCCCTTCTTTACACCTTATACAAAAATTAACTCAAGATGGATCAAAGACTTAAATGTAAAACCCAAAAGCAAAAATTGACAAATGGGATCAAATTAAACTAAAGAGCTTCTGCACCGCAAAAGAAACTATCATCAGAGAGAACAGGCAACCTACAGAATGGGAGAAAATTCTTGCAATCTATCCATCTGACAAAGGTCTAATATCCAGAATCTACAAGGAACTTAAACAAATTTACAAGAAAAAAAAAACAAACAACCCCATTAAACAGTGGGCAAAGGACATGAACAGACACTTCTCAAAAGAAGACATTCATGTGGCCAACAAACATATGAAAAAAAGCTCCACATCACTGATCACTAGAGAAATGCAAATCAAAACCACAATGAGATACCATCTCATGTCAGTTAGAATGGCAGTTATTAAAAGGTCAAGAAACAACAAATGCTGGCGAGGTTACAGAGAAATAGGAATGCTTTTATACTGTTGGTGGGAAGGAAAATTAGTTCAACCATTGTAGAAGATGGTGTGGCGATTCCTCAAAAACCTAGAACCAGAAATACCATTTGACCCAGCAATCCCATTACCAGGTATATACCCAAAGGAATATAAATTATTCTGTTACAAAGATACATGCACATGTATGTTCATTGCAGCACTATTCACAATAGCAAAAACATGGAATCAACCCAAATGCCCATCAACGATAGACTAGATAAAGAAAATGTGGTACATATACACCATGGAATACTATGCAGCCATAAAAAGGAACAAGATCGTGTTCTTTGCAGGGACATGGATGCAGCTGGAAGCCATTATCCTCAGCAAACTAATACAGGAACAGAAAACCAAACACCACATGTTCTCACTTATAAGGGGGAGATGAACAATGAGAACACATGGACACAGGGAGGGGAACAAGACATACTGGGGCCTGTCGGTGGGTGGGGTGGGGGGAGGGAGAGCATTGGGAAAAATAGCTAATGCATGCTGGGCTTAATACCTGGGTGATGGGTTGATAGGTGCAGCAAACCACCATGACACATGTTTACCTATGTAACAAACCTGCACATCCTGCACATGTACCCTGGAACTTAAAATTAATAATAAAAAAGAGTATGATAAGAATGTAATATTTTAAAAAGAACTGCCCAAAGGAGGAATTCGGATGTTTCACTCATCAGGGGTCCCTGCCAAGTGTTTTGACCTGGATTCCACATAAACATAAAGCAAGCGTATAGAAAAAGCTTATGTACTATTATTTATTAGGGAGTTTAATTCAGGAAAAGCAGGAGTAAGGTAATGGGAGAGAAACACCAGGAATGAGGGAGAACCAATATACGAGTGCTTTGTCATGCAGGCTGCTCCTCTGTATCAAGGGCTAAGGAATGCTCCATCCCTCAGGGTGATCTTCAGAGAGGTCATTTGGGAAGAGGAAAGGAGAAGAATTTATTCACCTGCTTCTGATTCCCACTGGTCAAATTTGACCTATGAAGCATTAATTTTCCCAGACTTTCAAGTAATATGCTGCACATATGTGAATATTGTATCATGTTGGTTCCTTGTCTTGTGGTATCTCCCACCTCTGTATCAATCAGAAAGTCCCAGATAGGAGTCACTAGAGAGGCACTATGGGCATGAAGTAAATGGTTGGCAGGAACAACTGGCCAGAGGCCCTGGAGCCAGTTGAGACAGAAAATATCTGAAAAGGCACATAAGAGATGTCTGATCATCAACCTATATATCAAACACCTACTTTTGCAGTGTTACAAGCCCAATAACTACAGTTAAACATTGCAAAGTTCTCAGTAGACCTGGAACTAAATGGGGTCTTTTGTGCTTTGTGGGCACACTACGAATGTCCTACCAGTTATTGTCTTAGGACAGTCTCATCAAGATAAAAAATCACAGTTGCTCTGTATTATTTTGATTGATAAAATACTTTAAAAATTATTCATATAATGGATACCATTAATTGGTTTACTGATTCAATTTATGGAGTGCTTACTATTTTCCCATTAAGCATAAGAAGCTGCCATGGACTTTGGTATCATCGTTGTCATCATCGTGATTACTATAGAGGTGTTATTAGAGTCAATTCTCCAAAGAGGACACATAACTCAACCCAGTTCTGATTACTATGGCAATGCCTGACTCTAATACTTTCCTCCTACCAAGTGGGTTTCCTTGTAACTGTCTTCACATAAATCCATGAGCCACGATCCTTGATACCTTCCTATCTACTTCTGTATCTTTTATGCCTATAACCTCAGTTCCTCATCTTTACACTAAATCTTAATCTCATTGTTTCCAATCCAGTCTTGAAACATGACTCCAGATCCAGGTAGTTGTTCCTTTGACTTGACAATTTGGTCATGGACTTCCCGACATTGACTAAAGACTAAGCAGGACTAGACCTGCCTCATGATTATGCAGACAGAGTCTGAGTCAATTCTTCAGACAGAATCCAACAAATTTACTCACTATCCACAGAAGGAGGATTAGAAATAGTGTCCCCTAAACTGTCACACCAAAACAAAATATGTAATGTTTGGCAGAAAGCTTGAATCAGGGGAAAGAGGTTCAAAAGTTCCCCTGCAAAAGATCCTCTGCCACCTGACTCAAAAGATCTCTACTTCTGCACCACTTAACCAGCATTATCTTAGAATGGAATGGACCAAGACAAAAGAACAAGACTTACTTGCTCTCTCCTGCTGCAATTTGTGGTGATCCACATAGATTCCCTGCACGACTGGGGATCTCAAGCCTATCTCAGACCTTATGTAAGATGGAAGCTCCTCTAGAGTTTCATTTTGGGTACTGGAACTTGCGAGAACTGTCTTTAGGCTCTGTCTTCTGCACTTGGACAATTTATGTTTCATTTGTCCCAACAGAAATTGCTGGAAATAGAAGAATGAGACTTCTCCTATATAAGAATCTAAGACTGCCCTTAGTGAGTCAAATTCCAATGGATCATTCAGTCTAGCTGAGTTAAGGAATGATTCATAGGAAAGCATAGTAAATTCCCACTGTTTATTTTCTATTTAATAATGCAATATAGACTTTCTGGAAGATACAATTACTAGAAATGAATTTGGTTATAGTGTCAAGCCCTTTTTTTAGTTCTTTGGAACAATGATAGTCTTTGTTTCTTCTCTGGATGCATCTAGAGCTCACTGTCAATTCAGGCCAAAAATAATATGCGTGTGTATACAGAATGGCCCTCTCAGTAAGGTAGAAGAAAGCATTTCTTTATTTATGCTTTATTTAGATTTTTTAAAAATTTGCTTAGGCCTATTGTGTAAGACACTCAAGGTTATATTTGCCAGCCTTCAAAGGAATACAAAAGGATACAGCCTTGCACTTCATTATAAAACAGTATTCATAGTCCCAGGAGCATCATGTTCTTTATATTCACAAGGTAAACAAACACTTTGCTTAGAGTGCAACAGAAGAAATGTTGATGAATCTCTCATTGTAATAACAGGCCAGCAAACATCCTTTTTTTTTTTTTTTTTTTTTTTTTTTTAGACAGAGTCTTGCTCAGTCGCCCAGGCTGGAGTGCAGTGGCGCGATCTCGGCTCACTGTAACCTCCGCCTCCTGGGTTCAAGCAATTCTCCTGCCTCAGCCTCTTGAGTAGCTGGGACTACAGGTGCGTGCCTCCATGCCCAGCTAATTTTTGTATTTTTAGTAGAGACGGGGTTTCACCATGTTGGCCAGGCTGGTGTCGAACTCCTGACCTCACATGATCCACCCAAAGTGCTGGCATTACAGGCGTGAGCCACCGTGCTCGGCTGCAAACATCCTTTGATGCCAGGTTCAAGTCATTTTATTTGGGTACAGAAATATGGCTAGGTATGCTGAGCTGCAAAAGGTTTCAAGAAAGCAGACAGGTATATTTTCAGTAGCAAAGTCATCTTATTTTCAGGATCTATTACAATATTTGTATTCTAGAGGATTTGCCCCAGATGGAAACTAGATTTCCAGATTCACTGTGGCTTAGTGAATGGAGTCTGACTTGGGCAACCAAGGGTTGGTGCAAAACTCTCATCATTGCCATCTCCTGCCACCACTGCGAATATGAAGCTATTCTTGGGAGGAGGGAGGACAAGGCGTCAAGGCCTCGCCAGACTTCTCTGCCTATACATCAGGCACTGAAGTGCGTCTCTGTCAGCCCTTTCCATCTCCAGTGATTTCAAGGCATCATAGAAATTTTTAAAAATTAGCTTCTCTCTGTGGGGAGAAAGGGTACTCTGCTCCAGAGAAGAAGGGAAGCCTTGTTTTTGTACCTAGTAACTATAAGAAGTCAAACTAGAAAAAAGACAGAGACAGAGAAGGACAATGGTGTTCTGGGCACAGAGAAAAAAAGGACAACAATTTTTTTAAGGGAACTTTTTAAAATTTTTGGAAAAATCATGAAACTGATTTCAATTCAGCATATGTTTATTCTTATGTGTACTCTTTCATTTTTTTTAATCTTGGATGAGAGATGGAGGAAGAACTCATTCAAATCTTGTACCCTGTCTTCCAAAACGAGAGTAGTTTCCAATTACACTTAGAGCTTCTTACTCAGTTTGAAACTTTGAGTCTAATATTACGAGGAATATGACATAACTATTTTAGATACAAATGAATTTGTAGAGTCTAGTCCTATCTCCAAAACGCCAGCCAGGCCAACCTCCTCCATGACTCCCATGCATATCTTGCTTCTATGTTCTGTTCTCTCATCCTCTTATTTCCATTTCTTTTCTTTTTTTGTCATTTACTACTTATGCTGAACCTCTTTCCATTAATTTATTTCCATCACATCGTTCGATGCCAAGTTCAAGTCATCTTATTTGGAAGCCTTCCCTGATGCATTTTCATCTTCCTTTTGAGCCATGATGCAGCTCATAGATCAACTTCCATGGTCTAAACATTTGTGTCTCCCCAAAATTCATTTGTTGAAACCAAATCTCCAATGCAAGTGGTATTAAGATGTGGGGCCTTGAGGAGGTGATTAGGTCATAAAGGCAGAGCCCATGAATGAGATTAATGCCCTTACAAAAGAAGGAGGTGCGAAGGAGTTTGCTTGCCCCTTCCATCATGTGAGGACACAGCAACAAGATACCATCTATGAAGAAGAGAGCAAGACCTTACTAGACACTTGATCTTGGACTTACTGGCTTCCAAAGCTGTGAACAATAAATTTTTGCTGATTATAAATTACCCAGTCTAAGGTATTTTGTTATAGCACCCTGAACAGACTAAGACATCAACCTGTCCATACTACTACTGCTAATAGCTAACATATACTGAGCATCATGAACTAGGCACTGTGAAAAGTACTTTGTATAGAGATTAGCTAATGGAATACATATCCTACGCAGTAGAATTTTACAGATGAAGAAACCAAGGCATAGAAAAGTGAAGCAACTTCCCAAAATGGCTCTGTAGAAATGTCTCTCAAGTGTACCAGTATCTCTAGTGCTTTGGTGCACATCTCAAAAAATTTTTTCTTATATTTGGAAAAACCTAAAAACTCCACCAGAAAATGATTAGAACTGATAAACAAATTCAGTAAAGTTGCAGGATATAAAATCAACATACAAAATTTTTTCTCAATATTTTATTGTGAAAACATTCAAATATGAAAAAATTAAAAAGACTATTACAGCAAACACCTGTATACTGTATACCCACTACCTATATTCTCCTATTAATATTGTGCTTTATTTCATTTATTACATGTCTATCCATCCACTGATTCATCTTATTTTGATTTTTTATACATTTTGCAGGAAACTGTGAACACTACATTCCCACCCTCCAATACTTACGCATGCATGTCATTAACTTGCTCCTCAAAATTTAATGTTAAAAGGAGACATTGATGTGGAATGAACAACCATGCTCTTCTCTCTCTGTGAACTAGGATTGACTGAGTGGTACAGATGCCTTTTGTTTAAAACAGTACATAAAACATTTTTAAGGCTACTTTTCGTTAATATGTGGTACCTTCCAAAATCAGACAACACCTGCCAAGATCCTTGGGATCTTATTTTATTAAGATGAAGAGAAAAGTAGACTCACAAACCAAGAGCAAACCTGTAAGCTCCACACTCATTCCAGAAGGCATTGTTGGGCCACAGAAGAGTTACTGCTTCCAAATCAGATGGAGCCACTGGGGTGTTATTGGATTTAGATGAGAAAGAACACTAGGCTAGTAAGGAGGATGTCTTGGGAAGACACCCATGAGTAGGAATAAAGTGAGAAACCAGAGCTGGTGACATTAGAGAAGACTGTGCATCTGTTTGAGTCTGGGGAAAACAAGCTAAAGATAGTCCATTATGCATCACATTGCACTGATTTTAAATTCCCCAAGAGCTTCATAAGAAAACAAAATATGAATTTTACACAGTTGATATTTAACTTTTGAATTAGACGTTTAGCTTGGCTTAATTACAAGCTGACTTAATTTATTTAACAGCAATGCTTCATTTTGAAAAAGTTACATAAGCAATACCAGTAAAGTTGCCCTGAAATTTAATTCATCTCAAAGTTCAAATGTATGATTATAATATTTTAGATACATCTAAAATACATTACAATTTTTATTGCTGAGGACAATAGGCTAAACAGTCTTAGTCCAAAGCATTATCTAAAATACTTACAGAAGGCATTATTTTCTTGTGGATTATGAGAAGCAGTGTAAAGTTTGAGGTTGTTTTCATCCTCATGTTATTTAAGGAGCAATATTTTCCTGCTTTAACAGACACCAACTCTTCATTGTGGAGTTTGAGGTTAAGATCAGTTCTATTCACAAATGAATAGATGAGTGATTTCCAGATAGGGTTGCCAAATTGAGCAAATTAAAATACAGGATACCCAGTCAAATTTGAATTTCAGATAAACAAATCATTGTTTAGTATAAGTATGTCTCATCGAATTTCAGATGAACGACAAGTAATTTTTTGTATAAGTATTTCCCAAATATTGCATGACACATACTTATAATAAAAAATATTCATTGTTTATCTGAAATTGCAATTTAATGGAGTGTCTATATTTTATCTGGCAATCCTATTTCTGGAAGGAGTTTGGAAGGCTTCCAAGAAGGTCACACACTTAAACATCTCTCCCTGTGAGATCTTAATTCTTCCTATTGATGGTTCCATCTTCATTGACCTCTTCCAGAGGTGAGGAAAGAAAAACTTTCTAAAATTCATAATCTTCTATGCAATCCTTAAAATAGAGACACAATAATATGTTCTGACATGGAATTATCTCGAAAGTAAATTATTCAGTGAAAAAGGCAAAGTTCAGAAATATATTCACCCTGGTCATAAGGGTTAGCTTTGGTAAGGGGGGCTGTGTGTGTGTGGTTGGAGGGATTGTGCTAAGGAGTTTGCCTTTTTGCTCTATTATTTTGTACATTTTGAATTTTCCATCATATTTGGAGCTCTAAATAGAGGAGACAGAAAATGCCAAAAGACAAGGCTAGAGCATGCTGGGTATGTTTCAGTGCATTTACTACCAATTCAAAGACAAGTAAGTTTAAATAAATGAGCAAAGAAGCAAAACAAAAATATTTCTGCCCAAGCAAAAGAGAACAACACTTCCAAAGAGGTGTCTGATATTTGGTGGAAATTATTTTAATAACTTCTTTCATTCCCTGTCTGACCTTATCAGGT
This sequence comes from Homo sapiens, assembly GCF_000001405.40. Classification (NCBI taxonomy): domain Eukaryota; kingdom Metazoa; phylum Chordata; class Mammalia; order Primates; family Hominidae; genus Homo; species Homo sapiens. The sequence continues at coordinate 16,263,129 of NC_000023.11, read as the reverse complement.
CACCTTAAGAACTCTGAGAACCTGGAGATAAACTATTTTACAACTATTTTACAATGTCCTGTTGAAATGTATCTGACATTTTAAAGTGCAAGATTGCCTTTCTGTAAAATTGTAGCTTTTTACCTATAAGACGGTGTGCTAATTGTTATATGCTTTTACATATTTTATGTATGTTTTACTTTCTTCATTCTCAACACATTTCTCCTCAATAAACACACACACACACACACACACACACACACACACACACACACACACACTCCCCTCCTAGCATAAGATGAGAAAGAGTCCCTTTGTGAATAACAGGTATCACAATGGTCTGTATTGACCTAAGTTTCTCCATCCTCCTTTTCAGCACGGACTCCCATTACAAAATCAATTTTCAGGCTACATGCATAGGGGTTATTTTAAAGGAAAGATCAAATTCATAATCAAATCTAATGTTCAATCTAAGAAAAGCCAATGCAACGTACACACACATCATTAACAACATTTCTGACTAATTAGAAATATACTGAGATGTTCAGTAAACCCAAGGAAACCCCAATTAGGAGTTGATTCAACCTGTCAGCTTACATTCAACACAAAGCTCTGTTTACTGCTCTAAGCCCTCTCCTGGGGGGATTCAATACCTCATACCTTGAACCATCTCCTCTCCTTCCTGGCTTGCCACATTTCTTTTTCACCTAACTCTAATCTCTCTTAATATTCTGCTTTTTTTCTTGAAGTCTTTCCCAGGAAACAAAAGAGTTGTTTGCTCCTCCTACCTCAGCTGAAGTTGCACTTCTCTATCTGTTTATCCCTTCAACTATCATTTATTACGCATCTATTATGTGCCAGGCACTATTCTAGGTGTGGACGAAATGTCCTTTTATACAGCTTATATTCTAGTCTGGGGAGACAGAAAAAAAAAGGTAAGGGAAATAAAAGTAACGGGCAAGTTTGCATTTTAGAAGGTGCAGTCTGGAAAGGTCTTTCTGACTTTCTAGAAGGGCAGAATGGAGCCCTGTAGATAACTAAAAGAGAGAGCTCTAAATAGAGGAGACAGAAAATGCCAAAACACGAGGCTGGAGCATGCTGGGTTTTTCAGTATGATAATGGTCTCAAGGTGACTGGCGTAGAATGAGAAAGGGAGATGAGGTAGAAGGAGACGAAGTCAGAGAGGTGATGGCAGGCCAGATCCTTAAAAAAGAGACACAAGAATATGTCCTGACATGGAATTATCTCGAAAGTAAATTTTTCAGTGAAAAAGGCAAAGTTCAGAAATAAAATCACCCTGGTCATAAGAGTTATCTTTGGCGAGGGGGGCTGTGTGTGTGTGGACTTCAGATTTTGCAAATATCCCCCGACTTCAGATATTTGAAAGGATTCACCAGAGTTAACAGAGCATAGTCACGTAAGGCTTTTACTTCAAGGTAAAGCATATGATGCAGCAAGAGAAAGAGTGAAGGCAAGAATTAGGACTCTAGAAATCTCCCATGTGCAAGCTTCCCAGTAGCTAGGTGAGGCCATCTGACAAAGTTCTGGCCAATGAGCTGTAGCCAGAAACCATGGGGAGGGATTCTCCTCCCTCATACAAAGGTAGAGTCTCTCCAAAGGGTCGTGCCCTGTCTCCTTTCCCTTTTTAGACCTTCCAGAATGTGAATATGAACCACAGAAGTGCAGCCACAGCCATCCTGGGGCAATGAGGATGATACTAAGGATTTCAAAGCAGGGAAATGAAAGAGCCCACATAATTAATAATATGGTTTTGCTGTCTTAGCAAATCCAGGTTTCCTACTCCCAGGCTTTTTGTTGCAGAAAACCAATTAACTTTTCTGTTTCAACTATCGCAGTAAGATTTCCTGTTAAACATACCATTCACTGATACAGGTATAATTCCTTAACATCTCCTAATAATAAAGTCCAAGCTCCTTAGTGTAGCAGCTGCAGTTCCCATGACTTGGCTTTCTCTTCTGCCACTCCTCATTACCCACTTTTTGCTTTTGTAGTACTTTAATTTCTTTTTTTTTTTTTTTTTTTTTTTTTTTTTTTTTTTTTTTTGGAGACGGAGTCTCGCTCTGTCGCCCAGGCCGGACTGCGGACTGCAGTGGCGCAATCTCGGCTCACTGCAAGCTCCGCTTCCCGGGTTCACGCCATTCTCCTGCCTCAGCCTCCCGAGTAGCTGGGACTACAGGCGCCCGCCACCGCGCCCGGCTAATTTTTTGTATTTTTAGTAGAGACGGGGTTTCGCCTTGTTAGCCAGGATGGTCTCGATCTCCTGACCTCATGATCCACCCGCCTCGGCCTCCCAAAGTGCTGGGATTACAGGCGTGAGCCACCGCGCCCGGCCTGTAGTACTTTAATTTCTAAGAATTTCCACCATATACATATTGATTCAAACCTCAAGGCCTTTGCTTATGACATCGCTTGGCCTGCTAGGCACTTTGCACTTTTCTTTGCCTAGCTAACTCCTACTCATTCTTTAAGACCACCTCAAGCCCTGGATTGCCCCTTCTCCACATTCCCATAGCACACCCTGTATTCTTTTACCTTGCCATTGTCCATATTGCATGGCTATTTCTGTTTATGTGTCTATCTCTCCCACTAGACAGGACGTTCTTAAAGGGCTTAGTTTGTCATCATCTCCCATAGCATCCAGCACAGTGCCTGGCACACAGACAAGCTCAATAGATTGTTAGCTGAGCTAATCTGAACTAAAGGTGATCTTTCTTATATGTGGCAGAGGGCCAACTAGAAGGGCATCACCAGTTCTAAGCTACAGGAATACCCTATTGTGCAATTCCAACCATGCTTTCAAGCTTGAGAGTACAGTCCTACAAAAGAAAAAGCCTAGGTGATCTTGAAGCTCAAGGATGTTTTCTGAGGTTTTCCAGGGGAAATAAAAGAGATCCTGAGGGCATGGTTGCTTCTGGCACTTTCCATCAATAATGCCAGAGATTTCATATCAAGGAATGCATCTGTGGTGTTATAATATGTCAACTTGGCTAGACTGAACTATGTTTCTAGACTTCCCTTCCCTGCATGTTTCTGTTTAAGGTGGGCCATGAGAGTCTCAGGAGAGGTGGGAAGCAGAAGAGAAGCAGTAGCCATTTCATAGTTTACACACATTGTCTCTGAGCAGCTAATTCATTGCATTAACTGTGACTTCTCCACTTTCCCCTGGGTCCTTGTCCAGCTTCTCTGACTTGGGCCAAATGTGTGTGTTTAGCTCTGTGAGGAAGAACTCCAGCATTTTCAGGACACCCACACCATCAAGGTCAGCGACAAGAACTGACATGCGTCTCCCTCTGTCCTTTTGAGGTTCCAGCTCATGCCTGTTGGTTCCAGCCTGCTAGTGATCTCCCCACAGTTGTATCCATCTTTCCTTCCCAACTACCTGCAGGCGTCAGGCTCCAACATCAGAGGTAAAAACAGCAGCCTTAAAAAAAAACTGAACCAACTCTCATGATTGTGTCGTCAGATCTCTGCAATAAATCCCTTAAATATATACACGGCTGTGTGTGTGAGAGAGAGAGAGAGAGAGAAAGAGAGAGAAATTTATAAATGTATAAGTACATTTTGTATGTATCTATACATATATACATATTTTACATGTAAATTTTATATATAATATGTGTATAATCTGCTAGTGGTTCTATTTCTCTAAATAAAAACTGACTGATAAATCATCCATTTTTGTAACTTCCCAATATTTGCTATTTTTCCTATCTCTGGTCTCTTTTCCTGAAGGAATTTGCTGTATATCCCTTAGGTGGGAGTTTTATTCTTGTGTTTTCCTTGAAAAGATCTGGAGGACAGCATCCCACTCTGCAGAACTCCTCTCAATGCAGAATATGCTGTGGCTGCAAGAAAACAAACAAACAAAAAAACAGGAATCCCAGAGTCTGTAGAAAGGGGGAGAGAAAAAATGACTGGCCTGTATTGGGTGACTCTAGGGGTTAAGTTGCAGAAGACTCACTGAGGAATCTCTTACTATTTACGTTCCGAGTTGGCTCACATGTGAGCATAGCTTATGCTCTGCCCAGGAGCCAGTTGCCAAAGAGGCAGGGAGAGAACTGACGAATAAGATTTTCACATCAGTACACCCAGAGAGAAGCCAAATAAGTATCTCACATAGGATATTTTGATGGCGAGAGACTCCTGCCAGAATATACTTTATAACTCATGTCCAAGTCTAAGCATGCTTAAAGAAGGTAGTATGGCAATTACTAAAATGTCAGAGGATCTCTGAAAAAAAGAAAATGAGCAAGATAAAGGAGTCCTGATTTCACAATGAATTCCTGGTACCGCTTCAACTTAGCCCCCTAAAAGTTTCAGGGATTGCACAGACACCCTGGTGACATTAAAGGTAGGTCTAACATTTGTTCCTGGGGCAAGATAAGGGAAATGTGAGCCAAAGCAAACACTAGCACCCAGATAACTTGCAATGTTCTGAATTTAACAGGTGTTTACCCGAGTTTTACTTGTCTGTGATGCAAATGTGCTCACATTAGTAATAATAATCCTCTAACTGGTTAGCCATATGCAAAAAGTTGAAAGTGGACTCCTTCCTTACACCACCTACAAAAATCAGCTCAAGATGGATTAAAGACTTAAATGTGAAACCCAAACTGAAAAAAAAAAAAAAACCCTAGGCAATACCATTCAGGACATAGGCCCGGGCAAAGATTTCATGATGAAGATGTTAAAAGCAACTGCAACCAAAGCAAAAATTGACAAATGGGATCTACTTAAACTAAAGAGCTTCTGCACAGCAAAAGAAACTATCAACAGAGTAAACAGACAACCTACAGAATGGGAGAAAATTTTTGCAAACTATGCATCTGCAAAGATCTAATATCCAGTATCTAAAAGGAACTTAAACAAATTTACAAGAAAAAAAAAACAACTCCATTAAAAAGTGTGCAAAAGATATGAACAGACACTTCTCAAAAGAAGACATTCATGTGCCCAACAAACATATGAAAAAAGCTCATCATCACTGGTCATTAGAGAAATGCAAATCAAAACAACGAGATACCATCTCACATCAGTCAGAATGGCTATTACTAAAAAGCCTATTAAAAGGCAATTGTTAAAAATACCAGATGCTGGCGAAGTTGTGGAGAAAAAGAAACATTTTTACACTGTTGGTGGGAGTTCAACCATTGTGGAAGACAGTGTGGCAATTCCTCAAAGACCTAGAGACAGAAATGCCATTCAACTCAGCAATCCCATTACCAAGTATATGCCTAAAGGAATATAAACCATTCTATTACAAAGGCACATGTATGCATATGTTCATTGCAGCATTATTCACAATAGCAAAGACATGGAATCAATCTAAATGCCCATCAACAGTAGGCTGGATAAAGAAAATGTGGTACAAATATATGATGGAATACTATGCAGTCATAAAAAGGAATGAGATCATGTCCTTTGCAGGGACATGGATGGAGCTGGAGGCCATTATCCTCTGCAAACTAATGAAGGAACAGAAAACCAAATACTGCATGTTCTCACTTATAAGTGGGAGCTAAATGATGAGAACACATGGACACGTAGAGGGGAACAACACACACTGGGGCCTACCAGAGGGTGGAGGGTGGGAGGAGGGAGAGGATCAGGAAAAATAACTAATGGATACTAGGCTTAATACCTGGGTGATGATATAATCTAAACCCCTATGATATATGTTTATCTATATAACAAATCTGCACACCCTGCACATGTACCCCTGAACTTAAAATAAAAGTTTTTTTAAAGTAATAATCCTCAATTGTCTCTGATTCTTGTTTGCAGAGGTGAATGCAAAACCTTCATCCTCTTTAGTTCAATTCCTAGCCCAAGTATTCCTGGAAATTCCTGTAGGTATGTTTTATAGATATCTGAAGTTTAAAACTCTCTAGGGTGCACAGCTAAGCTAGGTTCTCTGGGGCCCCTCAATGCATAGAAGCTATCCTATGCAGAAGTACAGAATATGTTCCCCACCCCAGTCTGTTATACTTTGTCATCTAGACATGAAAGCATTGTCATTGTGTCTCTGTTGAAAACAGCTCTGTGGTAAAGACTTCTAGTGCTTACATAAATTTAGCTCTTCTTTCCTTCTGGGCATACTAGAGAATTATACTTGCAGTTACATTGTGGTTATAAGACTAGTTGTAATCATGGACTGTGAGCATAAATAACATGGATCACTTTCAAACTGAAGCATTTAATTTCATGTTTGAAACCTTCCAGGGCTTTCTCTCCCTGTTGTGATAATCAAGGAGTCAGAGTGTTTTAGACAGAGCAGCTATGAGACAGTAGAGTCTCCACTAACCTGGGTCCCTATGAGTCTAGATTCACAATGGGCAACTGTGAACGTAAGGAATAATCCTTTGTTGCAGTAGATCACTGGGATTTGAGGTTGATTTGTTATTGCAGCATAACCTTTCCCATCCTGACCAATATAAGCTCCTTTAGTTCACAAGCCCTCTAACAGTTTAAATTTTTGAAACTGTCTTTAAAAACGTTTTCCTCCACAACTCGCCCCCACCACACAGTCCCTTTTAAGTACCCCAGTTGCATAGAATTAGAATCATCATTATCCTTGGCTTATAATTCACCAAAATCTTTGGTCCAAACATAGCTTACTGTCTATCTAGCTATCGTCTATTTTTTGAAGTGGTGTAATGAGCACAAATGAGCCCACTAACAGACCTAAAAGCTAGAATGTCACAAATAATTTACATCTAACTGTGCATTCCTCCCAAATTTTATAACTCTGCCTCCTCTCTGAATAAACATAATTTAGAATATTGTATTTATCCATCCCTTGCTGTAAATATGTGTTTAATTATATCACACACTTGTAAAATATATAAAGTTCAAAAATAATGAAAGCTAGCCTTGATTTGTATCAATCTGATTGTTCATGAGGTTGAACATCTTTTTGTATGTTTATTCACCATATGTTTCCTTTTCTGTAAAATGCCCATTTGTGTTCTTAACCAATTTTTTCACCAAGTTATTTGTCTTTTTCATATTGATTTATAGAAGTTCTTCACATGTACTGGATATCAATCCTTTATCCACGATATGTGTGGCAATTATCTTAACCAGTTTTAATTTTGTCTTTTATATTTTATTTAAAGTATATTTTGATAAGTAGAAATTTTTAAATTTTATTTGCAAAGAATTTAGGGATGGGGAAAGGGGGGCAAATGAGACTTCCTGGGAGGTATGAGCCCAGTTTACATCTTAACTATGCATTGCTATACTTTGGGACAAGATTCTAGAATATAATTATTTGCATTTTAGACTAGTGAAGTCAAAAAGGAGTGAACAAGTTATAAAACAACAACATGCACATGTATGGGTGTACACATCCACATCTCCCCCCAATATATCTATCTATCTATATATATAGATCTATATATATAGATAGATAGATAGAGATATATACTCACATACACACATACCAATGTGTTTTCGCCACATGGCTGACCATTCAATTCAGCCACAAAAAAAAATCCTTAAAAATGAGTAGACAGTAATCAAGTAGACAACATTTTTTATGATGGTTAAAACCTACTGTTATAAGAAAAAGAATGGATTGTATGATTAAAATAAAAATACTTTTGATTGAAGACATTCAAAATAAACGTCAGCATAATGTACTAGCCTGGAGTTTGAACGACATTTCTTTGAGGTTTTTATTTATTTTTTTGTCTCAGAGGATGAAAGGAAGAATCAGAGGATGAAAAATATAAAAAGGATAGTTTGTACATTTTAAAGCAAGTATGACTCATAATATCAGCATGTAAAATGAAATTATTAATATTATTTCAGTGAAAGCCTAAGAAACAGGGGGTTTTCCTGGTCTTTAGATGAGAGTTTGCCTAAGATATTTCTTCATGTTATCCATAGACAAATTTCTAATGAAACAAAGAGGGCAGCTGAAACAAATGTCTCTCAATAAGTACTCAAAAAGTGGTTTTAGAAAAACCCACAAAACCCTGCCCCCAAAATGCCTGTTATTTTTAATGCCACATATTTGTTAAATATTTTCCTTTGTTTTCTAATTGGCAGAAATCAAAATGAGGTGGGATTGTAAAAACTGTGCTGTTCATCAGCATAAGATAGTAATATATCTAACAGGATTTTATTTGACTGGCTACTTTTAATCCACTGATTTGTACTTTGGAAAGCTCGCATCCCTTTGTGTCTGGTTGATATACATGTTTTATCAATAAGAGGTAAAAGTTTTAATTGGCTATGTAAAACATTTCTGGACAATGCCTCTAAAAGCCGAGCATCGGGCCCCTTTTCTGGAATTTACCCTCTCATTTTCCAAAATTTCTGTGTGTGCCTAGGGGATGGGGTTGCCAGAGGGGGATTTGCTATTTAAAATTTCTAATATTTGCAGTGGCTTCTGCTGGAGGATTGCTTTCCCGTAAATATGGCTCTTTGTTTAAGAAAATAACTTGATGAAGTATTTTGAATTAAAGACAATAACATGACCATCACACATCTCCACATCACACACACAAATGCGCACACGTGCTCATGCACACACACATGCACACAAGCACTACCCCAACCTCCTGGGCTCCTAAGAGACAAAGTGAGAACGGAATTGCTTTGCATAATAAAATAAGAGAAAAATCTGAGTTTCTGGGGATACCCCTCAAAGGAAGTGGCAGGGGTTGGGGGAGCTGGGAGAGGGGAGAACAGATCGGAGAAGAGGTGAAAAGAGCATCTAAAAAGAGAGGGGTCAAGCATCTTAGCAGGAGCCCAAGGAAACCGAGGAGAAAAGAGGGCTTTTCCAGGCAATTTTAGCTGGTGTAACAACAAGCATATAATCCTGAGGCAGTATTATTTTTGTCTCCCATTCATTCAACAATTCTCAACAGAGTCCATTTTGCCCCACAAAGGACACTTGGCAGTGTATGGAGACGGGTTTGGTTGTTATAACTGGAGGCGAGAGCTACCAGCATCTAGTACATAGAAACCAGGGATGCTGCCACATATCCTACAATGCACAGACAGCTCCCGCAACAAAAGAATACTCTGGTCAAAATGTCAGTAGTGCTGAAGTTGAGAAACACTTTATATGACCTTTAAATTTGCTTAGCAGGACTAGTTCTTCCCCCACCTTTGTATGAAAACAACTCCATGAATTTTCAAGTTGCTCTCAGAAAATATAAGTAGTCTCTGTGTAGGACTAGCAATGTCCAATTACTTGTAGAAGTCAATACTCCAAATTTGCTTTCAAGTTGGGCATCTCCCTCAACTTTATGTTGCAAGCCATATGTCTGCAGTCATAGAAGACATATTGTTGGCTTTTTTTTTTTTACTCTTTCCCCTTTTAAGGTTTGTTGTTGTTGTTGTTGTTGTTTGACCATCCTCTCCAGCTTGCTAACTATGGTCTCTGTCCTTTCCAGATACTGATTAAGGCATAGAGAGAAGTGGTTGAGAGGATCCATGCAGCTCTTAACTGACTGCTACTGTTGTAAAACCTCTCGCATACGTACATGCACGATGTTGTGGAATTCTTACAGAATCCCTTATCAAAATCACTGTAAATCTCTTATCTACAGTTTCCTTGATGGGGAGAATACATTTCTGGTTCAAGTTACAACTTAGAGTCCCTTTCATATCCCTTAGCAATCCAATGGCTCACTTCCTAGCTTCTGTCCTTCTTGGCAGTCCTTGAGGCAGAGCCTAAGACAACTCTACTCCAGCTCTCTTGCAAGCATGGTCCATTTGGTACATGATAAACACCCATGTATCCTTAACACCAGCAAACCCTAGAAGTGCAGGCTGATTCCCAGTTCAGCATCTCTCCTTCACTTTTCCACAAGACTCCAGCCAGTCACTGCTTCCAGCCCTTAGATGGTTCAGGTGAGAGCCAAGCCCCAGTCTACTGTATACGCAACACCACATTACAGGAGCTACCTATTAAGATCTGAGTGGTCTCCTTAAGGTCCTCTTTTGACTTGGGCTGAAGGTAAAAACATCCCCCTTCTCTTCCTTTTCTAGGGAGTAGGTTGTAGGTAACAGAGATGTACAATGCACTAACAGCTCTCTTCAGAACCTGAAGCTCTTACAATTCCTCTCCCAATTTCCATTCTCCCAGTCCTTTTAGATGCTTTAATCTTCCATTCTTGTTGCCACCTGCCACATAGTCTATTCTCAATGCAGCAGTCATAAGTCAGATTAGGTCACTTCTTTGCTCTAAATTTCCAATGGTTATCATATCACTCAAAGTGAAATCTAAATTTTTATGTAATCCACCCTTGCATTTTCATTTCCACCACAGAGGTAGCACTACTACTATGGGTAGTAATGCTCACACCATTCTTTCCATTCTACTCACACTGGCCTCCGTGCTCCTCCTCAAATATGCCAGGCACACTGCCACCACAGGGGCTTTGCACTGGCTGTTCCCTCGGAATGCTCTTCCCCCCGATAGTTAGCTGATCAACTCCATCATCTCATTTAAATCTCTCCTCAGACGTTATCATCTCAATGAAGCCTCCACTGACTACCCTATTTACTGGTGTAACTCATCCCAGTGTCTCATCATATCCAATGCACCTCACCTTCCATCAGTCCATCTAATTTACTTTTTCGGTATGATCATTATTATCTATCCTTCTAGGAATGTAAGCTCCATAGGTCACTCCCTATCATTTTTACCTGCTTTCTTACTGTGACCATCTCCAACTACTTCTGTCTTAATTCTTAGAGCTAGCTAGTTAGAGAGAGAGAGAGAGAGAGACAGACAGAGAGGGAGAGAGAATAGGTAGATAGACAGAGAGATAAACTTTCCAACACGCTGCCCTCCAGGACTCTTGAACTTGTATTTTACAAGATAGTTCTCCAGCTTACTTTAATTCCTCGTGCCCCTGGTTACACCTGGTTACACTATGGGCTTTATCATCAATTACTACCAACCTGTCACATTCTCAACCTCTTGAATCCTCCTCTCTAATCACCACCTCCTATCTCTCTATCTCAAATGTTCTAATACCAGTACAGTCGCAGTATTATTGGAACTTTATTGCCACCAAGAGCTCAAATTCATTGATCTTTCTATCATTTCAACCCATTTATAGCCCCTCCTTTCTCTTTTTCCAGGTTAAAGTCCGTGAACCGTCCTTGTAGTCACTCCTTTGCATACTTCCTCAGTTCCCTGTTTCTCAGCACATTCAGTACACTCAGCATTGCAAAACACAGTCCCAGTTAAATTAACCTCTCTGCCTACTCCATGCCTGAAGAAAATTACAGACCATATTGACTGGTCTTTCTCAGACCGGTCAATTCAGAACCAAAACTTCAAGTGGGCCTTAGTGCTGCCAGCAATCATCCTCTGCTTGCCTGCCCCATTCACCCTCTCACTCTCCTTGATGAATATTACATATTCCCTCTTCTCTCTGCAAACCTTCAAAACGTTTTCCCTGTCTTCAGTTCTGCTAACCTTGCTTTCAGCTTCATCGGGAATGTGGAAGGAATCAGAAAAGAACTTCCCCAGACTCTCACCGCTGTATTTGCATACTCTGCTGACCTGCCAGTTACCATTGATGAACCGTCCATTGTCCTGTGTAAAGCCAGCCCCTCAAGATGTGCACTGGATTTCATGCCCTTTTGCATATTCCAGGACCTAGTTTCAGCAATTCATCTCCCTCTCTATGGGATCAGCCCCTGCAGCACACAAACACAGTGTTACGTCTCTAAGAGACCCCTCTTCCTTGGTCCACTTACTTCCCCACCTACTGCCTCATTTTTGTGCTCCCTTTGTAGCAGACTCTTCAGATGAGTTGTCTGTACTGACTTCCATTCTCTCTTAAGTCCATTCTCATCAGGCTTTCATCCACACGACTGCACAGAAACGAAACTTGTCAAGATCACCAATGACTCCACAATGCTAATTTATCTGGTGATAATTAGGATTATTTGTGTATTTTATCAAGCTTTTATGCCATTGATTGAAAGATGCCCATTATTTTGTGTATGACATAGAAAGTAAAAAATACCACAAATGTGGGGAGTTTATTAGGAGACCACTGTGTAAAACTTAGGGTAGAAAATGGCTACACCTTCAGTGCAAGGATAAAGAAGAAATAAAGCTACCACGTAGAAAAGAACAGAAAAAAAAACTGCATGCCTCAATCTTTCCTCTAATTAGAGGAAGGGAAAAAAATCTCCCCTGAGATTTGAACCACAAACTGGTATTCAAACAAGTAAATTCGCAGACTGAATTCATCATGATTTTAAAAAGTAAAAACATGAGAATTTAATTTAAAGAGTTGTCAGGTTAGTAGTGCTCCAGATGATGAGCAGAAACAAAGACAATTCCTCTGTTGAAAAGTTTGAATTCAATCTAGACTAACAACAAATATATAACACACCCCAATTTCAAAGATGTTAAATGTTTGGGTTAAAAAAAAAGTATCAGACATTAGGTTTTATAGTCCAGGGATGCTGAACTTCAAAGCCTTGAGAAATTGCCACTGAAGGAGAGAGCTAGGCAAGATAAAGTCACTCAGCACAAAACAAACTCCCCAGTGCACTTATATTTTCTTTGAGGATGTCACAATATTACTTCAAGCAATGGGAAGACTGTTTTGGGTATGCTGTTCAGGAAGGAAGGCAAGTCATAAACATTCTGGCAAGTTTCCATCAAATGTGGCTAAACTTTGAATCTTTGGATGAATGTGATTTTTTAAGGGTTTGTTCTTGGTGGGGGTGGAGGAATTGAAAGAAACTAAGTGAAGCCGGATGGGGAAGGAGAAAGAGAAGAGCATCAATCTGTTCTCAGATAAAACCTATGCTTGTCCTGATCCACAGAAGACTCTGGAGCATTAACGGCATTACAGATTTGTCCCACCTTGAGGAAAGGGGACTGATATTTTGTACCCTACGTTGCCTGTCATTGGCTGCCCTTGGGAAGGGCAAAGACATAATCTCCCAAGCTTTGAGCTTCCTGTTAGGGCTGGCAATTCTCTGGAGAAAGGGGCAGCTATGGACATTAGGCAACACTCACAGCAGTTGGGTGATGGGCCCTCTGGCTAGGTAAAAGGATCCGGGTAGGGCACCAGCAGTTCTGCTACAATCATTGTTTGATCTTCATTAGAGAAGGAACATTTCTTAATGAAAGGAAGAGTAGTATAGGAGAATGAACATTGGGTTTGCTGTCAGATCATCCTGCACCACAACTGAGTAACTGTGGGGACTTCTTGAACCTAAGCTTTCTCAATGGTAAAATGGGAATAATGATTCATAAGGATTACTATAGTTGGTTAATATGGCTAAAGGACCACCGCTCTGTATGTTCTCTTTTCCTACAGCACCCAGTGCATAACTGTGTCATTGTTCTTGAGGAATTAACTTTTATGTAAAGGACAGCCTAGTCTCTGAAAGAATTTCATGGAGAGACTGTGTTCCAGCTTTGCTTGGGAGAATTTCTAGAACATTTCTCAGATCCCTTACAAAACTATAATTTAATTAAATTATGACCCTGGACACATCATTTATATTCTGGAACATGGGTGTCTCATATGTAAAGTCCATTCCTCGATAAACAGTTATTTAAGTGCCCAGCAATGGGACAACTGGACTAGATGGTATTTTTTATTTCTCCCTGTACTAACATTCTAAAGGCCATGAGATTCAATTGAAAGTGTACTGATTCCCAGCTCATCTCAGGATAAAACACTGATTATATCTCAGTTTTTGTCTTCTTTTGTTTTTTTGTTCTCATCATTATTGTTGTATTAGAGTTTGCCTCTTTTGGCAAGGCTGTGTTGCAGAGTGATTAAAAGCTCAGACCAGAGAACTGGAGCATTAACCTTGGGTTTATGCCTTGGATTTAAACCTCAGCTCTGCCACTAACTAGCTCAACCTCCCTGAGCCTCAGCTTTCTATCTATAAAATGGGGATAAGAATAATCCTACTTCATAAATACTGGAAGATTAAATGAGTAAAGCATATTTTTAAGAAGAAAAGTTGGTGTTTTAGTATCCTGTTCTATGGATTTCTGATTTAACACTGATCATAAACAGCTTGGACCAGAGGACATATTGTCTATATGTCCATGAAACTCCCCCAACCTCCACAACTTTGTCCTGCACACAATTGGCAGAAATTTAGTATTTAGTGATTTGAGTTCAGTATAGCCAACCGTCTTGAGATAACACAATTCCAAGAAAGAAAAGAAATAATAAACATATGTGGTTCCCTAGCCTCTTCATTTTCACCTTTTTTGTGGAAGGAAGTGAAAAAAATTCCATAAGTTTTATAATTATTATTGGAAGTAAATACTAAAAAAAAAAAAGTCATATCATTGAAGTAAAAATAATTCACATTGGGATTATAACGCTCACAGTCAAAGATGTGATTATTCCTGAAACCTTAAAAATCACTGGCTCTGGATGCTTTTTATTAATATTGAAGTTTAGAAAATGAAAGTATGCATGAAATGGTCCATGGATAGGACCTCCACAGTAACCACTTATTTTGCAAGATCAAAATGTCAAGGATGACTTTGAGTCATCATTGAATGGACAACCAAAGAGTAATAATAAGTTTGGATTTTTTTTTTCAGTTAGAGAGAGCTACTTGTAGTAAATTCAACTGGGAGGAAAGAGCTCATTGTTGAAGCAAATACATTTTCCTCTAAATTCACATTTGCCCCTTTGCTCACTGCTATTTTCCATGTTTGCATAATGTGAGTGATAAAGTCTGGTAATGACAAGACCACCCATTTAGCACCATTTTCTTGGAAACACATTATGTAGTAAATAATATATTTGTTCTATTTTGAATTATACTTTTCTCTGTTCGGCAACTGAAAAGAACATGCTACATGTTTGATTTTATCTATCTTCACTTAAACGGGATACTGAAAACCAGACAAAAAGGGAAACTCTCCACTCCAGTACTGTGAGATTTGGGAAATCTATCCAAAATGCAGACTGAGCTGACAGTATCATAAGAAAACACTTCTTGAAGTATGGAGCTAAAAGGCAGCAAAGTGACCTCTGGACTCTGTGGGCCCCAAGAACAAACTGAGGAAGAGACCCATGTTTTTGTTCTCAGAAAGATAACCAAGAGCCATGGCCATAACAGGGCCATGAATTTTACAAGCCCTTTTCTCCCAACTGCACTATTACCTCCTAATCCTTGCAGAAACATTTTTACTCTTCCTGATCAGTGGAGGCTGCCATGGGTCTCCTTTCTCCCTCTTGCTCTTCTCATCTTCTTCTGATGCTCTTTGATGAAAGACCTGCTTCCTTCTTTCCATGAAGTTGCTCCAAGCTTCTTCTTCCCATCAAATATCCAGCTACCCAGTGTTTCTAGATACATTTTTATATTCACCTGTTATTATTTACTAACCCTACAGTAACCACCCACCCTACAGTTTTAATGGCATGACCTATGACACAGCTAACCACCTATCAGAGAAATTATACCCCAAAATCTTTAACTAAAAATTTTAAACAAAATATAAAACTCTCAAAACGAGCAATAATTGTTTTTTTTCCATTCCCATAATGTCCCCAAAATATCTCCTCTGAATTACACCTGAAGTTACTGCACTTACAGTCAGGTTTATAAGCACCTTCTTTTAATATGCAACAACCACAGCAAGTAGTTTAGCAGACAAGGTGTTATTTTCCCCCTTGTTGTGCATTAGTTTAGTCCAGATTGCTTTTCAACAAACAAGTAGTTAATATTAGTCACACAGAAGAAATTGCATTTTTGATGGGAGTTGGATTGAGAATGAGGAGAAGGAGGAGAGATAAATAAATTACCCAAGTCTTTGAAGTCAGGGCTGGATGAGGAGGCGCAGGAAAAGAGATGAGAATAGCATTTATTGATCACATCACATACTGTAGAAAAGTCAGGCACTGGTTTAGTATTTTCAAAGCAACACTGTAATAACAGCAAGGTAACTGAGAGGAGCATCCTCATATCATGAATGAGGAAACCAAGGTTCAGAGAGGTTAATTCACTGGCACAAGGTCATAGAACTGGATAGAAATTCAAACTAGGATTCAAACAAAGCACTTTCTAACTCATAGCACACATCCTTTCCTGAATGCTAGGCTGCATATCAGACCAAAGTGATCAAAGTAGCACCAAGTACACTGAACACTTGAAAGATAAGGAAAGGGATACCAGAATATAGGGACTGGATACAGAAGGGAAATAAAAGGGTTCCAGAAGCAAATGGTGCCCACTACTTTGGCATTTTCCAAGATGTGTCTTAAAGCAAGCATAAGAAACATGTCAATGTCAGAGTTCTTCAACTGAAATCTATGAATATATTATCAGAAATCAATGAAATCTTTGAAACTTCTCATTGCTGATTTTCATTTCAATGGTAATACTTTAAAAGTATTTTCTTAGATAGACTTTATTCTCATTTAGTATAAATTATTATTCAAAGACTTGTGCATTTTCTATTTATACAAAAGAACTGAAATAAATCTTGTAAGCTACTGAATAATAGTAGCTTTTAAAATGTCTCTGCCTTTTCTCTTTGAAGGTTAATATAGTAGCAGCTATCATGATTTCCCTAAAAATATTAACTGTATTCTGCAGACGCACTTGGTTTTGTTAAAAAATATGTATATATTAGCTATAAGAAACAAATATTGCCTCCACACCCCATATAGAGGTTGATGTGGTTCTTCTCCAGCTAATTGCATGCTGCTTTTGCTTTATTTCACTGTGGTAAAATGTATATAACATAAAATTTACCATTGTAACTATTTTTAAAGTATACACTTTAGTGGCATTAAGTACATTCACACTGTTGTGCAACCATCACCACCATCTCCAGAACTTTTTTCATCTTCCCAAGCCAAAACTCTGTATCCATTAAAGATTAACTCTCCATTTCCCTCTCTCTCCAGCCCCTGGAAACCACCATTCTATTTTTTGTCTCTATTCAGGTAACATTTAACAAGTGCTTTAACAAGTTATAAAAACAAAACATCTTTTGAAGTGATAAATACATACACAGTATGGCTTCCTCCAGAACTTGAAAATAAGGGAGATTTTAAAAATGCCCTCTGAGGAATAAACATTAACATTAACACATAATAAATCTTCAGTCGTCATGTGGAAGAGTGACAATGACCTCCAGGTTATGGTCATTCATCTCCCCTCTTTCCACCCTGGTTCTCTGTTCCAGCCACACTGGCCTTCTCTCTGTCCTAAGTCAAACCTTGATCTTTTACATCTATTACTAAAGGCATAAAACAATATCTGAATAGGAAGATATACATATTCTTTTTATATATATATACTTTAAGTTCTGGGTTACATGCGCAGAACATGCAGGTTTGTTACATAGGTATACGTGTGCCATGGTAGTTTGCTGCACCCATCAACTCGTCACTTGCATTAGATATTTCTCCTAATATTATCCCTCCCCTAGGCCCCCACTCCCCACAGGCTCCAGTGTGTGATGTTCCCCTCCTTGTGTCCATGTGTTCTCATTGTTCAACTCCCACTTATGAGTGAGAACATGCAGTGTTTGGTTTCCTGATCTTGCGATAGTTTGCTGAGAATGATGGTTTCCAGCTTCATCCATGTCCCTGCGAAGGACATGAACTCATCCTTTTTTATGGCTGCATAGTATTCCATGGTGTATATGCGCCACATTTTCTTAATCCAGTCTACCATTGATGGACATCTGGGTTGGTTCCAAGTCTTTGCTATTGTGAATAGTGCCGCAATAAACATACGTGTGCATGTGTCTTTATCGTAGAATGATTTATAATCCTTTGGGTATATGCCCAGTAATGGGATTGCTGGGTCAAGTGGTATTTCTAGTTCTAGATCCTTGAGGAATCGCCACACTATCTTCCACAATGGTTGAACTAATGTACACTCCCACCAACAGTGTAAAACCATTCCTATTTTCCCACAACCTCTCCAGCATCTGTTGTTTCCTGACTTTTTAATGATTGCTGTTCTAACTGGCATGAGATGGTATCTCATTGTGGTTTTGATTTGCATTTCTCTAATGACCAGTGATGATGAGCATTTTTTCATAAGACATACATATTCTTTAATGGAAATACTTGGTGTCACAAAAACTCATTCACTTAAAATCAATACATAATTTAGTGAAATATTAATTATAATCCCAATGGGAATTTTAAGTACATAATAGATATTAAAGTACATATAAGTCTAAATGCCCAGGAAAATTATTATAGAGAAGGTTATAGAATATATGGGAGGGCTTATCTTAGCTATTAACATACTATAAAACCAGCATAGTTAAAATAATATAGTATTGGCATAGAGATGTGCAAATAAAGTGGTGGAGTGTAATAGAGATCACAGAAATATACTTCAGTAAATATATTAAAATATAAGATGGGATAAAGTCAGTATTTTAATTCAGTAGGAAAAGAGATATATGGTATTATCACATCTGTCTATACATTTTGAAGAAAATAAAATTGAAACCCTAGCTTGCACCACATCCAGAAGTAAATTCCAGATTAAAAAAAAAAAGATTTAAATTTTAAAAACAAACAATAAAATCCACAGGAGAAAGTCTTCCTGATGGGAATTAATGCTATCAATCCTGCTGGAAAACTCAAAAACATTTTGCCAAACCTCACCATTGGTATAGCCACGGTCATGGGAAGACCCACAGTTCATGTTCATAAAATGCTAGTCGTCCGAATTAAATGGTTTGGTGAGCTATTTGCAGATGGTGCTCTCAGTTTAAAGCAGTCCTTCATTGCTTTGTGTTTTAATAACTATTTCTCTGGAAGGCCTCTGCTTAGGGAGATTTTAGTTACCCAGAGAGGAGATGTCTTGGAAATTTTCATGTAGGACAGGGCCCACCAATTCCTTATACTATTACAATATTATTACAAAACATCTGATGCCCTATTTCATACTTTCCCAAGATGTAAAGCAAAATTGTTATACTGGAGAACCTCATCTGTGCCCTTCCTCCAGAAGAGGGAAACTTGTCAACATTGACCCAGAGGGGTAGAATAGTTCTCATTCTTCACCTGCCCTTTGTTTAAACCAATAGGGCATTAGTACACATGGCATAAGCAGAGGCTTGAGAGTTGCTCGCATGGTTTACCATGAGCAGAAGTCTCCTGTATAACTGTTAACCCTTTAACTTGGGTCACAAAATGAACCACAGGGAAAAATTCACCACAACCAACTCTCAGAATAAAAGCATAAAGTACAGCTTCCTCAGCTAACATGAACACAAAAAATATCAGTACGCCACTAAGATTGTTTGTTACAAAGCTATACCTGTCCGTAAAATACAGCTATGATATTTAAGTTAACGTGCATAGACTCAAGGGATGGAAACAGTGGATAACATTCAGAGGTTCTTGTCAGGGGGCTAGAAAAGCCCATATGAAATCTTTCCTTTTTTTCTGACTCAAAATTGAAAGAGACATGCTAGCTATTTACCTATTCAACCATAATGTATCCCATGCCTATCACGCAACTACTGCTCACAGTGCTAAGCAAGATAAATCTTTCCCAAATCTTTGAGACTTTAGCCCAGTAGAGAACTCAGAGTAAGCAGAGCATTTTGATCCCACGTGAGGAGTGCTAGTCTATAAGAAACATATGATGCTACATGAGGATATTTTATGAGAAGTTCACAGTGCCACACCTAAGGAAAACTTAGGGAGCCTCATAAGTTTAATGAGGGGAAATCTAGGTTGAGATCTAAAAATGAAGAGCAGTTAAGAGGTTAAGGAAGGCATAGAAAATCATATGTCATGACAAGGTGCCAGCTTTGCAAGACCCAGAGATAAGTGATCATACAGCACATTGGAAGATTTGAAATATCGTTATGTCAGAAGAAAATAAATGGTGGAAACTACTAGAAGAAAACACTGGGGAAAATCTCTAGGACATTGGTCTGGGCAAAAATTTCTTGAGTAATACCCCACAAGCACAGGCAACCAAAGCAAAAATGGACAAATGGGATCATATCAAGTTAAAAAGCTTCTGGATAGCAAAGGAAGCAATCAACAAAGTAAAGAGACAACCCACAGAATGAGAGAAAATATTTGCAAACTACCCATCTGACAAGGGATTAACAACCAGAATATATAAGGACCTCAAATGATTCTATAGGAAAAGAATCTGATAATCCAATTAAATAATGGGGAAAAGGTTTGAATAGACATGTCTCAAAAAAAGACATAAATGGCCATCAGGCATATGAAAAGGTGTTCAACATCATTGATCATCAGAGAAATGCAGATCAAAATTACAATGAGATATCATTTCACCCAGTTAAAATGGCTTATATCCAAAAGACAGGCAATAACAAACGCTGGAGATGATGTGGAGAAAAGGGAACCCTCATACACTGTTTGTGGAAATGTAAATTAGTACAACCACTATGGAGAACAGTTAGGATGTTCCTCAGAAGAACTAAAAATTGAGCTACCATACAATCCAGCAATCCCACTGCAGGGTATATGACCAAAAGAAAGGAAACCAGTATATCGAAGAGATATCTGCATGTTTGTTGCAGCATTATTTAGCTAAGATTTGGACACAACCTAAGTGTCCATCAACAGATGAATGGATAAAGAAAATGCAGTACATACACATAATGGAGTACTACTCAGCCATAAAAAAAAGAAATCTAATCATTTGCAACAACATGGTTGGAACTAGAGGTCATTATGTTAAGTGAAATAAGACAGGCACAGAAAGACAAACATCACATGTTCTCATTCATTTGTGAGATCTAAAAATCAAAACAATTGAACTCATGGAGATAGAGGGTAGAGGGATGGTTACCAGAGGCTGGGAAGAGTAGTGGGGGATGAAGGGAAGGTGAGGATGGTTAATGGGTACAAAAAATGGAAAGAATGAATAAGACCTAGTATTTGATAGCACAACAGGGTGACTATAGTTAATAATAATTTAATTGTACATTTTACAATAACATAAAGAGTGTAATTGGATTGTTTGTAACACAAAGGATAAATTCTTGAGGGGATAGATACCCCATTTTCCCTGATGTGCTTATTTCACATTGTATGCCTGTATCAAAACATCTTATGTAGCCCATAAACATATACACCTACTATGTACACACAAAAATTAAAAATAAAAAATTTATTTAAAAAGTGAAAAAAAGGAAAACTAATGGTAGAATGGGAGAGAAGGACTGGGAAAGGAAAAAAGGAAACCATGTCTCAGATTTGCTATGTCTTCTCTCTTTTCCTCAATATTCTTCTGTGAATGGCAAAACATTACACATTTAATATATGAAGCACATTTTTTCCCTATGGCTATTCTTTTTTGTGTAATCCCAAAGAGGTTCTGTTCAGATATCAGAGAAGGCTGACCTAGAGCAAGAGAGTGACAAATATACAGATATTATGCAGATAATGTAAGCAAATATTGGCTCAAAAATAATTTTCTTAAAAACAACAACATATAGGAAAGTTCCAAATATTCAAGACCTTTTAATGTCTGATTCTTAAGGAGTTTACAATCTGCTGGTGAATAGAAGGGAATAACATATTCTTCAATAAGGTTAAGATATGAAATTTTTAAAAACAAAACAAAATGTTGTCTGTGGACCTCAAGTTGCTTTTGCTTCAACCCCTCCCCATTCATGTGGAATCTTTTCTGAACCTGCTTCAACTAGCCAAGTTCAAACTGTCTACTCTGCCATCCCTATAATAACCTGATCTCAGGAAAATACTGGGGATTCATTCATACTAAAGCGTAATTTGCAGATAAAGTTTACAGGGCAGTCACCCCAGGGATATGTGCATTGCAATGGGCTGGAAAAGCACTAAACTAAGAATATCATTTTAGGCCTCAACAAAAGGCTGACAGATTGGGATCTGCCTTTCCTCATTGTATCTATGCCTTTTTGAGAAGCAGAAAGTAATTCATCCTTCCTCTTAGAGATGTACTGTTGAATCTCATTATTTGCAGTAGTTATGAAGTCATCATGAATACTTGAATACTGCATTACTGAATACTGAAGCAGTATTCCTAGGGGAAATACAGGTTCCTGTGAGTCTCTGATAACAACATTTTTATCAACTGATCAATACATGACCTTATCTTATGTTTGTTTCTATTTAAAGACACCTTATTTAATATATATTGTTGATTTATTAACATTGAACTCCTTTTCAAAAGCACTATCACTCATGCCTGGCACAGGTATTTTCTCCAAAAGGCACATCAAAGCCTTATAATGATTAGGGACACTAGACAGTACCTCAACACTATACTTGGGGGTCACTTTAAGCAGCAAAATCACCTACAAAAAGCACAAAAATGTGGCACTAAACAGACCATGAAAAGTACACTTGTTTACAGTCTGAAAGTTGAAACAAGAAGCCAGAGTGACGCCTTGTTTGACTTCAACTGAGGGGGTGTGCATTGAGTGAGTAACATTTTTCACCACCCTAAGCATGTCTGTGAATGATTGCAAAAGCACCTCCAGTATTGATTTGAGAGTTATAAAGAAACTTTAGCAAGTAGGTACATTTATAAATATGGCATCTGCAAGTAATGAGGACCAACAGTCTAGGCACCACATATTGTTTCCCCTTTCTGCCTTATCCGCTATTTACACACTGGGTAAACACTCTCCAGGAGCCACATGCAGAGCTGTCCCCCACTTCTAACAGTGTGTACTGGTGTTCCCTGCATTCCAGGTTCTGCTAGGTCATCCTGTGGGGATGAGAGTCATGTGAGCTTGTATTGGTTACTTCTGGAGATTGCTTGTATTTTGTGATTGTGTGTGTGTACACCTACACAAATAAGGCCTTATACTTTTTACACATGTGTGTGCATTCTCAAGATGCTTAAATGACTATAATGTATTATTCAGGGGAGTGATGCATCTTATTCTTCATAAACAGTGCTGTTTTCTATCTCTTTTAGAGATGAATGACTTGTCCCCCTAGGATAAGATGATACCCTCTTATTCAGTCAGTATATGCATCAGAAATGCTGTCAGATAGTGTGCTGGATTATTTTATGGTCAATTTTGTATGCCAGGAATGAAGTTTTCCAGAATCTCCTTTCCTACATTGTTCATAGTGAGAGTTGGCCAAAGGCGAGACTATACGAGATTTGGGAGACAGAAGGGAAGCAGCACCCATCGCATTCTGAAGGTCATTGTTGGCTAGAGGTGGCGAGACACAGATGCAGAGCTGTCTATGGGGCCATCTGCTCCTTACTCTCCTCACCTCCACATTCAGCTCTTCAGCCCCTGCTGACCAACAGCAATCCCAGGCCCACTACGAGTTGCTGCCCTACAAACTTACAGAGGTAGTGGCCACAAAGAGCCAACAACTTCCCATGACAGCTCTACCAGCTCCTCTCTATGGTCTGACTCCAGCCACTGGACCTGCTAAGCTCCAGAATTTGCCCAGAAGCTCTCATTCAGTAATGCCAGGGCTGATTAGTGACCTTCCCCTGACCCCTCAGTGCCCACCTCCTGTTGTCCAATGTTTGCTTCCCCAGTTCCTCCCCCACTGATAAGGTCTAATTTTTATAATGAATTTCTTCTTTCATACTACTCTTAGTGGTTCTGCTTCTGTGACTCATACAGTTATTAGCGTTTGATTTTTGATTTCTCCTTTCAGTGCCAGGCCTATACAAAATAGGTAACAGACATTCTTGTGGACAAACTAAGATACAGAGCTGTAACAAAGATCCATGCTGTTTGTAGAGTGGTGTTAGAAAACCACATGACCACTAGTGAATCACCCTGAAACCAGCTCAGTGCCTCCGTGTTGTGATCTCTGCTTACCACGCCTGGCATACAGCCATTTCTTACGCTTGCATGGCTCCTTCCAACCTACAAGGTGCTTTTCAGTGCATATTCTAGGGACCAACACTATAGGAAGGACTTGGAATTGGTTTTCCCATTTTATGGATGAAGAAACTAAGAAAGGTTAAGGTGATGGGGCTAGGAAGTGGCAGAGTCAAGAATTAAACTGAAGCCTTCCAGAGGATTCTTTCCATTTCACTTAGGAGACTCAAACGTCATGTAAAATATTTAAGTAGGCACCTGTTCCTAATGGTTAATACCTTTACAACAGCAAAATTTCCCTAAGACAGCTTTTCCCTCAGTGATCTAATTTATGTCCTACCATTAGCCATCTCCATTAGAAAGAAAAATCGCAGACACTTTCAGAAGGACAAGTGAAACAAAATTGGGCCTCAGAGAATTTTACAGGGCCAGAAGAGACCTATGCAATCATCTAACATGGTAGACTCCTTTTAAAAATAAGGAGAGTAGAGCCTAAGACTCCCTTACTCCTCAAAGTGTGGCCCCCAGATCAGCAGCATCAGCATCACCTGGCAGTTTGTTAGAAATGCAGTTTCAGGCCCTATCCCAGGAATCTGTGTTTTAAACAAGTTCTCCGTGTGATTTTTTTCAGAATCACTACAGTTTGAGATTCACTGGGCTAAGTGACTTATCCAAGGTTTCATGATTAACTCATAACAAATCCAGCTCTTTTAATTTCCAAGTTCAATGCTTTTTCCGTTATACCAAATGGCTAATAAATACCAACATTCCCTCTCCGTCCATTCACCATTTCCCTAGTCAGGTCGTAGCTAAAATCATTTATTTTGTATTACAAAAAGAATACAGTAAATGAGGCCCCCATAATAATATTTTCTAGAAAACTTTTTGTCTAATAAAAATCCTTTAAATATTGGTTTTGAAGTAAGCTGTAAGGAATTCTTCTCTGCCACCCCAATCAGTGATTTATTCTCTTTCCTATTAACTTCACAATGCATTTGTTTGGTGCTGAGAAGTAGCTGTGCTTTGGTCCCATCTCAGGAAGGTGAAATAAGATCATGATATTGAAAAATCTTAAAGTTACTGAACTAAAACGCCAAGTTATTCTGCTGATCTGTTTCTTTACGCAGTCTGCACTCTCAAATGCAAAACAGCTGGGCCTGCTTGACTTAAATAACTAGACCAGTCTTTTCCAAAGTTATCCCCCACAAGCCTAGGATAACCTCTGCCTTGGAACTTCAGATGTTTCCACAAGGCTCTTTGGGCACCATTTTATTATTACAAATCATTTCAGATGAGTTACTCTGTTTAGGTTTTTATGTTATTCCAGAGAAGGCCCACCTGCTGGCTTGTGGCAATGGGAGGAGGGGGGTTGTGTCAGGTGCCCCTGGATTGGCCTTTATTTGAAACCTGGTGATTGTCCCTATTGACAGTTGCTGTGAAGATACTTCTTGGAATGAGGCTTTGTCTGCCCAGAGCTGCTTTGGGTGTCAGAACAAAGGACGTGGGTAAAGAGTTATTTCCTATGGGGAGTCTTGCATGCCATGTGCCTCACTGTTCCTTGGGGACTCTTCTCTGGAGAAAACACTTTACAAATGGAGAGCATCATGAGAATGCATAGAACAAGTGGCAACGTAATGGCGTGAATGAAAATTTAGAAACTTTGAAGATGAGCTCAGTACATCTTCTTCCATCATCTGCCATGGTCTAATATGTTTGTGTCCTCCCAAAATTCATATGTTGAGACCTAATCCTCAACGGGGTGGCATTAAGAGGTGGGCCTTTGGAAAGTGATTAGGTCACCTGCCCTCATGAATGAGATTACTGCCCTTATAAAAGAGGCTCTGGGGAGCCTGTTTGTCCCTTATGTTATGTAAGGGCACAGCAAGAAGATGCTATCTTTGAAACAGAGGGTGAGCCCTCACCAGTCAATGAATCTGTTTGATCATGAACTTCCTAGCCTCCAGGACTGTGAGAACTAAACTTCTATTATCTATAAATTGCCCAATCTATCATATTTTATTATAGCAGCCTGAACAGACAAAAATATTCATTCCTTGGAATCTCAGGGAATCATTAAATTTTAATAATTTTCATCTATTATTCGTGTCATTCTTCAGGATGCCAAAGGTAGGATTTCAGCATAAGCTAATTTGGCCTTTTTTTTCAGATTCCATAAAGCAAAACCATATCTGTTTTCTCTCCATAATTCCTTTTATGGAAGATTTTAAACTTTGATGGTTTTCCCCCCAAATTAGCAGTAGAAAAAATACTTCTGTCAAACAAAATCTTATGCCGGAACAAATAAAAGAAACAGACAAAAATTATAACTAAATTCAGGAGGAGTAAGGTATATAAAAATGTATCCTGAAATGACATCAAAGTAAATTCTCATGTATAGTAGTTAAAACATTCCACTAAATAGCTTTCTGATCTTGAGTGAGTTACTTATCTTCACTGGGGACAATAATACACCAACCTGGGGGGGGCAGCCAAGATGGCCGAATAGGAACAGCTCCGGTCTACAGCTCCCAGCGTGAGCGACACAGAAGACGGGTGATTTCTGCATTTCCATCTGAGGTACCAGGTTCATCTCACTACGGAGTGCCAGACAGTGGGCGCAGGACAGTGGGTGCAGCGCACTGTGCATGAGCTGAAGCAGGGCAAGGCATTGCCTCACTCGGGAAGCGCAAGGGGTCAGGGAGTTCCCTTTCCTAGTCAAAGAAAGGAGTGACAGACAGCACCTGGAAAATCAGGTCACTCCCACCCTAATAGTGTGCTTTTCCGACAGACTTAAAAAACGGCGTACCAGGAGATTATATCCTGCACCTGGCTTGGAGGGTCCTATGCCCATGGAGTCTCGCTGATTGCTAGCACAGCAGTCTGAGATCAAACTGCAAGGTGGCAGCCAGGCTGGGGGAGGGGCGCCTGTCATTGCCCAGGCTTGCTTAGGTAAACGAAGCAGCCGGGAAGCTCCAACTGGGTGGAGCCCACCACAGCTCAAGGAGGCCTGCCTGCCTCTGTAGGCTCCACCTCTAGGGGCAGGGCACAGACAAACGAAAAGACAGCAGTAACCTCTGCAGACTTAAATGTCCCTGTCTGACAGCTTTGAAGAGAGCAATGGTTCTTCCAGCACGCAGCTGGAGATCTGAGAACGGGCAGACTGCCTCTTCAAGTAGGTCCCTGACCACTGACCCCAGAGCAGCCTAACTGGGAGGCACCCCCCAGTAGGGGCAGACTGACACCTCACATGGCCGGGTACTCCTCTGAGACAAAACTTCCAGAGGAACGATCAGACAGCAGCATTCACGGTTCACGAAAATCCGCTGATCTGCAGCCACCACTGCTGATACCCAGGCAAACAGGGTCTGGAGTGGACCTCTAGCAAACTCCAACAGACCTGCAGCTGAGGGTCCTGTCTGATAGAAGGAAAACTAACGAACAGAAAGGACATCCACACCAAAAACCCATCTGTACATCACCATCATCAAAGACCAAAAGTAGATAAATCCACAAATATGAGGACAAAACAGAGCAGAAAAACTGGAAACTCTAAAAAGCAGAGCGCCTCTCCTCCTCCAAAGGAACGCAGTTCCTCACCAGCAATGGAACAAAGCTGGACAGAGAATGACTTTGATGAGTTGAGAGAAGAAGGCTTCAGACGATCAAACTACTCTGAGCTACAGGAGGAAATTCAAACCAAAGGCAAAGAAGTTAAAAACTTTGAAAAAAATTTAGACGAATGTATAACTAGAATAACCAGTACAGAGAAGTGCTTAAAGGAGCTGATGGAGCTGAATGCCAAGGCTCGAGAACTGTGCGAAGAATGCAGAAGCCTCAGGAGCCGATGCCATCAACTAGAAGAAAGGGTATCAGTGATGGAAGATGAAATGAATGAAATGAAGCGACAAGGGAAGTTTAGAGAAAAAAGAATAAAAAGAAATGAACAAAGCCTCCAAGAAATATGGGACTATGTGAAAAGACCAAATCTACATCTGATTGGTGTACCTGAAAGTGACAGGGAGAATGGAACCAAGTTGGAAAACACTCTGCAGGATATTATCCAGGAGAACTTCCCCAATCTAGCAAGGCAGGGCAACATTCAGATTCAGGAAATACAGAGAATGCCACAAAGATACTCCTCGAGCAGAACAACTCCAAGACACATAATTGTCAGATTCACCAAAGTTGAAATGAAGGAAAAAATGGTAAGGGCAGCCAGAGAGAAAGGTCGGGTTACCCACAAAGGGAAGCCCATCAGACTAACAGCAGATCTCTTGGCAGAAACTCTACAAGCCAGAAGGGAGTGGGGGCCAATATTCAACATTCTTAAAGAAAAGAATTTTCAACCCAGAATTTCATATCCAGCCACACTAAGCTTCATAAGTGAAGGAGAAATAAAATACTTTACAGACAAGCAAATGCTGAGAGATTTTGTCACCACCAGGCCTGCCCTAAAAGAGCTCCTGAAGGAAGCACTAAACATGGAAAGGAACAACTGGTACCAGCCACTGCAAAATCATGCCAAATTGTAAAGACCATCGAGGCTAGGAAGAAACTGCATCAACTAATGAGCAAAATAACCAGCTAACATCATAATGACAGGATCAAATTCGCACATAACAACATTAACTTTAAATGTAAATGGACTAAATGCTCCAATTAAAAGACACAGACTGGCAAAGTGGATAAAGAGTCAAATCCCATCAGTGTGCTGTATTCAGGAAACCCATCTCACATGCAGAGACACACATAGGCTCAAAATAAAAGGATGGAGGAAGATCTACCAAGCAAATGGAAAACAAAAAAAGGCAGGGGTTGCAATCCTAGTCTCTGATAAAACAGACTTTAAACCAACAAAGATCAAAAGAGACAAAGAAGGCCATTACATAATGGTAAAGGGATCAATTCAACAAGAAGAGCTAATTATCCTAAATATATATGCACCCAATACAGGAGCACCCAGATTCATAAAGCAAGTCCTGAGTGACCTACAAAGAGACTTAGACTCCCACACAATACTAATGGGAGACTTTAACACCCCACTGTCAACATTAGACAGATCAATGAGACAGAAAGTTCATAAGGATACCCAGGAATTGAACTCAGCTCTGCACCAAGCGGACCTAATAGACATCTACAGAAATCTCCACCCCAAATCAACAGAATATACATTTTTTTCAGCACCACACCACACCACACCTATTCCAAAATGGACCACATAGTTGGAAGTAAAGCTCTCCTCAGCAAATGTAAAAGAACAGAAATTAAAACAAACTGTCTCTCAGACCACAGTGCAATCAAACTAGAACTCAGGATTAAGAAACTCACTCAAAACTGCTCAACTACATGGAAACTGAACAACCTGCTCCTGAATGACTACTGGGTACATAACGAAATGAAGGCAGAAATAAAGACGTTCTTTGAAACCGACGAGAACAAAGATACAACATACCAGAATCTCTGGGACACATTCAAAGCAGTGTGTAGAGGGAAATTTATAGCACTAAATGCCCACAAGAGAAAGCAGGAAAGATCCAAAATTGACACCCTAACATCACAATTAAAAGAACTAGAAAAGCAAGAGCAAACACATTCACAAGCTAGCAGAAGGCAAGAAATAACTAAAATCAGAGCAGAACTGAAGGAAATAGAGACACAAAAACCCTTCAAAAAATTAATGAATCCAGGAGCTGGTTTTTTGAAAGGATCAACAAAATTGATAGATAGATCACTAGCAAGAGTAATAAAGAAGAAAGGAGAGAAGAATCAAATAGACACAATAAAAAATGATAAAGGGGATATCACCACCGATCCCACAGAAATACAAACTACCATCAGAGAATCCTATAAACACCTCTATGCAAATAAACTAGAAAATCTAGAAGAAATGGATAAATTCCTCGACACATACACCCTCCCAAGACTAAACCAGGAAGAAGTTGAATCTCTGAATAGACCAATAACAGGCTCTGAAATTGTGGCAATAGTCAATAGCTTACCAACCAAAAAGAGTCCAGGACCAGATGGATTCACAGCCGAATTCTACCAGAGGTACAAGGAGGAACTAGTACCATTCCTTCTGAAACTCTTGCAATCAATAGAAAAAGAGGGAATCCTCCCTCACTCATTTTATGAGGCCAGCATCATCCTGATACCAAAGCCTGGCAGAGACACAACAAAAAAAGAGAATTTTAGACCAATATCCTTGATGAACATTGATGCAAAAATCCTCAATAAAATACTGGCAAACCAAATCCAGCAGCACATCAAAAAGTTTATCCACCATGATCAAGTGGGCTTCATCCCTGGGATGCAAGGCTGGTTCAATACATGCAAATCAATAAATGTAATCCAGCATATAAACAGAACCAAAGACAAAAACCACATGATTATCTCAATAGATGCAGAAAAGGCCTTTGACAAAATTCAACAACCCTTCATGCTAAAAACTCTCAATAAATTAGGTATTGATGGGACGTATCTCAAAATAATAAGAGCTATCTATGACAAACCCACAACCAATATCATACTGAATGGGCAAAAACTGGAAGCATTCCCTTTGAAAACTGGCACAAGACAGGGATGCCCTCTCTCATCACTCCTATTCAACATAGTGTTGGAAGTTCTGGCCAGGGCAATTAGTCAGGAGAAGGAAATAAAGGGTATTCAATTAGGAAAAGAGGAAGTCAAATTGTCCCTGTTTGCAGATGACATGATTGTAGATCTAGAAAACCCCATTGTCTCAGCCCAAAATCTCCTTAAGCTGATAAGCAACTTCAGCAAAGTCTCAGGATACAAAATCAATGTACAAAAATCACAAGCATTCTCATACACCAATAACAGACAGACAGAGAGCCAAATCATGAGTGAACTCGCATTCACAATTGCTTCAAAGAGAATAAAATACCTAGGAATCCACCTTACAAGGGACGTGAAGGACCTCTTCAAGGAGAACTACAAACCACTGCTCAATGAAATAAAAGAGGATACAAACAAATGGAAGAACATTCCATGCTCATGGGTAGGAAGAATCAATATCGTGAAAATGGCCATACTGCCCAAGGTAATTTATAGATTCAATGCCATCCCCATCAAGCTACCAATGACTTTCTTCACAGAATTGGAAAAAACTACTTTAAAGTTCATATGGAAACAAAAAAGAGCCCGCATGGCCAAGTCAATCCTAAGCCAAAAGAACAAAGCTGGAGGCATCACGCTACCTGACTTCAAACTATACTACAAGGCTACAGTAACCAAAACAGCATGGTACTGGTACCAAAACAGAGATATAGATCAATGGAACAGAACAGAGCCCTCAGAAATAACGCCGCATATCTACAACTATCTGATCTTTGACAAACCTGAGAAAAACAAGCAATGGGGAAAGGATTCCCTATTTAATAAATGGTGCTGGGAAAACTGGCTAGCCATATGTAGAAAGCTGAAACTGGATCCTTTCCTTACACCTTATACAAAAATTAATTCAAGATGGATTAAAGACTTAAATGTTAGACCTAAAACCATAAAAACCCTAGAAGAAAACCTAGGCATTAGCATTCAGGACATAGGCATGCCTATGTCATGGGCAAGGACTTCATGTCTAAAACACCAAAAGCAATGGCAAGAAAAGCCAAAATTGACAAATGAGATCTAATTAAACTAAAGAGCTTCTGCACAGCAAAAGAAACTACCATCAGAGTGAACAGGCAACCTACAAAATGGGAGAAAATTTTCACAACCTACTCATCTGACAAAGGGCTAATATCCAGAATCTACAATGAACTCCAACAAATTTACAAGAAAAAAACAAACAACCCCATCAAAAAGTGGGCGAAGGACATGAACAGACACTTCTCAAAAGAAGACATTTATGCAGCCAAAAAACACATGAAAAAATGCTCACCATCACTGGCCATCAGAGAAATGCAAATCAAAACCACAATGAGATACCATCTCACACCAGTTAGAATGGCCATCATTAAAAAGTCAGGAAACAACAGGTGCTGGAGAGGATGTGAAGAAATAGGAACACTTTTACACTGTTGGTGGGACTGTAAACTAGTTCAACCATTGTGGAAGTCAGTGTGGCGATTCCTCAGGGATCTAGAACTAGAAATACCATTTGACCCAGCCATCCCATTACTGGGTATATACCCAAAGGACTATAAATCATGCTGCTATAAAGACACATGCACACGTATGTTTATTGCGGCACTATTCA
This sequence comes from Homo sapiens, assembly GCF_000001405.40. Classification (NCBI taxonomy): domain Eukaryota; kingdom Metazoa; phylum Chordata; class Mammalia; order Primates; family Hominidae; genus Homo; species Homo sapiens. The sequence goes on along the minus strand of NC_000023.11, from coordinate 16,231,114 downwards.
CAATAGCAAAGACTTGGAACCAACCCAAATGTCCAACAATGATAGACTGGATTAAGAAAATGTGGCACATATACACCATGGACTACTATGCAGCCATAAAAAATGATGAGTTCATGTCCTTTGTAGGGACATGGATGAAATTGGAAATCATCATTCTTAGTAAACTATCTCAAGGACAAAAAACCAAACACCACATGTTCTCACTCATAGGTGGGAATTGAACAATGAGAACACATGGACACAGGAAGGGGAACATCACACTCTAGGGACTGTTGTGGGGTAGTGGGAGGGGGGAGGGATAGCATTAGGAGATATACCTAATGCTAAATGACAAGTCAATGGGTGCAGCACACCAGCATGGCACATGTATACATATGTAACTAACCTGCACATTGTGGACATGTACCCTAAAACTTAAAGTGTAATAATAATAAAATAAAATAAATAAATAAATAAATAAATAAAAAAGAAACAGCAAGTACCTGGGAATAAATCTCAGGTGAGAGATGCTGAAGAACTCCATAGAAATAAATATATAAAAACTTTATAGCAACACTGAAAAACATTTAAAGAAATGGATAGATGTATTTTCTTTAAGTAGCAGAAAATTCAATATTATAACAATGTGACTTCTTCTTAAATTGATATAGAGATTCAATGCAATCTCAAAACAATCTCAACTTTTTTTTTTTCTGGGAACTTGCCAAACTGATTGTAAATTTACGTGGAACATAAAAGATCAAAAACAGCCAAACATCCTTGAAGGATATCATGATTGAATAAAATGTCCTATCTAGTCAGTGGTCATTAGTGTCAAACACCACTATAAAGACAAGTGAGGTGGGGATGGACACATGCCTGTGGGATATGGCATTATTGAGGCCATCAGTGGTAACAATGGGATCACTCCATTGACCTGGTGCAGATGGACATAAAACAGAAATTGATTGAGATGGTAAAGGAGTGATTTGAAAGTGGAGACAAGGAGCACGCTACAGTATTCTTTGAAGAAGTATAGTTCTTAAAGAAAGGAAACACATTGGGGAGGATGGGTTGAAGAAGTTTTTGCTTTGTATAGGCTGGAGTCATTTTAACACATATGCTTGATTTTTAAAAAAGATTGTGTGGAGGAAGCAGTTGACAGAAACAGAGAAAGAGGTAAATATTGGGTAACAGTCTTTGATGAGATGTAAATGTTGTGGGATCTAATACATGGAATTGTCCTTCTATAGGAAAAGGTAACTCATTTCTTCTGACACAGTAACAAAGAGAATGGGAGTAGTGTTGGGGTAGGCAGTTTGTGTAAACTAAAAGCTGATAGAATTTCTACGTGATGCTCTTCATTTTGTCAATAAAGTAGGAGGAGGAACTGACAGCTAATAAGAGGGAGGATGGAAAAAGTAAGTTATTGGGCCTTGGAGAGAGACCTTGGAACACCCATTCAGGGAATTGAGATGGGAAGAAACTCGGAGACTAATAAGGCATTTTCTGAGTTATCACAGAGAGTCCTGCTGCATTTGAAGTCATTGATTTATAAGCTAGGGCTTTTTATTTGAAGTTTAGTGTCTATCAAGAAGAATTAACATAAGAACACGGCTAACAACATGCCAGTTGCTCTTATTATCATATCAAAACTCACAACAACCCAATAGGAAGGTACTATTATTATCCTTATTTTATGGAACAAAGAAATGTGACTTCCTCAAGGTCACATGGCTAATAAGTGGTAAAGCTGGGATTGCATCCTAGGCAGCTTGAATTTGGAGCCCACATCCTTAAACACTATGCTATACTGCAACTGTTTGAAATTTTGTTTTGTGATCTCATCCTTTAGTGATCGCTGTAAATAGATTAATGGATGGTACAGATCTGTTCTATGTTGAAAAGTGATATCAGAGAATCTGGGCTGTTAGGTTTTTGTTTGTTTGTCCATTTGCTTTTTTGTGAAATTAAATCAATAAAGAATTTTATGCCCAGAAAGAGAAGAGCTCTTTGATATCTGGACCAGTGAGCTTTTGTGTTTCTCTGTGTACCCTTGACCCATGGCTACAATTTTAGAACTGAAGCTATAATTCGGAAAGATCTTTACCCCCTTTTGAGTGTGCAGTTTTCCTATCTCTGGAGGATGTTAACCAATTAGATTATGAAGCATCTCAAATTAAAGAAACTCTATTCTGAGCTCCTTGAACTGTCAATCTACATTGGTTTATAGATATAAATGAATGCATACAGAAAATGAATATTCCCCATATTTCAGAAAATAAGGACACTTCTAATATTTTAAAGGTACTAAAAAGTTTTCAGAAAAACTAACTCAAAAATATTTTAAGAATCCAAGTCCATGTAATTTTGGCAAATAAGACTAATTAAATAATTTTGGTTTAATAAAAACAACTATGTCTTCTCTGACTTACCAGTGTTGAATACATTTTTATTCTATTTGCATATGTTTTTCCTAAATGTATACAGATCAAATAAGGTAACATTACTCCTAATGTTTAAGATTATGGAAAATGTAGATTTATGTTAATTAAATTGCATCATTATTCTACATTTGATCTTAGCCAAAAGGTCAAGAAATTATATTCTAAAAAACTTTGAATTTCAGCAGCAATTATGTTTTGTAGTATGTCAGCTTAAAGATAATTTCCACAATTTTAAAGTACCTTAAAATTTGGGGATGATAGGGGCAGGCACAGTGGTGTGTGGAGGCTGAGGCAGGAGGATTGCCTGAACCCAGGAGTTTGAGGTCAACCTGGGTAATATAGCAAGAGCCTGTCTCAAAAAAAAAAAAAAAAGAAAAAGAAAAAAAAATGTAAAAAAAATTGGGGATGGGTTTCACTCACGTCCGTGTGAAGAGACCACCAAACAGGCTTTGTGTGAGCAACAAGGCTGTTTATTTCACCTGGGTGCAGGCGGGCTGAGTCCAAAAAGACAGTCAGCAAAGGGAGATAGGGGTGGGGCCATTTTATAAGATTTGGGTAGGTAAAGGAAAATTACAGTCAAAGTGGGGGGTTGTTCTCTGGCTGGCAGGGGTGGGGGTCACAAGGTGCTCAGTAAGGGAGCTTTTGAGCCAGGATGAGCCAGGAGAAGGAATTTCACAAGATAATGTCATCAGTTCAGGCAGGAACAAGCCATTTTCACTTCTTTTGTGGTGGAATGTCATCAGTTAAGGCAGGAACCGGCCATCTGGATGTGTATGTGCAGGGGATATGATGGCTTGGCTTGGGCTCAGAGGCCTGACAGTGGGGATGATAGTAAATTGAGTTAATTAATGAATCACCATTCGATACCTAGGTCATATAATTACCAAGCATAATTTTATCTTTATAAAGTTTTGCTCTTAATTTGTGTATACCAAAGAAGAGGTTATATCTTTCGGCCATGTCAAAGAATGTGTTCATTTTTGCCACTTTGACAAAGTATAAAAAGGGGTTGTGTGACTGTAGAAGGTTGTCTGAAGAGCTTTGCCTGTTTGCTGAAACACTTGTGGAGGGCCAAAAGTTCTCAATTATTTTCCCCTCCCTGTTTACTTCATGTAATAGAAGTTAGTTACTTTTGTTAAAGGTTATAATTAATGAGTGGCTGAGATACCCTAGCAGAAATAGTGGCAGAAAAACACAACTGTGCATGTGCCTTTTTTTCTCAAGGAAAAAGAGTATGTATGCCTTAATGCAGTAGTATTCAGCTTCTTTTTCCTTTTTGGTGTCTGAACCTCTTTATACTCTTGGAGCTTACTGAGGAGCCCAAAAAAACTTTTGTATATGTAGGTTAACTATCAATACATACTATAGTAGAAATGAAAACTGAGACCATTTTAAAATACTTACTTATTGGTTCCTTTAAAAATAGCAATGATGAATACATTGCATGTTAGTAACATCTTACTATTACAGTGAAATTAATGCTGACCTTTTGGGTGCCCTAAGATCTGTCTTAAAGTGTCAGATTGTTCCAGAATGTGAAGGAGCTAATGAAGGACAAACCTTGGAAAGTAAATCTCATTTGCCCTGGCTTATAATACCCAAGTTTGAAAACAAGTTATAAAATGTGTTAAAATCTTAGCAAAGTGTGCTCAATTTTGGTGGCTTTATTTCCTTGGTTTACTGCTTATTGGCTTTGCCTACATTAGAGACAGTTGTTTTATACTTTCCAGATAGAAATTCTGTGTCTAACCAGAATAATTCCCTGGGCTTTATGTTGATTTTATTATATCTTTGACTATGTGGAAAAAAAAAAGAACAAAGGTTTGTCATTCCTCACTTGTAAAAGAACAAAGATTCTTTACAATCATGTTGCCTTCTTTTTTTTTATTTTAAAATGTTTTATTGACACTGATGTAATATAGAGCCAAATGTTACTTCTCAGGCACCCACAATTGTATTTTAACCAAGTGTGCAAGACTCCTCTGACAACTTCTTTGATTTTTGCTTGATATATTTTGATTTTTGCTTGGTATATTTCTTGGTATATTAGTTATGTTTCAGATTATTATATATATCAGGATTTTTCCCTTTAAAAAAATATGTTCATCCATTTTTGTCTTCTTCCATTTTTATACATCAAATGTAATGTTTACTAGCTTTGTTGAAAATAGGCATAATCACTGTTTTCAAGACATTTTGTGGACATTTTTAGAATGACTTTATTATCTTTGCTTTTCACGTCCTGGAAGAATGCAATTTCCTTGTCAGTTGCATTATTCTTATAAACTTTCATCAAACATTTCACATATGAGAATTTTTAGTGAAAGTTGATTTTCAGTGAAAGTCTCCTTGCTCTACAGATAGCTTTTATTTTACTCTAATTATCATTATAAGCTATAAATCATGTTTTTGTCTTCAGTAAATGAAGAACCATCTCAGAGTGCTGTGAAAGACTATGACAGGTAATTATTGACACTATGAAAAAAATCCTGAGTACAGGCTTCTGATGGTGTCATTTAGACATATTTGAAATCATATCAGTGGACTGAGTCAGGATTTTCAGAACTCTTTTTAGCCAACAAGTAAATAGTTTCATAACACTACTGACACTCCATCAGAATAATAACTTTACATAGGACTGAATAAACTGATAAGAGAAAATTTGTTGTGATTACTTGTTTGGAATAAAGTTGAATTTGTTTGGAATAAAGCTGTTTTAGTGGTTTTTTTCCTGTATTGTATAAGAAAACTTTTCTTTTTCTACTTAAGCTATCTGTAACCCGCAACATTTTTAAACAGTTTTACTGAGATATAATTTATATACCGTAGATTTCACCCATTTAAAATATAAAATTCAGTGCTTTTTAGTACATTCACAGAGTGAATATTGCCATCACCACACCATGAACACAATTAGAACATTTTCATCATCCTAAAAAGAAATTCTGTAGTTATTAGCAGTCATTCCTCCCATCATCTCCAGCCCCCAACAACAACTAATCTACTTTCTGTTCCTATAGATTTGCCTATTCTAGGCATTTCATATAAATGGAATCATGCAGCAATGTGGTCTTTTGTGACTGGCTTCTTTCACTTAGCATTGTGTTTTCAAGGTACATGCATATTGTAGGTATATCAGTACTTCATTCCTTTTGATTGCTGAATAAAAAGGAATATTTCATTGTATGGATTTGGCACATTTTATTTTTTCATCAGATGATAAACATTTTTGTAACCCACAACATTTAAAATTATATCTGATTCTCTCTGACACCTTTTCTCCCTCTACCACTGCCCCTTGAATTCCAAAATTTTGTTTCCTTATTTTTCCTAGAAATATAGTTATTTGCATAGTTTAATTAAGAACCTGCCATCCTTTTTACTAGAATATAATTAGAAGAAACAGTTATATGAGCAAGATCGTGCCTGAAGTGTCATATTTGAGAATTATGCTAATTGAATTAGATATGCCAGACATTTTTATGGACTAAAATTGGCTTTACTTTTGGAGCAAATGCCCACAAAATCCTTCCAGGAAAACTCACGATACCTAGAGAGTCCAGCCTTACATGAGCTCAGAAACATTGCTTTCTGGCAGGCCAGGAGCCAGGAACCTTAGTACACTTGCGGGACCTTGAGGAGAAGGTATAGATAGTGCAAATGAAATTTTGTGCAGAGCATTTCTTGGGCTTGGTTTCCTAGCCTCAGGACTGCAAATAGTAGAGGTCGTTAAATCTGAGTTTTTAATGTAAACTTCCAGCAAAGCTAATTTAGGAAGGCCTATGTGGTAAACTAAAACTTCCTACACCTATGTAAATAATCAGGCCAAATCTAATGAGACTAGTTTTATTTTGTGATCATAAATAATCATTCATAGAGATTACTTTGATCTCTAAGAGATAGGGAGAAAGAGAGTATAAGGAAAAATATAAAACCTTAAAATGGACTATTAGGGTACAGAAGATGATTCCTCAAAATATGGCATGCTATAGTTTGATTTGTAGGACCCTCTAAACCTCATGTTAAAATTTGATCCCCAATGTTGGAGGTGGGGCCTAGTGGGAGGTGCTTGGTCATGGGAGTGGATCACTCATGAATGGCATGGTGCTGTCCTTGCAAAAATGAGTGAGTTCTTGCTCTATTAGTTCCTGTGAGAACTGGTTGTTAAAAAGAGCATGATACCTCCTCCCTCTGTATTTTTGCTTCCTCTCTCACTATGTGATCTCTGTATATGCCAGCTCCCCTTCACTTTCTGTCATGAGTAGAAACAGCCTGAGGCTTTCAGCCGATACTCAATCTTTCAGCCAGCAGAATCATGGGCCAAATAAACATCTTTTCTTTATAAATTAGTCAGCCTCAGGTATTCCTTTATAGCAACACTAAATGGACTAAGACGGAACATTGGTACTGAGGAGTGGGGTTTGCCATAAAGAAACTTGAAAATGTGGAAGCAGCTTTGGAACTGGGTAATGGGCAGAAGCTAGAAGAGTTTGGAGAGTTCAGAAGAATTCAAACAGACGAGAAATGTTGGAACTTCTTAGAGATTGGTTAAATAATTGTGATCAAAAAGCTGATAGAAATATAGATAGTAAAGGCCATGCTGAACTGTGGTATCAGATGACAATGAGAAACTTTGGGACTGGAGCATAGATCGCCCTTGTTACACTGCAGCAAATAATTTGACTGCATTATGTCTATGCCCTAGGGCTTTATGGAAGGCTGAACTTAAGAGCAATGACCTAGGATAACTGGGGAAGAAATTTCTTGGCAGCAAAGCATTCAAAAAGTAATGTGGCTACTTTTAACTGCTCACCATCAGATATGGCAGCAAAGGAATGACCTAAAGGTGGAATTTATAATTGAAAAGGAAGCGGTACATACAAATTTGGGAAATTCACAGCCTGGCCATGCAGTAGAGAAAAAAAAAAAAAAGCATTTTCAGGAGAGGAATCCAAGGATGCTATGGAGCAATCATTTGCTAGAGAGATTAGCACCGATAAAAGGGAGCCAGGTGCTAATAGTAAAGATGATGGGAAAAAGACCCCCAAAGCATTTCAGCCATCTTAAAGATTACTCCCTCCCATCACAGGACCAGAGGCCTAGGAGGATAGAATGGTTTTAGGGAACAGAACCAGGGTACTGCTAGACTGCACCACCTTGGGATGCTGCTCCCTGCATACCAGCTGCTCTGGCTCCAGCCACAGCTCAAGGGGCCCCAAGTACCACTCCAGGGAGTGCAAGCCATAAGCTTTGCCAGCTTCCATGTGGTTTTAATTCTGCAAGCTCCCAGAATGCAAGAGTGGTGGAGGCTTAACAGTTTCCACTTAGATTTCAGAGGGTATATTGGAAAGTCTTGGTGCCCAGACAGAAGCCTGCTATAGGGGCAAAGTTCCCACAGAAAGGCTCTACCAAGGCAATGCTGAGAAGAAAGGTGGAATTGTTGCCTCTGCAGAGTTCCCATCAGGGTATTGCCTAGTAGAGCTGTGGGAGTAGGACCACCACTCTTGAGACTCCAGCATTAATAGAGCCATCAGCAGCATGTAACTCCAGCCTGGAAAAACTGTAAGCATTCAACTCCAACCCATGAGAGCATCTACAAAGGCTGTGCCCAGGAAAGCCATGGGGGCAGAACTGCCCAAGGCCTTGTGAACCTATCCCTTACACCAGTGTGTCCAGGATGTAGGTCATGGATTCAAAGGAGATTATTTTGAAGTTTTAAGATTTAATTTCTGCCCTGCAAGGTTTTGGATTTGCTTTTGGAATGGGAATGTTTACTCAATACCTGTACAACCATTTTATCTTGGAAGCAAATACATTGTTTTTTATTTTTCAGATTCACAACTGTAAGGAAATTGCCTTGGTCTCAGATGAGACTTTGAACTTTTAAGTTGGTGGTGGAGCCAGTTAAGACTTTGGGAGACTATTGGGAAGGGATGGTTGTATTTTGCATGTGGGAAGGACATGAGATTCAGGGGGCTAGGGCTACAATGCTGTAGTTTGGTCTGTTTGACATGCCAACCTTAAATAATGTGATTCAGAAAATATGATTCAGTATAGAGTTTATTTGAGCACCAAGCTTGAGGAATGCCACCTGGGAACAGACTCCAAATGAATGGGGTCAGCATTCCAAAAAGTGGAGAAGTAAAAGTTTCACTTATATAGGCAGAGACAGAGATATTTTAGCAGGATTACAACATTTTCCATAGAGACCAGTGCATACCTCACAACAATTTGATTGGTTACATTTACATTCCAAGGAAGATGACATTATTACTCCATTAGGAGGGATAGTGATCTGAGTGGGTCTTATCTCTGGCTCCATTTGATTTTATTATTTACAGGGGAAAAAAAGGCAGAAGTTGCAGTTGCATGTTGCATGACTCAGGCTGCATAGCCACATTCCTCTCAAGGCTAAGAATAATTTAAAGTTATGTCAGGCCTCTGAGCCCAAGCTAAGCCATCATATCCCCTGTGACCTGCATGTATACATCCAGATGGCCTGAAGCAACAGAAGATCCACAAAATCACTGAAAATAGCCTTAACTGATGACATTCCACCACTATGATTTGTTCTTGCCCCACCCTAACTGATACATATATTCTCCCCTGCCCTTAAGAAGATACTTTGTAATATTCTCCCCACCCTTCAGAATGTGCTTTGTATGCCTATCCCAAACCTATAAGAACTAATGATAATCCCACCACCCTTTGCTGACTCCTTTTTTGGACTCAGCCTGCCTGCACCCAGGTGAAATAAACAGCCTTGTTGCTCACACAAAGGCTGTTTGGTGGTCTCTTCACACAGACGTGCATGACATTTGGTGCCAAAACCCGGGACAGGAGGACTCCTTCGGGAGAGCAGTCCCCTGTCCTCATCCTCACTCCATGAGGAGATCCACCTATGACCTTGGGCCCTCTGACCAACCAGCGCAAGGAACATCTCACCAATTTCAAATCAGGTAAGCCGTCTGTTCACTCTTCTCCAGCCTCTCTTGCTACCCTTCAATCTTCCTCTCTCGCTACCCTTCAATCTCCCTGTCCTTCCAATTCCAGTTCTTTTTCCCCTCTAGTAGAGACAAGGAGACACATTTTATCCATGGACCCAAAACTCCGGAGCCGGTCACGGACTTGAGAAGACAGTCTTCCCTTGGTGTTTAATCACTGCGAGGACACCTGCCTGATTATTCACCCACATTTCATTGGTGTCTGATCATTGTGGGGATGCCTGCCTTGGTCATTCACCCACATTTCCTTGGTGGCAAGTCAATTGCAGGGACGCCTGCTTAGGCTGCTCACCCACATTGCAGCCCAGGGCTGCTCATCCCCAACCCCCTTCTCCATGTCTCTACCCTCTCTTTTCTCTGGGCTTGCCTCCTTCACTATGGGCAACCTTCCACCCTCCATTCCTCCTTCTTCTCCCTTAGCCTGTGTTCTCAAAAACTTAAAACCTCTTCAACTCACACCTGACCTAAAACCTTAACATCTTATTTTCTTCTGCTATGCCGCTTGGCCCCAGTACAAACTCGACAATAGTTCCAAGTAGCCAGAAAACAGCACTTTTGATTTCTCCATTTTACAAGACCTGGATGATTTTTGTCGAAAAATGGGCAAATGGTCTGAGGTGCCTGACGTCCAGGCATTCTTTTACACATCAGTCCCTCCCTAGTCTCTCCTCCCAATGCGACTCGTTCCAAATCTTTCTTCTTTCTCTCCTGTCTGTTCCTTCAGTCTCCACCCCAAGTTCTGAGTCCTTTGAATGCTTCTTTTCTACGGACTCATCTGACCTCTCCCCTTCTCCTCAAGCTGCTCGTCGCCAGGCCGAGCCAGGTCCCAACTCTTCTTCAGCCTCCACTCCCCCACCCTATAACCCTCCTATTACCTCCCCTCCTCACGCCAGGTCTGGCTTACAGTTTCATTCCACGACTAGCCCTCCCCAACCTGCCCAACAATTTTCTTTTAGAGAGGTAGCTGGAGCTGAAGGCATAGCCAAGGTTAATGCTCCTTTTTCTTTATCCAACCTCTCCCAAATCAGTTAGTGTTTAGGCTCTTTTTCATCAAATATAAAAACCCAGCCCAGTTCATGGCCCGTTTGGCAACAACCCTTAGACACTTTACTGCCTTAGACCCAGAGGGCCCAGAAGGCCGTCTTATTCTCAATATGCATTTTATTACCCAACCCACTCCCGACATTAGAAAAAGCTCCAAAAATTAGATTCTGGCCCTCAACCCCACAACAGGACTTAATTGACCCTGCCTTCAAGGTGTGCAATAAGAGAGAAGAGTTGCAATTACTTGCCTCTGCTGTGAGAGAAACCCCAGCCACATCTCCAGCACACAAGAACTTCAAAACATCTGAACCGCAGTGGCCAGGCATTCCTCCAGGATCGCCTCCCCCAGGAGCTTGCTTTAAGTGCTGGAAATCTGGCCACTGGGCTGAGGAATGCCTGCAGCCCAGGATTCCTCCTAAGCTGCGTCCCATCTGTGTGGGACCCCACTGGAAATCGGACTGTCCAGCTCACCTGGCAGCCACTCCCAGAGCCGCTGGAACTCTGGCCCAAGGCTCTCTGACTCCTTCCCAGATCTTCTTGGCTGAGTGGCTGAAGACTGACACTGCCCGATCGCCTCAGAAGCCTCCTGGACCGTCACAGACACTTTGGGTAACTCTTACAGTGGAGGGTAAGTCCGTCCCCTTCTTAATCAATATGGAGGCTACCCACTCTACATTACCTTCTTTTCAAGGGCCTGTTTCCTTTGCCTCCATAACTGTTGTGGGTATTGACGGCCAGTCTTCTAAACCTCTTAAAACTCCCCAACTCTGATGCCAACTTGGACAACATTCTTTTATGCACTCTTTTTCAGTTATCCTCACCTGCCCAGCTCCCTTATTAGGTCAAGACATTTTAACTAAATTATCTGCTTCCCTGACTATTCCTAGGCTACAGCCACACCTCATTGCCGCCTTTTTCCCCAGTTCAAATCTCCTTCACATCCTCCCCTTGTATCTCCCCACCTTAATCCACAAGTATGGGACACCTCTACTCCCTCCTTGGCAACCGATCATGCACCCCTTACCATCCCATTAAAACCTAATCACCCTTACCCCGCTAAATGCCAATATCCCATCCCACAGCACACTTTAAAAGGATTAAAGCCTGTTATCATTTGCCTGCTACAGCCTGGCCTTTTAAAGCCTATAAACTCCCCCTTACAATTCCCCCATTTTACCTGTCCAAAAACTGGACAAGTCTTACAGGTTAGTTCAGGGTCTGTGCCTTATCAACCAAATTGTCTTGCCTATCCACCCCGTGGTGCCAAACCCATATACTCTCCTATCCTCAACATCTCCTCCACAACCCGTTATTCTGTTCTAGATAAACCTAGTTGACCCCATAAATCCTAAATCCTTTCCCCACTCCCCTTTCCATTCCTTAAAAAACAGCCCTAAAAGCTGCTCCCACACTAGCACTCCCTAACTCATCCCAACCCTTTTCATTACACACAGCCAAAGTGTAGGGCTGTGTGGTCAGAATTCTTACACAAGAGCCAGGACTGCACCCTGTAGCCTTTCTGTCCCAACAACTTGACCTTACTGTTTTAGCCTAGCCCTCATGTTTGCATGCAGTGGCTGCCACTGCTTTAATACTTTTAGAGGCCCTCAAAATCACAAGCTATGCTCCACTTACTCTCTACAGTTCCCATAACTTTCAAAATCTATTTTCTTCCTCACACTTAACGCATATACTTTCTGCCCCCAAGACCCTTCAGCTATACTCACTCTTTGTTGAGTCTTCCACAATCACCATTGTTGCTGGCCCAGACTTCAATCCGGCCTCCCACATTATTCCTGATACCACACCTGACCCCCATGACTGTATCTCTCTGATCCACCTGACATTCATTCCATTTCCCCATATTTCCTTCTTTCCTGTTCCTCACCCTGATCACACTTGGTTTATTGATGGCAGTTCCACCAGGCCTAATTGCCACTCACCAGCAAAGGCAGGCTATGCTATAGTATCTTCCACATTTATCATTGAGGCTACTGCCCTGCCCCCCTCCACTACCTCTCAGCAAGCCAAACTCATTGCCTTAACTCAGGCCCTCACTCTTGCAAAGGGACTACTTGTCAATATTTATACTGATTCTAAATATGCCTTCCATATCCAGTACCACCATGCTGTTATATGGGCAGAAAGAAATTTCCTCACTACATAAGAGTCCCCCATCATTAATGCCTCCTTAATAAAAACTCTGCTTAAAGCTGCTTTACTTCCAAAGGAAGCTGGAGTCATTCACTGCAAGGGCCATGAAAAGCCATCAGATCCCATTGCTCAGGGCAACACTTATGCTGATAAGGTCGCTAAAGAAGCAGCTAGCTTTCCAACTTCTGTCCCTCATGGCCAGTTTTTCTCCTTCTCATTGGTCACTCCTATTTACTCTCCCACTGAAGTTTCCACCTATCACTCCCTCTCCACTCAAGGCAGATGGTTCTTAAACCAAAAAAATTTGTATCTCCTTCCAGCCTCACAGGCCTGTTGTATTCATAACCTCTTCCATGTAGGTTACAAGCCATTAGCCTGCCTCTTAAAACTTCTCATTTCCTTTCCATTGTGAAAATCTATCCCCAATCCGCCACTCTTGACTCCCTCTTGGAGTGGATAGATGATCTTTGCTGACAGGACACACTCCAACACTTTCACCCTGATGAAGTCCTATTCTTTACTTTTATACTCACTCTTATTCTCGTTCCCGTTCTTATGCCACCCTCTACCTTTCCCCAGCTATCTCCACCACACTATCAATCTCACTCACTCTCTCCTAGCCATTTCTAATCCTTCTTTAACAAACAATTGCTGGCTTTGCATTTCTCTTTCCTCCAAAATCACCGAGGCCTCGATTTACTCACTGCTGAAAAAGGAGGACTCTGTATATTTTTAAATGAAGAGTGTTGTTTTTACCTAAATCAATCTGGCCTGGTATATGTCAACATTAAAAAAAACTCAAGGATAGAGCCCAAAAACTCTCCAACCAAGCAAATAATTACGTTGAACCCCCTTGGACACTCTCTAATTGGATGTCCTGGGTACTCCCAATTCTTAGTCCTTTAATACCTATTTTTCTCCTTCTTTTATTTGGACCTTGTGTCTTCTGTTTAGTTTCTCAATTCATATAAAAACCACATCCAGGCCATCACCAATCATTCTATACGACAAATGCTCCTTCTAACAACCCCACAATATCACCCCTTACCCCAAAATCTTTCTTCAGTTTAATCTCTCCCACTCTAGGTTCCCACGCTGACCCTAATCTCGCTCGAAGCAGCCCTGAGAAACATCGTCCGTTATCTCTCCATACCACCCCAAAAAATGTTCGCTGTCCCAGCACTTCACCACTGTATTGTTTTGTTTTTCTTATTAATATAAGAAGACAGGAATGTCAGGCCTCTGAGCCCAAGCTCAGCCATCATATCCCCTGTGACCTGCATGTATACATCCAGATGGCCTGAAGCAACGGAAGATCCACAAAATCACTGAAAATAGCCTTAACTGATGACATTCCACCATTGTGATTTGTTCCTGCCCCACCCTGATACATATATTCTCCCCTGCCCTTAAGAAGGTACTTTGTAATATTCTCCCCGCCCTTGAGAATGTACTTTGTACGCCTATCCCAAACCTATAAGAACCAGTGATAATCCCACCACCCTTTGCTGACTCCTTTTTCGGACTCAGCCTGCCTGCACCCAGGTGAAATAAACAGCCTTGTTGCTAACACAAAGGCTGTTTGGTGGTCTCTTCACACAGATGCGTGTGACACTAACAGCTTTAAGTATGAATTATTTTAAGTTTGAAATATTTTATTTCACAGACCCTACAAAAATCTCATGTTAAAATTTGATTCCCAATGTTGGAAGTTGAACCTAATGAGAGATTACTGGGTCATGGTGGCATATCTGTCATGAATGTCTGGGCGCCACCCTCACAGTAATGAGTGAGTTTTCACTCTATTAGTTCCTGCAAGAACTTGTTAAAAAGAGTGAGGCACCCCTCCCTCCCCGTGTCTTTTTGCTTCCTCACTCACTATGTGATCTCTGCACACACTGGCTCCCGTTTGCCTTCTGCCTTGAGTGAAAGCAGTCTGAGGCTTTCACCAGATGCCCAATCTTTCAGCCAGGAGAACCATGAGCCAAATAAACTTCTTGTCTTTATAAATTACTCAGCCTCAGGTTTTCCTTTATAGCAACACAAATGGACTAAGACATGGCACTCGGGCATGCTAAATGCTTTTGAAAATTGAAAGGCCTCAGAAATAAGCCTCAGAATCAAGGTCCCTCTAACCTTGTTCCTCTCCCACCCAGTGTAGGGAAGAACTCTCTCTGGAAGTTCCTTATCTGACCAAGAAAATTTATTATCAAAAGAAACACAACTGTCTTCTATCCCCTCCCAGTTACCTTATCTATTGCAGAAAAGAAGACGGAAGAATGCAGCCACACCTGGATGAACTTTTCCATGAGATAATACCTGCCTCTTGGGTTCATTAAAATTCCAAAGAGATTCACATATAAGTTAATTTATCTCTGGTTCATTCATTCTTCCTAATAATCTCTTATTGTCCCTCAAAATAATTGTCTACATTTCCCATCTCCTCCCTCCTCTACAGAAAAAGGGTATATAAGGTTCTATATCCCATTGGGGGGTGGAGTAATCACTCTGTGATTCTCTCCCATACAGGTTAATAAATTTGCATGCCTTTTCTCCTGTTAATCTGCCTTTTGTCAGTTGCTATTCAGTTGAACCTTTAGAGGGCAAAGAGGATGTTTCCTTTCTTGGTTCCTATAGGACAAAAGAAACTACTGAGTATTTTTTTAATGAAATGCTGGAACCTCTGGGGATTATCTCTTGCCACAAGGGTGTGCGCCTTTGCCTTTGTCTAGGCTATTATATGACTCTGAAGAGATAGATGTTAACTGGTGGAAAACTGATGGCAATGTAAATACTTATTACATTACATAGAAATGCAAATTAGCTGTGTCTAGTGAAATGCAATTCATTACTGCCCAATGGTTAGACCACTTTTTTGCAAACTTATTTCAACAACTGTACATACATTTATGGTTCTTTGCCTTCTTCTATGAACTGGTTGTAACGTCTTTTCCAGGTCCCTGTTAATTGATGGGTTAAATAAAAATATGTGATGTAATCATTTTATACTTGCATAAGAGTGATGATTTTACCTTTTTTGAACATTATCCTTTAATCTGTCTTATCAAATCAAAATTATCCTTATGCCATCTCTATGAGAGCAGCCTAAACTGCAGGGTGGGGCTGGCTGCACTAAAAGATAAAAAAGAAGGCTGGAGTATGGGATGAGCTAAGGTGATTCTCAGTGTTGGGGACTCTTGGCTCTCTTTTAAGTATATCTAAGAATAGGACAGGGGCAGGGAATACATGAAAGGGAGAAATAACTCTTTGGTGAAATGATTTATGGTAGGATAAGAGAACTAGAAGGTAAATCAATGGAAAGAGTGCTGGGAGAGTGGTATTTACTCTCCTCCTTCTTCCTCCTAGATCTGGGTTCTAGACCCAGTTCTGCCAGCTAGTAGCTGTATGACCTTGTGTAACTTTTCTAACCTCTCTAGTTTCCTCAAATAATCATACTATCTCCTAAGGTTGTTATAAGAATTAAAATTAGGCCGGGCGTGGTGGCTCACGCCTGTAATCCCAGCACTTTAGGAAGCCAAGGCAGGTGAATCATTTGAGGTCAGGAGTTCGAGACCAGCCTGGCCAACATGGTGAAACCCCGTCTCTACTAAAAATACAAAAATTAGCCAGGCATGGTGTTGCACGCCTGTAATTCCAGCGACTTGGGAGGCTGAGACAGGAGAATGGCTTGAGCCTGGGAAGTGGAGGTTGCAGTGAGCTGAGATCGCACCACTGCACTCTAGTCTAGGCAAGAAAGTGAGACCCTGTCTCAAAAAAAAAAAAAAAGAAAAGAAAAAGAAATGCAGAATCTAAGGCCCCATCCCAGATCTGCTGACCCAGAATATGCATTTTAACAAGATGTTTCCCTGATTCATATGGACTTTAAAGGTTGAGAAGCACTGATATAGAACATACAGTAACATATAAATCAGACAATTAAGTACAGTATTAATCATGTGATGTTTATTAATTGATGGTTCCCAGCTGATGGATGCTGGGCCACATTAAAATCATATGGGAAACTAACATGCAGACCCAGCCCCAGAGATTGTGAAATTCAAGTGGGGCCCAGAAAAAAATTTTTTATGGTTCACAGCCAGCTATGGGAGCAGGGTATGAGAAGTGGGAGTTCTGAAAAAGGATGAAATGAAGCAGAGGAGTGGGCCTTGACTGACCCTTGAAATATGGGTTCCATTTTTGGAGAATGAGGAGAATATATGCACGTGTGTATGTGGAAACAAGACTGTAAGACAATGTTATTGTAGCTTCTTCCAGAGAGGGAGAAATAAAAGCACAAACGAAGGAAATATTGCTCCCTGGGGAATTTTGGCAGAATTTTAAAACAATAACATTTCTCTGGTTAGAAACAAGGATGATACCATGCTGCTCATAATATCTCAGGGGCCAATGTCACATTTGATTTATGTTTAGAAACAATTTGAATGGATAGAACATTTTTCTTCTCAATTCCCACTTGGGGCTAATATATAGTCTTTTTCTCACATAAAAACAGTTTTCAACTCTTGCTCTACATTGAGCAGAAATAATCTAAGCTTGGATTCATTTCAAGATGTTTCCCATCAGCTGGGAAACATTTCTGTGCATTGGCACTATAGTTTAACTTCAATGAGTTCATTAAAAATCAAATAGGATAGTGGGGTGTGATTATAATTTGAAATGTGGGAAATGCTATACAAATGTCAGCTCATGATATGACTCTTTCTGGCCTTCCTATGGTTTGTATTCCTTCTGCCTCTTTCATCCCTTCCCCCTTAAGTCTAACTCTGCGCACAACCTTGCTATTCACCATGGGTCTTCTTGACTCGTGATCAGATCAGATGTTCCTCCCTCCACAATTTTCTTGATACTTTTTTGTTGTTGTTAACTCTATACTTACACGTCCAGCGTTTCACTTTATAATTTTGGGCCTATAAATTATGCATTTATATGCAGGTTTTCTCTATGAGACTTGAAGCTCTTTGAGGCATATGATAATGTCTTATTCATTTTTGAAAATCTAATGCTGGAGGTTCACTTCTCATATGTTTGTGGAGGGGAGGAAAAAATAATTTTCTCCTCTATCCTTCTGAGTTCTTAATTGAGATGGATGTCTTTAACAAAAGACAGATTAACAAGAGAAAATCCAACAGAAGTTTAATAGCATGTATACCTCATGTATACATGGGAGATACTCAAGGGAAATGAGTAACTCTTTAAGAGATGGCTTTGATTTCAGACTTAAATATCATCTTTAACTGAAATCAAGAAAGAAGCGTGTTGGGAGGCCAGTAACGAGGAGGTGGCCAGGAAAAGCATGGTAAACAGGGTAAGGTTTGTGGTGCAGAAGTTTAATATAAAGACATAAAAGTAACTCTAAGGGATAACTTAGAGAGAGAGACAAAGAGGAGTGGGGAGGAAGAGAGAGGAATCAAGGAGGAAAAACTTAGAAGAGGGCCTGTTCCCCAAGGATGCGTTTAGACCTCATTGCAGAGGATGTGGCCACAGCCTACTGGATAATGAAGAAGTTTGCTGGGTTGCCCTGACCAGAGCTGGGCCACAGTCACACAGCCACAGAGGCTGATAGGCTGGGGCATAGAGGGAGTCAGGGTATCTGCAGTCCACTCACTGGCAGGGTGGTACACAGCCCTTGATACATGGTGCCTTTGTGGGAGGGCTGTAGAAACTAATCACTGGGGCACCAGTGAGCCAAGGCACTTGGGTGGGTGTGCAGAGAGAGCTGGGGTATCACTGCCAGCATGAGGCCTGGAGTTCACCAGTGTCCACCTTAGGAGGGCCATGTCATGGAGATCACTGGATCTGGGCCAGGCTGTGGGATTACTGAGTTTTGGTACACTCTCAGCACATAGCTGGGACAGAGCACCACTAGATGTCCCTATACACATGCACCATGCAGCAGAAGCAAGAAAAAGCAAAAATCAGCACAATGGAACCAGGAAAAGAAGGCCCCTTCCTCCTGTAATGTCCCTCTACTGACAAAGCTGACTGTAAAGGACATGTTTACTATAAAGGACAAATGATTTAAGAGTCTAGGCTATTGTTGCAGAGCAGGTACTGAAGGGTGAATTTGGAGTTGAGAGGCAATAAATTCATGACTGACATGTATTGCAAGTTTCCACCAGCTCTTTTGAGCTCCTACCATCCATGAAAACAGCATGGCCCAAAGAGCCACTGCATCTTCAGATTGAGTTCTACAATGTGGAGCAGACATGAACCATAGGTAGTGTTAGGCCTAGGCTGGCTGAGATCGTTGAAATGACAGCCAACTTATGACTCATGAGTATCAAACAAATATTCATTGCAGCAAGTTCTTGAGATATTTGAAGCTATTTGTCATACAGAAAAAAATAACTAATACATCGATTTTCCTCCATATCCCTTGTGCCAGTGCCTAGATTATAAGATGAGATCAATATATAGTTTTAATTGAATTGTTATACAGACTCTGGGTCCATTTTCTGATTTTTCTGAAGGTTTAGCCCACATGTTGTCTAATGGGCTACAAATTGAGTCACCACTTCAGGTACACAGCAGAACAGGAATAACATCATGAAGAATCTTAGTAGATTTCAAATTGGCTCTTTTAAAGAAAAAAAAAAAAAACTCTTTTAATGGAAAACTCAAACCCAGGAATTGCTTTTTAAGCTTTTGGAATCCACACAGCTCATTCAGTGTGGAACCTTTATATGATGCAGCTAGGCCATTAGGTCTGGCTTCATCATCTAAAGTGGTACCTTTTTTATGTGGCTTTGGGGGAACAAGGTGAAAACTAATCAGAAGATTGCCTTGTATGTGAGCTGGCTATTTATTGCTCAAAGGGTGAATTTATGGGTGAAGAGAGAAAACAGATAATCCAAACATGGCCCCTACTTGTAGGGTTGCAACTATCATACGTTAATTTTATGTTCTAATCTTTTTCTCCTGTTTGAGGTCACAGCACAACATCACACCCTCACATATAATTGACTACCAGTGAAGAATTCTGTCCTTTCTTAATTATTATGCTGATATTACTTTCATTACACCACAAAGAACCATCAGCAGGAATTAACACATTCTTCAGTCAATTGAAATTATGTTATTTAAAAAGACATTCCCTTTCAAAGATGCCTGGCAGAAATTCTGGCATCGTATCCTAAATATGATTGTTGGTTTGGCCACAAATGTTTTCCATTGCTAACAATATACTCGAGAGCTTTTCACTGGTTTTCATGATGCATATAGTAGAGCTTCCCCCTAATTTATTGACCAGAGCTATGTTTATGGAGCTTATCATCTCTATGTTCTGCCCCAAAACCCCATACTCCAAATGAGCTACACTTTATCTGTTGTCACTTTGGACTTCATGGTGCTGCTGCTACTAACAGTAGCCACTCCTTGCAAGTCATCAACACTCTGTCATGCAGGGGTTTTGATTTAGCTTTTCGTAGCAGGCTTTTCTGATTAAACACACTGTAAACTCTACCTTTCTCAATGGCATAGTTATTTATTTTCCTTCCAAGGATGTTCATTAAAGGGCTTTCAAAATAAAATAGTACATTATGTTGATATTCTTTTAGGTCCACAACCTCTCTATATTTTATACTTTTAAAGTTTCCCCTTTCTTTACTGTAATACTCATCTAAAGAATCCAAAATTGGTTTCCATTTGATTTTGTTTACTCTCTTTCTAAGTTCTCTTTTTCTGAGCTAAAATAACATTTGATATGTATCTCTGAATGAGGGTTTCCAAAGAGTAGAAATGACATGATCCCTTACAAGTGGAAGCTTTGGACAGAATGTAGACCTTGATAGAATTTTAGACAAAGTTTTCTTCAACTTTCTCCTTTTGCCATTGAGGTTTAGAGAGGCTAAGTGACCTGTACTAGGTTAAATAACTAAGTGATGGCATATTTGGGACCAGGAATCAGTCATCCTCTCTTCTCTCCCAGTTTTCTTTTCACTGGATCATGACACAGAATGATAAAATGGGAGAGCAGGGAGGGATGTTAGAGATTACTCTATCTAACCGTATTATTTGAAAGATGAGAAAGTAATGCTAGGGAAATTTGGATATCTGGCATGATCGTGATATTCTTGGCCTTCCAAAAAATATCTTTCATTCTTTTTAATCTCAAAATAAGAAGCTTTTCAGCAAATCTCCAGTCCCAGGGACTGGCCCTGGTGAGACAATTCACTGAGGAAATCTGTGGCTTACACCCACATGTCTGTTAGGAAGCTGAGCCATCTTCACGAGTAGGCAGAAAAAGGAGGTGCACTAGGAAATCTCTCTCAACCAAAATATCACCCCACACATATCCTCTTTGGGAGACTAACTCTTCTGGGTTCTGAAGGCTTCTTTCTATCTTTCAGAGTTCCCTATTAAAATGCACATAATCCTAGAAAGAGAATCATTTTGAGTCATTTCAGGTGTTATTTATTTATTTATTTATTTTGAGACGGAGTCTTGCACTGTTGCCCAGGCTGGAGTGCAGTGGCGCGATCTCGGCTCACTGCAAGCTCCACCTCCCAGGTTCACGCCATTCTCCTGCCTCAGCCTCCTGAGTAGCTGGGACTACAGGCGCCCGCCACCACGCCCGGCTAATTTTTTTTTGTACTTTTTAGTAGAGACAGAGTTTCACCGTGTCAGGCAGGATGGTCTCGATCTCCTGACCTCGTGATCTACCCACCTGGGCCTCCCAAAGTGCTGGGATTACAGGCGTGAGCCACCGCGCCTGGCCCCATTTCAGGTGTTATTAGTGAATATTCAGATTTTCTCTGAGAGAAAGGCTTCCTTGATGTGCTTTTGTAATAGACGAAGAGAACCAGGAAAAAAAGAGTCCTGAAATGAGATGTCTGTCTTCAAATCAAGCTCCCTAAACCATGTCTGGGACTGAACTAGACTTAAAACCTTGCTGCTTTACATAGGCTGTGTTCTTAACATCAGCAGAAAGAAACACAATCACACTGAGTATTTTTATTTAAATTATGCAAAAGTGTGGGTAGAATCCCTGGATTTCCTTCTCAAGCTCACTTTGCAACTACTAATGATCCCACATAGAGAAAAGGGGAAACATTGGAACTGATGCTTAAGTGAACAAATCTAAACACATTCTTGACTTTATTTAAAATCTACATATTTCATCAATTCCAAGATATATTCCCACTTCCCTATATTAACATTCTGAAATCAAGATGTTTCTAATGGCTGGTGGTGTCTTACTATCATTGGCAGCCAGGTGGGCACTGTCACGTAGTTATCACATGGATGGGCACCAGCTTGACCACACAGTGTTCATATTACCATTTCAATAGACTTATATGTAGTGTTATTTGTTCACATAGCAATGTAGTAATAAATATAACTGGTATTTAAGTTTAAATTTAACTAGCACTTGAAGTATCTTTAATGGATTATTCCATGATTTGGTATTAAAACATTAAGATAATGTGAATACAGAGAAGCGGAGAAACAGAGCAGCAGGGTGTAAATTTGATATTAATGAAACAAATATCTGTCATGGAAGGAATGATGACAATTTTACATTTTCTTTCAATGCAACAAGCAACTGCTTTATGGTTATCTAGGAAAGGAAGATATCCACAGGTAGATGAAACTCTGCTGGATTTTGCCATTCGTGTTCATCCAAAAGCTTTACCTACACCTCATCAGGCAAGAATGTGCCAATATCAGCACTTGCAGAATGAGTGTCAGCAGCTTGCAAGGAAATTGCAGGAACAATAGTGGAGCACCATCTTAAGAAATGCTGTGTTACCAGAGCTCTCGAAAACATAGAGGACAAGATCATATGTACTCTATGGTATGACACAGACGTAAAACCAAAACATGGACATGGAAATTTTGTAACGAAAAATGATTCAAAAGAGTTAGACAATAAATTTGAAAAATCCTTAGGAATTAAATCAGTTTATTCCATTCATATTTCCCTTTTAGATATATGCATAATAGTGAAATATGATTAAAATCTGTGCTTAAATAAGTCTAAAAAACTTCTTTTAAAAGCTATACAATAAAATTTATAAGTAATTAAGAAGTATTATAACTTAAGTACTTTTTGTTTCTTAGTGTTACATAAATAATGGTACATCTTATAATTGATGACATCTTAGATTCAGTGTTAATTAGTGGCAAAGCCTGGAAAAGTCCAGATCTTCTAACTGTCAAATACCTCACACAATGTCTATTACATAGAATGTACTCAGTGAATAGAAGAATTGCTGAAGAAAAAAGAAGAAAAGAAACAATAATGATTACAAAATCTACCCGGGGTGAATTCTCAGTAGCAGAGAATAGCAATATCTATCAGAGAAGAAAGCCAGCCCTTAAGTAGACTGTCAATTTACTTTGACACATACAACTCAAAATTGACCACTTTTACCTGGTATCTGAATGTCTGCTGAAAGATGATGAGAGGCATGAACATGAATTATCTTGATTTTCTATTTAGAGGATGGATAATTACCTATGATGATTTTTTAAAATACCTGTGAAGACTCAGGAGGCCAAGTACGGTTATGGAGTTAACCTTTTAGTTTGGTTGTTGTCAAGCAGCTGTAAATCAGATAAAGTGTGGAGGGCAAAGTCTTAGAGGATAAGAAGCCAGACAGAGGTTATAAGGCCATCAGAGGCTGTAAGGAACAGCTTGCTGGCACTTTTCCAGTTTTGCCTCCACTTTGGACCATGCACAAATGCACTGTGAAGCATCATTGGTACTGCAGTGTTCAAATACAATTGATCCTTGAACAACACAGGTTTGAACTGCATGAATCCACTTATAAGAAGATTTTTTCAATAGAAGTTACCAGTGTGCCCTGCCTCTCCTGCCTCCCCTTTCACCTTCTCCACCTCTTCCACCTCTGTCACTCCTGAGACGCAAGACCAACCGCTCCTTTTTCTCCTCCTCCTCAGCCACTTAACATGAAGACATGTTAACATGAGGACAAAGACATTTATGATGCTCCACTTCCACTTAATGAATAGTAAATAATGCATATTTTCTCTTTCTTATGATTTTATTAATAATATTTTCTTTTCTCTAGCTTATTTTATTGTAAGAATACAGCATCTAATATGTATAACATACAAAATACATGTTAATACTGCTTATGTTATCAGTAAGGCTTCCAGTCAATAGTAGGCCACTAGCAGTTAAGTATGTTTTTTTTTACTTTTTAAAATTTTTCCATAAGTTATTGGCATACAGGTAGTGTTTGGTTACATGAGTAAGTTCTTTAGTAGTGATTTGTGAGATTTTGGTGCACCCACCACCAGAGCAGTATACACTGTACCATATTTTTAGTCTTTTATCTCTTGCCCCCTTTCCCACTCTTCCCCCCAAGTCCCCAAAGTCCATTGTATCATTCTTATGCCTTTGCATCCTCATAGCTTAGCTCCCACATATCAGTGAGAACATGTGATGTTTGGTTTTCCATTCCTGAGTTACTTCACTTAGAATAATAGTCTCCAATCTCATCCAGGTCACTGCAAATACCATTATTTCCTTCCTTTTTATGGCTGAGTAGCATTCCATCATATAAATATACCACAGTTTCTTTATCCACTCATTGATTGATGGGCATTTGGGTTGGTTCCAGGATTTTGCAATTGCAAATTGTTCATTAGCAGTTACGTTTTGGGAGTCAAATTTATACGTGGATCTTCAGCTGCATAGGGGTTGAGATCCCTAACTACCATGTTGTTCAAGGGCCAATTGTATCAGAGTGTTTTGAGATAACAAGTGCCAAAATGGAGAGGCAGAAGCCAGGAGCTCATTCCTGAAGAAGGTATGTTGGAAACAAAAAATTGTACTATTTCCTTAGAATCAAGGTGCTCCAGAGAACAACTGGGGATTTATCTGAAGTCCATTGAGTTTCTCATTCTCTCCAAATGGAAAAAAAGAAAGACATTGATTGTGCAACTATTACAGACCAGGTGTTTTATCTACATTATCTCACTTGAACTCCTTTGACAATCTTGCAAACAATGTATTTTTGTTACATTTTTAGATGACAGGAATTCAGGATAAAACAGTTGAAGTAAGTTGACCTTGGTGTCACAGCATGAGTGACAGAGTTTGAAAACTCTGCTGGACCCCAAAACTTATGCTTGCCACTCAACATGCTTCAGTCTCACACAGGGAGAAAGACACATACAGGATGTCATGTCAGGAAATACAGAAATGAAGAGTATAAATGTGGCATGTTGCCGGAGGGTTCAATTTCATTCAAAGGTTGGGGGAGAGTCATTACTTTCATATTAAAATAATCATAGACTACTATATGCACATCACATTGGCTAAAAATTTTAAAAGACAGAACATAACAAATGTTGGCAAGGATTTAGTGCAACTGGAACTCTCATACACTGCTGGTGGGAATGCAAATTGACAAAACCACTTTGGAAAACGGTTTGGCAGTATTATAAAAGCGATTATTTGCCTGTCTTACGAAATTTCAATCCTTGATATATTTCCAACAGAAATTGGCTCAGCAAAAGGCACAGAAGAATGTTCATAGTTGCAATATTAGTAATAAGCACAAACTGAATGAAATTCAAATGTTCATTAACAGAGGAAAGAATTGGTACATGTTTACCCAACAGAATACTATTATTACTCTTACATACTACAACACAGATGAAACTTATAGTCATGATGTAGAATGACACAAGCCAGATACAAGAGTTTGTTGAGTATGATTCCATTTGGTTCAAAAATAGGCAAAACAAATCCATGCTCTTAGAAGTCAAGATAATGATTACCCTTGGGGTGGGGATGGAGTAGTAGACAGTGACTGGAAGAGGACACAATGGGGCTTTTGGGCCTGCTGGTAATGTTCTGGGAGCTGATCGCGTGGTTGCTTCCAGTTTGTGACAGTTTATTGTGTTGTAGACTTAAGATTTGGACAGTTTCTGGTATGGATGTTATTGAGCAGCATGCAAAATTTTGATGAAATTTTGGGATAGAACAAAGCAGATCAAAGAATTTTGTATTTGTGATGGATTGTTTTGTTTTCAGAAACCATTTCATAACTAGCCCTCACCTGATGCTGGGACCAGGGTCTGGCCTCAGAAATCGGAGAGGATTTGGTCCCTTCTCTACCTTCTTTGTGCATTGATATCAGTCCCATCAATGACCCTTATCAAGTTGAGAACAATGAGACCCCAGATGTCCTTAACGACCTAGAAGTTGGCTCTCCAGAAGGTACCTGGACTTAGTCTACCCAGAGAAACTGAGGGTCCACAATAAAATAGCAGTGTCCTGTGGAGTGTTGGATATTAACATTCAATAGCAAGTTTATACATTGTGGAAACCAATTATGTTAAAGACACAGAGAAACCCAAGAGCCATTCTATGACACACATACATAATTCTGTTGCTGATAAGAAGTTTAAACCTTCCAGGAGCTGACTTGAATGGCCTTGCTCACTAGTACTTTTGTTTTTCACTGCATCTATTTAAATGCTACTTTTTATGACATTTCTCTGGAGCTAAAAGGAATTTTATAATTACTTATGTGTGGACCAGTACTTCAATATAAGGTGGAAATTTACATCTTATAATTGCTCTCACATGGGCTTTTCCGCCTTGTTTCTCCTCACTGGAGCAGATGCTAAGAGCATGGCAGACGTACAAAAGTATTGACCTTGATCTGAATAGGCCTTGGTTGAACTTGTGCCAGAACTCATGACTTCAAAAGATCTTTTGGAATAAACAGAGTCAGGTGAAACAAATTTGTTCTTTACTAAAGCAGAGCCAACATGTGAGTAGATGGCACAGTCACTTGGGGGCCAAGAAAGGTCTCTTTGATCTAGTGTCTAAGGGTAGGAGCCTAGAGATTAGCCTTCTGTTAAGAATATCCAGAAATGGAGCAAGAGGACTGATAAGATTCAAGTGGGTGGCACCACATACCCTTCAGTCTAGTTTTCGTTTTTATTTTTAATTTTTGTGGGTACATAGTAAGTGTATATATTTATGGGGCACATGAAATGTTTTGATACAGGCATACAATGTGACATAATCACATCATGGAGAATGGAGTATCCATCTTTCTCAAGCATTTATCCTTTGTGTTACAAACAACCCAGTTACACTCTTTCAGTTATTTTTTAATGTACAATTAAGTTACTATTGACTATAGTCACCCTGTTGTGCTATCAAATATTAGGTCTTATTCATTCTTTTTTTTGTACTCATTAACTGTCCCCACCTCCCCCTGCCAGTCCCCCATTACCCTGCCCAGCTTCTGGTAGCTAGCCTTCTACTCTCTATCTCCATGGGTTCAATTGTTTTGATTTTTACATCTCACAAATAAGTGATAACATGTGATGTTTGTCTTTCTGTGCCTGACTTATTTCACTTAACATGATGATGTCCAGTTCCATCCATGTTGTTGCAATTAACAGGATCTCATTCTTTTTTATGGCTGAATAGTACTCCATTGTGTATATGTACCACATTTTCTTTATCTGTTCATCTGTTGATGGATACAAGGTTGCTTCCAAATCTTAGCTATTGTGAACAGTGCTGCCACAAACATGGGCCCCTCAGGCTAGTTTTGACAGAATGGCTACATGGTTACAAAAATGACTTATGTGGTATGATCCAGAATTTCATCTAGAAAGATAAAAACAGTCTGTAAAATTTCAGTAAGATTGTTTAAATTTAGGAAAGTTATAGAAATCTAAAGACTCAATGGTTACTTTGGTCATGTGTTACAGGTTTGTAACAGAAAGAGTCTGTTTCTTGTCTACTTTCCCCTCTAGACCACAAGATCCTTGATGTCAGGGAATTTATCATCTTATTCATTGTTTGGTCTCCTGGACCTTGAACATTGCCTGATACATAGTAGATTCATCATAAGTATTTGTTGAATAAGTAAGTGAATGAATTAATAAGTGGATGAATAAAAAATGATAAAATTATTCTCCGTGAGAAATTTTTATTATCTTAATTTATACTGTGTGACTATCAAAGTCTTTAAAAACTGAATGCAAATCTTAGATTTCCATAACTCTTTATAGTGAACAAGTGAGAAAGATGTGCACTTTCCCCATATACATATGCACGCATGTTTGCCCACACTGACAAAGAACATGGGTAACTCATTCTATTGGAGGAAAAAAAATCAATCAAAAATGTTTGTTTTCGCTGGGAACGTCACCAGGAACAAGATTGTTGCTGTGCATTTACTGATGAAATGTTTAAGGGGCAGCTGTAGGTAATTCATGTCTGTGCTTCCAGATCACAGAAACTGGCATTCACTTTAGAGATAGCAACGGTTTGTTTCTATTTGTTTTAATCTCACATCCAAGCTTTACTTGCTCCAATGTCATTTTAATATTGTTTCCTTGCCAAGGTGAGCAGTGAAAAACACCTGGTGTTGGGATCAAAGGTTAATCACAGGCACAGCTTCCAACTAAATAGAGGTGAACATGGCTACTACTGAATCTGCAGGAATCCGCTGTTGAGCAAAAAGCACCAGTCTAGGCATTGGGTGTGTATTATTTGTCTTTTGCTGCCTAACAGATTATCCCAAAATCTTAGCAGCTTTTTACAGAAATATTAATTCTCTCACAGTCTGTGAGTCAGGAACACGGGCAAGGCTTAGTTGAGTCTTCTGACTAAGGGTTTCTCAGTGGGTCACAAACAAGGTACTGACGGGGACTGCAGTCATCTCAAGGCTTGATGGCTTATAATTTCACTCACATGGTTGTTGACAATATTCAGTTCTTCACGGGCTGTTGGACTGAGGGCTTCAGTTTCTCTCTGGCTGTTGACCAGAGGCAGCCCTCAATTTCTTGCAACATGAGCTTTTCCACAGGGCAGCTCACAACATGGCAGCTGGCTTCATCAAAGCGAGCAAGCAAGAAGAACCAAAGAGAGAGTGCAAGCAAGATGGAAGTCATGGTCTTTGGCAACCTAATCACTGAAGTGACATCGTATCACTTTTGCCATGTTCTACTCATTAGGAGCAAGTGACTAGGTCCAGCCCACACTTAAGGAGAGGGGATTACAACAGGAAGGCGTGAATAGTAGGAAGAAGAGATCACTAGGAGCCATTTTAGAAACAGCCACCAAAGAAGACTTATATCTCAGTCAAGTGACAGTAATTACCAGCATGATACTGGTTATATTATTTTGCTGTTTTGCCCTCAGTTCTCCCATTTGCAAAATGGGGGGGTTGGACTGAATTGCCATTGGTGTTTACAAGATGTTAATAAGTTTATCCTATCTCTGGGATTGAATTGTTGGACATAAATGCCATAGGGCATTAAACATTCTTCATTATGTTAGCTAAGCCTTTTGGCCTCAAAGAGTAAGGTCTTTCTCAAGTTACCACAAGGAAAGTGCTCATCTATAGTTAGGATCCAGGTGGTTTGAACTGAAATGGGAGGTAAAAGGTGATTCTAGGAATTCACTTCTTTCATCATATCCGAGGGGGCCTTTGTCATGGCATTTTTGCGTTGCTCTGGAAATCTATTCCATTCTCCTCTGCCTTCTCCTTAACACATGTCTTTTACTTACTCGGTTTCTGCTTTCTCGCTATTTTAATTTGCCATGGTCCATCATCACCTGAATCCTACTATCTGACATTTCCTATATACATCCTTTCAATGACTAATGTATTCCATATCTCCCAGGGTAAATTCCTGAGAAAGACAATCTTAATGTTCTAGGTCATCATTTCATGTCAGGCTTTTTGGGAGATATGGAAGGTCAACACAGGCTCACTGTAAGTTATTGTACACCCATCCTCTAGTGTTTTGAATATCTTACACATGAAGGAACAAATCCAAGGACCACTTCTGATGAGCTCAAAATTCTTCCACTTCCATTTATAGCCTTTTCTTCCTTATTATTGATAAAAAATAGTGTACAACAAGATAAAAATCTAGGGTTGGGTATAAGTCTATGATCTGTGTTCTAGACTCTACAATAAAGACAGGAATCTAAACAACAAGAAAAATTAACTCAAATGTCTTGAGTGATTTGTTCTATTGATGAATTTGGAAACTATGACTTTTTGACCTCCCCTCACCTTTACCTTACCCTGAAGTATGGTGGACAGAGAATTATCTGAATTACATCCAGGGAGAAGGTTTCAATTGATTTCAAACGTTCTGAATGATTTCAGCTAAATTAAAACTTTTGCTAAGTCCCTGTTGACTTCCCAGTTTAGAGTACAGGTCACAGTAGAAAATCCAGGTCATTGAGGACATATTTACTTTGCTCTGAAGTAAGAATGGAGAGTGCCTTTAGATACACACACACACACACACACACACACACACACACACAGGTCTTCTCTCCAATTAGGAATCAATCTGGCTTTGTGTTTCCCTACTTTTGTTGAAAATAGAATTTGTAGCTTACAATGTAATTTCACTGATGTGCTACCCTTGTAATTAAATGAAGATTCAATGATTCTTTTGTTATCCTTGCTTGTTGATATTTATTTTCTTTTTAAAATCTCCTGAGGATTCATTTCTTCCAGAAAATCTTTTGCAACTTGATTCCTTAGTTGGGCTGTAATCAATTATATGCTTTGGGAGCCCAAAGACGGTTGAGTATTTTTAAATCCAGTCTCTTTACTTTACAGTTGAGAAAACTGAGGTCAAGTAAAACTAAGTGGCTTGCCTAACATCATGTAGCTAGTTAGTGGCAGAGCTACGACTGGAGTCCATGTTTTCATACAAAATTTAAAGACCTTTACACCTTAATTAGTCAACTGACAAAGTATTATTGAGTATCCCCTCTCTTCTCAATTGTAAGTTAGAACCTGTTATGGAGCTAAGATATATCAAGAGAAATTAGAAATAATCATTTCTCACCAAAAGTTCTACTTGTAGCCCTCAAATATGTGGGGTTTACATTTCACAGCAAGATCTCCTACTGTGGTAGTCATGGGTATCTATTGATCAAATGTCCAAAGTTCTACTATGGTTCTTCAACCACATTCAAATATATCATCTTACTACTGTTTGGGCACAAAGAATAATACCTCCAAAGCATGGTGGTTTGGCATGCTGAGCACTTAGAATTAAAAGAAATTGGAAGGCTCTCCTCCCTCTCCCAAGTGCAGGGAGAAACTCTGGTATTTCCTTATCTGACTAAGGATACTTATTTTTTAAAAGAAATGCAACTGTTAGGAACCTATTCCTTGGGAATCTTGTCAAATAACCAGGAATGATTAATCATTGGAGAAGAGAAGAGACTAAAAGTCATCACCACACCTGGATAGACTTTTCATCTATGCTTCTAAGGGCAGTCTTGAGAGATTACCTGAGAGACTTTATCTACATAAGAAGACAATCTTTGTTCACAGTACAGTTCCACCCATCACCTTCCCATAGCTTCCCATTTTAGTTTCCGAAGAAAATAATTTAAAAGATAATGTCTGTATCCCAGGCCCATTTTTTTTCGCTAAAAATCATGAACTACCTCTTTAAAACTGCCTACAGCACCCCACTTCACTCTCCCCTATGAAGAGAATAATTAAGCCTCAACCATCTGGCCCTTTTTGTCTCATATTTGCTGGACTCCTGTTTCCATGTGTATGTTAATAAATTTATATTGTTAACAGAAGAAACAAACTCTGCAAAATATTTTAAACAGGTTTATTCTGAGCCAAGATGAGTGACCATGGCCCAGGGAACACGGTCTCGAGAGGTCCTGAGAAAGTACACCTACAGCAGTCAGGTTACAGTTTAGTTTTGCACATTTTAGGGAGGCAGAAGTTACAGGCAAATATATAAATCATTACATGGAAGGTATATATCAATTTGGCCCAAAAAGGTAGGACATCTCTAAGTCATAGGTAGGTTTTAGGTATTCCTTAGTTGACAGCTGGTTGAGAGAGTTAAGCTATTGTCTAAAGACTTGAAGTCAGTAGAAAGGAATGCTTGAGTTAAGATGAGGGAGTTTCGGGGGCAAGGCCCTTGTTATGTAGATAAAGCCTCATAGGTAGCAGCCCTTAGAGAGAATAGATGGTAAATGTTTCTTTCCAGTCCTTAAAGGCATCAGACTCTCAGTTCATCTCTCCTAGATCCAGGAAAGACCTGGCTGCATTGATGGAGATTCTCTACAGATGCAAATTTCTCCCACAAAAGACAGATTTGCAGGGTCCTTTCAAAATATGTCAAAAAAATATATTTTGGCTATTTCTCATCTTGCAAGATGGCAGGTGAAAAAGTTGAGAAGCCAGATACTAAAGACAAGAAACCCGAAGCCAAGAAGGCTGATGCTGGTGGCAAGGTGAAAGGGTAGTTACCTCAAGGCTAAAAAGCCCAAGAAGGGGAAGTGCCATTGCAGCCGCAATCCTGTCCTTGACAGAGGAATTGGCAGATATTCCCGATCTGCTATGTGTTGCAGAAAGGCCATGTACAAGCGGAAGTACTCAGCTGCTAAATCCAAGGATCCAAGGTTGAAAAGAAAAAGGAGAAGGTTCTTGCACTTGTTACAAAATCAGTTGGTAGTGACAAGAATGGTGGTACCCGGGTGCTTAAACTTCTCAAAATGACTAGATATTATCCTATTGAAGGTGTGCCTCGAAAGCTGTTGAGCCACGGCTTCAGTCAGCACGGGAGAAAACTGCGAGCCAGCATTACCCCCTGGACTATTCTAATCATCCTCACTGGATGCCACAGAGGCAAGAGGGTGGTTTTCCTGAAGCAGCTGGGTAGTGGTTTGTTACCTGTGACTGGACCTCTGGTCTTCAATCGAGTTCCTCTACGAAGAACACACCAGAAATTTGTCATTGCCACCTCAACCAAAATTCATATCAGCAATGTAAAAATCCCTAAACATCTTACTGGCATTTACTTCAAGAAGCAGCAGCTGCAGAAGCCCAGACACCAGGCAAGTGAGATCTTTGACACAGAAAAAGAGAAATATGAGATAACAGAGCAGTGCAAGATCAATCAGAAAGCTGTGGACTCACAAAGTTTACCAAAAATCAAAGCTATTCCTCAGCTCCAGGGCTACCTGCGATCTGTATTTGCCCCGATGAATGGAATTTATCCTCACAAGTTGGTGTTCTAAATTTCTTAAGGAGAACTTAATTAAATGAGATATATATATATAAAATATTTTTATTTCCCTCAGGGTCTGCTATCTGTCATGTGATGCTATACCAGAGTCAGTTTGGAAATCAAGCCACATTATACCTGGTGAATAAAAAGCCTGTTTAACAAGGTTTTATGGTTTGTAGAGAGTGACTTGACCTTTGCTTTGCATGACCTTAGGTCTTCTTTATAATTTAGTATTTTATTGCCACAAAGAATCTGGTTTTTCAGTCCTGGGATCTCTATTTTAACCCTAATGCTGGTCAATCGTGCCTAAACTGCAAAAGGGAGTTAACTCCCTTCCTGTCATGCCGGGAATTCAGCTTTTCAGGTTTCTCTGGGGTCTCCTTGGCCAAGAGGGGACCTGTTCAGTCAGTTGGGAGGCTTAGAATTTCATTTTTTGGTTTACAGCATGCTTTTTCTTTTATTAATCTGTCTATTGTCAGTCTGTTCAGACCTTCAGAGGGAAAGTTTGAGCTTCCCTAACACTACTTAAGCTAGTTTACCATATCCTATTGCTTCCATCCCATCTTCTTCTCAAGACAGCCTAAACTCCTTACTCCTGAATACAACATATCCTATCCCCTTTGCACCTTTACTCATGTCGTTTCCCCCCTCTCCTTTCCACTTGCCAAAGACATTTGTGGTCTATATCAGGATCCTTTGTTTCCTTGCAGCATCTTTCATCTATTGTATTCTGCCGTGATTTCCTTTTGCTTGGAGCTCCCATAACAGACAGAACATTCATTTATTATTCCTTTCACTTATTGACACTGTATCCTATTCTAGGTACTGATCTAACTATGTGGATAAAGGGCATCAAAGACTTGACAACATGATTTTTACCCTCTCGATGTTTAAAATTACACCAGGAAAAATAAAGCCACACAATTTTGGAGAGATAACATTTCTACATATTAACTTATAAAAGTTCTCTTTTTAAGTTCCCTTCTATTCTGCTTATTCAATCAGACAGCAGTGTGTTCTTTTTGGGGGATGATATATATGGAAAGGGCTGAAAAACAGAAGTAATCCCTTTTCTGACTTTATCCAAAAGACTAAGTTTGTAGGGTCTCCATGATATTCTGAGGATATCCTCGTGGGTTATCAAAGAAGGTAAAAAGTAGTTTTTGTGTGTTTTCAGCCATTTTCAGAGTTTTGAAAAAGCAGAGGGAAGAGAGGTTTTCTTCTCTCCCAGACTAGAAATTAATTTCCCCTGAGAAATGGAACAAGAAGGTGAACCTAAGGATCTTGGGATAACTTCCTGGATGTTCTGCTGGCAAGCCCCCAAAGCTGATTGGCTCAATGGTGCATTTTACAGTTGAAAGTAGCAAACTATGTCCTTGTCCCAGTGGAGATGTTGTTAGAGATAGAGGATGACTCAGCAGAAGCCTTCATGGGCCATGACTGAAAATCAGATGGTCATTCTAAGCCCTCCTCACCCCTGCCTCCAATCAACATTTTGTCCCAAGACATAAGAAGCCTGATACAATGTTGAGGAGAAGGTGGGGCACCACAGGAAGTACAGAGGCTTAGTAATCCATTAGCCTGTTGGAATGGGTATTTGGAGTCAGAAATTAAGTTAAAGTACAAAAAAATATAAAAGTGATAGTCTGTGTACCCTTGAAACTGTGGATGGAAGTATATTTCTGCTTTGTGCTTTAGTGTAACATTCTCATCTCCCTTAGTTCATTTTGTATTACTATCAAGGAATACCTGAGGCTAGGCAATTTAGAAAGAAAAAAACGTTTACTAGCTCACAATTCTGCTGGTTGGAAAGTTCATGATTGAGCATCTCCATCTGTTGAGGGCTTCAGGAAGCTTCCATTCTTGGCAAAAGGCAAAGAGGAGCCAGCATGTGCAGAGACCACATGGTGAGAGAGGAAGCAAGAGAGAGAGAGAGGGGAAAGGTGCCAGGCTCTTTTAACAACCAGGTCTTTCAGGAACTAATGGAGTGAGAAATCACTCAGTCCCAAGAGAGGGCATTAATCTATACATGAGGGATCTACCTCGTGACCCAAACGCCTCCCACGAGGCACTACCTCCCAATACCACCAAACTGGGGGCTAAATTTCAACATGAGATTTTGTGGGGACAGACAAACCATATCCAGATCATAGCATCATCTAACAAAATGTTCCCTTTGGGCATCCCAGATAATTGATACAAATGTCTCCATTTGTAAGCTGAACAATGTGTAGTATAAAAAATATTAAAAACTTTTAAAACCACTCGGTTTTGGACAATATATAACATGTCACTATACTCCAATGTCCCACAATGTCCTCAACAAACGTTCCTTCAAGTATGACTTGAGAATCTGTCACCAAAACAATCAAAGCAAAGAATTAAAGCAATTTAAAAATCTGCTAATAGCAAAACATGTTCTAAAATCAAACTTAATCATTTCACAATAAATGGTGAAGGCCTGCCTAGGGAGGAACCTTCCCTCAGTTAGTTGTCACACTCTTTTTGCGTTTGAGGGATGTTCTGTGATACAGGGATTTTTTTTGAGGTACTGTGATACAAGGTTTTTTGTTCCCTACCCAACTTTTGGACATTTTTGCAAATAAATATTTAACCCAGCTGTTTAAAATCAGTGATTGGCCAAGTCAATTTTTCTCTCCTGCTGAGTGGCGGCCTCACTTTTATGCATTATACCAGATATGTGAGGGTTCACTCAGCATGTCCAAAGCAGAGTAACCAAAATTGGGACCTATTGTGCATGGCTGGCTATCCCATCTGGAAAGCCTGGGACATGGATGTGATTCCTGTGGAATAAAATTTGCCATTTTAAATTTGCACCCCAGCCAGTCATATCAACACTGTCTTCCTCAGTCAGGAATCCCCAGGAAAAAAGTGTTATAGATTCACTCTCAGAAGTCAAAGGAGAACATATTTATCAAATGGAGGAAGAATTGTTCCTACCAAATAAATATTTCATCACTAGACCTTACATTATCCAGTACAGTAAGAACTTATCAAGCATGTTCTGAAACTGCTTTGCTTACTATCACATGTACTCCAAAGGAAGGATTTACATGGTAAACTTGAGTGAACACTCTAATATGAGCAGAATTGGCCATCATAGTGACAAAAAAGGAAAATTTACATTCTTATAAAGGCATTTTGAAATTTCATTATGCATGTAGTTTATTTTGCCCTTAGTCTTTCCTCTATGGAAAAATGAAACTTATTCAGTTTCGTGTTGATACTATGGTTGAGTTTGCTAAATATGAGTATTATTATAATTTATAAATCATAATCTCTTTGTTGTCATTTTAGTCCCTCAAAAGGCTTCTTGCTACTCCAATAAGATTTCTGTTCTTGCCTCTTCCCCCTACTACTCCACCCTCCAATCAGTGTGTTTCTTTTGCATTGGCATTAATGTAATATAAGGGAAAGTGTGGGAAATGATATCTAAAAAAAATTGAGTAAAGTTTTAAAGATTGTTTTTGCTCCTATTTAGACCTAAGACAACAGGAACAAAAATATTTTTTAAATTGCGAAACATTGGTTATAAAAGGAAATTAAGCCAGACTACAGAAACACACACACACACACACACACACACACACACACACAAACCTGGATGACCATCGTACCATGGTGCTGCAAACCATATTTTCTGGCCAGGATGCTTGAATAGGTTACCATTTTCTTGCAGGCTTGGCATCTCAATATTATGGTTATAGCTCATAAGCATGGTTTATAATGTAATTTTCTCCAAATTTATATTGGTGAAACCAAGTGACCAGAAAAAAATGAGTTAATTTGAAGGCTCTAATCCAATATTAAAATGTTAATGGCCTTGAAGAGCTTCTAATCCTTCCAAATGAGGTCATGACATATCAGAGATAATAAGCCATCTTGAAAATATCCTAAGAACCAGGTCTCTGGGCAATGGTTTACAAACTACGCAGCATCCATTCAGATTATTTTCCATCCCAATTTAGGAAGCAAATAAATAATTACTATTTTGAGGGGAGAATTATAACACTTAAGCATTCTGAGGGTTACATATTTTAAGGGACTAATTCCTTACTGCCTGATTTTTAATTCTCAATATATCTACTGTAATCTTTGCTAGTTTAAAAAAATATTTAAGTATTCAATAAAGTGCACTAATTATACATGTGTAACTTGATGAACTTTTATGACTCAGATCAAAATATAGAACATTTCCAGTACTCTGGAAGGCTGCTTCATGTCCCTTTCCAGTCAATACCCCCTTTATTTATTTATTATTTTGAGATGGAGTGTTGCTTTGTTGCCCAGGCTGGAGTGCAGTGGTGTGATCTCAGCTCACTGCAACCTCTGCCTCCCAGGTTCAAGCGATTCTCCTGCCTCAGCCTCCTGAGTAGCTGGGACTACAGGTGTCCACCACCACGCCCGGCTAATTTTTTTTTTTTTTTTGTATTTTTAGTAGAGATGGGGTTTCACCATGTTGGCCAAGCTGGTCTCAAACTCCTGACCTCAGGTGATCCACCCACCTCGGCCTCCCAAAGTGCTGGAATTACAGGTGTGATCCACCATGCCCGGCCCAATACCCTCTTTTTAGAGATAAAAAATATTCTGACAGCTAAACAATATTAATTAACTTTGCTTGTGCATGAATTTCATACAAAGGAAATTATATAGTATATGTCATTTTGGGTCTGGCTTCTTTCACTCCCCAAGTCTGTGAGAGCTATCCATGTCACTGTACGTTTTTCTGTAGTTCATTTTTACTGTTGTGTATTATTCTATTATATGAATATACTACAATTGATATCTCTTTCTCCTATTGCAGGCATTTATGTTGTTTTCAGTTTAAGTTATTATGAATAAGGCTATTATGGGCAAGTTTGTATATGTCTTTGGAACACATATGCATTCATTTTTCTTGGTTATTTCCTAGGATTTGATTGCTAGGTCATGTTTATCTTAAGTAGATGCTTATTTAGCTGAAGTAGTCACCCTCAGTGTTTTAAAATGGCTTTACCAATTTACATTCCTACTAATAATGTATTTGAAAGTTCCAATTGCTTCACATCCTTGCCATCACTTGGTATTATCAATCTTATTAATTTTTGACCTTTTATTCAGTGTGCAGTAATATCTTATTGTGATTTAAGTTTGACTTTTCCTGAGAATTAAATAAGTTGTACACCTTTTTATGAACTAATGGACCATATGGATATTCTCTTTGTAAAGTGCCTGTTCAAGTCTGTTGCCTGCTTCTAAATTTGGCTATTTGTCTTTTTTTATATTTATTTGTAGGGGTTCTTCATATATTCTGGATATGAGCCATTTTTTTGTAGATCTAAAAATGTTTCTCCATTTGTGGCTTGCCTTTTTACTATCTTAAAAGTATCTTTTGATGAATAGGAGTTCTTAATTTTAGGTAAGTTCAGTTTATCAATCTTTTTTATGGTTAGGGTTTTTAGTGCAATTTTAAAGAAAAAATTGTACCTTTTCTAGTTTTGCTTACTGGCCAACAAAAAAATATAAGAATTGAATCTAGCATTCTTACTGCTGTGGACAATCAGAAAACTTTAAAATGCTATAAAACTCCACTAGAATAGCTAGAATTTTAAAGACTTTCAGAAAAAAAAAATGTTGGTGAGGATGTGGAACAACCAGAAGTCCCATTGCTGGTGTGAGTGTAAAATAATATACTCACTTTGGAAATCTATTTGTCAGTTTCCTACAAAGTTAAACGTACACCCACTCTATAACCCAAAATTTCTACTTCTAGGTATTTACTTAAGAGAAATGAAAACATATGTCCACAAAAAGCCATGTATAAGAATGTTTACAACAATTTCATCTTTAATAGCCCCAAATTGGAAATAAATGAAATATCTATCTACAGATCAGATAAGCAAACTGTGGTATATTCATACAATAGAATAATACTTAGCGATAAAAAAAGAATTACTGATACAAACAATAACATGAATAAGTCTCACAAACATGCTCAGGGAAAGATACCAGACACAGAGAATACATATTGCATAATTTCATTTATATGAAGTTGTAGAACTTGCAAATTAATATGTGGTAATAGAAATCAGAACAAGCTGACAACTTTCAGTTCTAGAAAATATTTTTCTTGCAGAGAAAACACACAAAGAGTTGATGAACAATGCAGGGAGAAAAACTGTATTGTCTGAAAGACAAACACAAATACTACTGGCAGATAGTTTTAGTTTATATTTGAGGACAACAAGATGGCAACTTTTATTATTAGCAGCCCAGGAAACACAAACAACGTGTGTCTGTGTCAAATGCTTTATTCTCCAGCACCGAAGGACATTTGGAAGCTTTGGCTCATAGGAAACCAGCCAGTGTGGCTATTAGGGAGGTGACAGTCAAGAGGATGAAAGGACTGGAGGGGAGGCAGAGCCCAAGGCAAAAGGAAAAAGGAAGGTCCGCTCTGCTACCCAAGAGAGAGGTCAGTTATTAAAGAGCTTCCGAAGACAGAATGCCAATTCTGAGACTTGTCCTAAGCAGATTTTTTCATTCTCTCTCACCACTTAGTTATAATCACTACTGTGACACAGATTATACACGCACTTTGTTGCTTATTGTTAGTCTGTGCCATTGTGTGACCTTTGGACTGTTGAATTTCAGGTTTCAGCTTGCATTGATGCTTACTTCTCTTTTCTTCGTCTACTTTAATTAGGCCACAAGCAACGGGGCACCATAATTTCGTCTATTCTAGGTACAGCTACAGATGGAATTATTTCCATGTTATGAGGAAATGAAAACTAAGGCAGGGAAAACATTGTGTCTGTTTTCTACTCCAATGTGGAAGATCTTTTGGAAGGCCTAAGTCTCACTGTTAGCATCTTTGAGATACTTTGTCTTTTTCTATGAGTTCTACATGTAGGAGAAGTGGGCATGATGAAACTTATTCATTCAAGAGATGAGGCTCAGAAACATCCGCTGAAGGATAAGAAAACTGAGTAAGTGCATACACTGTTGGGAGGAATGTAAATTAGTATAGCCACTCTGGAAAACAGTATGTAGATTCCTCAAAAAAACTAAAGATAGAACTACCACATGATCCAGCAACCCCATTGCTAGGTAGATACCCAAAAGAAAGAAAATCAGCATATTGAAGAAATGTCTGCACTTCCATGTTTATTGTAGCCCTATTCACAATAGTCTAGATATTGAATCAACCTAAGTGCCTATCAACAGATGAAAGGATAAAGAAAATCTGGTATGTGTACACAATAGAATACTATTCAGCCACAAGAAGAATGAAATCCAGTCATTTGCAGCAACATGGATGGAACTGGAAAACATTATGTTAAGTGAAATAAACCAGGCACAGAAAGATAAATATTTCATGGTCTCACTCATATGTGGGAACTTAAAAAATTAATTGGAGCTGGTGAATAGAATGGTGGTGACAAGGCTGAGAAGAGTGGGGGAAGGCGAGCATGAAGAAAGGCTGGTCAATTGGTACAAAAATACAGTTAAGTTATTTTATTTTATTTTAAATTTATTTTTTAAAAATTTATTTTATTTTTTTTAAAGACATCACTCTGTTGCCCAGTCTGGAGTGCAGTGGCACAATCATAGCTCACTGCAGCCTCAGACTCCTGAACTCAAGTGATACTCCCACCTCAGCCTCCTGAGGAGCTAGGACTACAGATATGTAGCTAGGACTATCATGCCTGGCTAATTTTTTGATTTTTTGTAGGGATGGGGTCTTGCTATGTTGCCCAGACTGGTCTCAAACTCCTGGCCTCAAGTGATCCTCCTGTGTCAGCCCCAAAGCACTGGGATTACAGGAGTGAGCCAGTGTGCCTGGTCCAAGAATATAGTCAGATAGAAGGAATAAGTTCAATATCACAGTCAGGTGACTATAGTTAATAATTTGTTGTATATTTGAAAATGATTAGAAGATGTAAAATGTTCGCAACACAAAGAAATAAGAAATGTTTGAGATGATAGATATCCCAATTATCCTGATTTGATCATTACACATTGCATGCATGTATCATAATATCACATGTACCCCATAAATATGTACATGTATTATGGATCCATTTTTTTTAAAAACTACAATAACTAGAAAATATAAAAGAAAACAGCAGATTTAAAGCATCTCTAATACTCAAGAGTTGGCCTGGTCCTATTAGCTAATCCTTGGTGTTGCTAAGAGCTAGCTTGGCACTTACAGCTAAACCATGGTGTTTTCTTGTTAAGCGTAAGCAATCTCACAGAGCACCAGATTCAGATAAGCCCACTCTGACCGCGATGGATCAAGAGAAAATAAGACCACCTTGCAGTCATGTCTGAACACAAACAAAAACATGAACATCGTTCAAACCACAAAAATGATCAAATGGCTTTCTATCTTGGCTAATATAAGTAACGGATGCTGCCTTATCAATGACAGTGTTAGCCTCATACTAGTCTTCCTTCCTTTAGATAAGATTTATTATGACACTCAATAATAGAATTACCATTTCCTAACAGCTTGTAATCTGGAATAAAGTCCTGCTTCCTGAACCTTCCTCCAAATCACCCACTACAAGTCCAAATACTATGATAAGTCCTAACACCCTCTATTGAGATGCCCTATGGCTCCCCATGGTGTTCATTCACTCTCATTGTAATAAGTCAATAAAGCCAACTTTGACTGGCTATAGGTGTGCTCCTGATGGTCTTTAGCTGAAGGACATTAACAGAAGCATAAAGAAATTGAGTGGAATTTCGAAGACAATGTGAATACCAAGAAAAATCACACCTTGAGGACCATCTGCATATAGGTCAGTACCAAAACTCAATTACGTGCCACTTGAGAGACTTCTTGTACCTCAATCATTTTTAGCCTGGCCTCTTGGCTACTAGAAGCAGAAAGAAACAAAACTTGTATGTCTCATTTGGAAACCTTGTATTGAATATGTGCCTTACTTAGATAAAGATGCCCAGGGAATAGGTGTATGGTGTCAATATTTAGTGGGTCAGAGACAATAAACATCTTTGTCAGAAAATGGGGCTCATGGAATCTGGAGAAAGACAGGTGGAATCATCGCTGGGGTGACTGATGTAACGGAAAAGTATTAAGAGAAAGAGTGAGAGACTGAGTCCTGGAGTCCTTTCCATAACATTTACACCAGGAGAAAATGCTCTCTGTGCCTGAATCCTGGCCCCAGCCCAGACATACAAATGCCAGTTTCCTACAATGACTCTTGGTGAACAAATTCATTCCCAAGGCTCTAGGTTGTTTTGTGAAGACATTGTCCTTTTGACAGGACATTTACAGTTTTTTTAACCACACTACTATGTGGTAGTTAAAAATCAGGTTCTGGAGTCAAAAATACCTGAGTTTAAATCCTAGCTGCATCAGTTATAAGTTACTGTTCTTGGGAAAGTTCCTAACCTCTTAGTGCTTCAATTTCTGTATCCAAATAACAGAGACAATAATAACTGTACCAACTGCACCTGCTTTGTAAGATTTTGTGTAAAGTGCTTGCATGATGTTTGGCACATGGTAAGCTTTCAATGAATCATAGCTATTGTTCATATAATTGGTCTATATTTGGAAGTACAATGATGTCACCTTTTCCTAGTATCTGAATATTTGTTTTAAGAGAGTTTTACATAGATGTCAAACATACTTATGTAGTTACATGCGTACATATACACTCAAATACATATGTATACATATCCATACACAGATGAACACTTGCATTCATGGGTTTTTCATGAATACTGGGCTGGTCCTTAGGTGGGTAAATGCTGTGAAATTATGGGGCTCAGGTTAGCTCAGGAATGAATATAAGCCTGTAAAAGGCTAAAGGTGACTTTGTAAATTTCTAAATCTTAGTGCTGATAAATTTTACTTGGCTTTTCCTGAGCCTTTTCCCTAAACTTAGAAGTTTGCTTCCTTAAATAATTTGACAGCCCCTCTTGTCATTTTACATTCTCCCACTAGTTCTTATCCCAGAAATTATCATGACTGTTAATACCAGCCCTCTCCTACAGTGCTTTGGCCACAAAGGTACCAAAGAGCCATGGCGAATAATGACTTAACTATTGTTAATTCTTGTCCCTCAAAAGGGGGCCTGTCTGAAAGAAGTCCCAATAGACCGTAACTCCAAAGTCCACACAGTGATAATGTTTTTTATTAAAAAGAGTTTGGAATGGCTGGGCTGGGAGCAGTGGCTCACGCCTGTAATCCCAACACTTTGGGAGGCCTAGGAGAGTGGATCACGAGGTCAGGAGATCGAGACCATCCTGGCTGACACGGTGAAACCCCGTTTCTAGTAAAAATACAAAAAATTAGCCGGGCGTGGTGGCGGGTGCCTGTGGTCCCAGCTACTCAGAGGCTGAGACAGGAGAATGGTGTGAACCCGGGAGGTGGAGGTTGCAGTGAGCTGAGATCGCGACACTGCACTCCAGCCTGGGCAACAGAGCAAGCCTCGTTCTTAAAAAAAAAAAAAAAAAAAAAAAATGTAAAAAGAGTTTGGAGTGACTGCTCATAGCTTACAATGCTGTTTCAAAGGGAAGAATCAGGGAAACCATCTAACACAGGGGAAGTGTGATGGAGGATAAGTCAGAGTAGAAAAAGACAGTGACCTTACTCAATTATGCTTTAAAATAGCTTGTATTTGTGAATTTGACAAAAATATATGACCATATGAATCACTGCTAGGGCCCCTTCCAGGGCCTTGGAAGGATTCAATACAAGTGTGGGGCCCTGAGGTTAAGCTGTTTTAGTAATGCTGCCTATGCCTCCAACTCTCCCAGGCACCGATAGGGTTTCAGTTGCAGTTGTCACTTGTTCATCCAAAGGAATAACTATTTTGTGCAGACTGGTGGGAGAACAGGTTTAGGATTGCCATTCTAGGTGTTGGGCATGGACTGTGTCTGTCTTATTAGCACTGAAGCCCCAGGGCCAGCATAATGCCTTCCACAGAAGAGGTGCTCAGTAAATACGTGCTGTATGAAGGAAGAAACTAAGAATTCCACCCCCGGGATGACAGGGATAGTGAATTCCAATGATTTATTGAGTGAGGGATAAATGATACAGAGAATGTGCATAGCACTAAAGTTTACAAAAGTCTTTCGTGTACATAAGAGGTTGGCAAAACACAGCTCATGGATTGGTAGGTCAAATTTAGCCTGCTGCCTTATTTTGTAAATCAAGTTTTATTGGAATACAGCCACATGCATTTGTTTACCTATTGTCTAGACTGTTTTCCTGCT
This sequence comes from Homo sapiens, assembly GCF_000001405.40. Classification (NCBI taxonomy): domain Eukaryota; kingdom Metazoa; phylum Chordata; class Mammalia; order Primates; family Hominidae; genus Homo; species Homo sapiens. The sequence continues at coordinate 16,187,187 of NC_000023.11, read as the reverse complement.
GAAATAGCAGAGGTGAGTAGCCACTGAGATCACATGGCCTGCAAAGGCTAAGATGTTTACTATCTGGACCTTTAGAAAAGTTTGTTGACACCTCATGCATATTATCATATTTTGATTTTGAGCCTCATTTCATGCCTGTGAGGGAGGTCAAAACTTAATATCTCTTCCTGACAGATGAAAAAAGTTGAGACTCAGGTTAAATGACTTTGCCTGGTTAGTTGCATATCAAGAGTTGACGTTGAACCTAAGTGCTGGGACTAATTCAGGTGTGCCACGAATGTAGGTTGCTAAACTACTTGTAAATGAGCTCATGCTGTGAACCTTTAGAGATGGAAAGCCGTTTTCAGAGGAGCTCAGTAAATGAAGCAAGTTTCAGTGTTTCCACTAAGGCTTTTGGGCAAGCTTTGCATAAGTGCCACATATAACTCAGGCCTTAACACTTAAGTCTACCCCAGCCAACTTTCAACTGCAAATGTCTACTTTTAATGTTTAAATGGAAGGCCACTCTGCTTATATGTAAGGCAGGCTGGAACTTCCATGAAACAATTCCTCCCAAGAGAGGTTAATTCCTGCCAGAAGTTGGTATATAAATACCCCAGCTCCCTCTCTCCTTGGGTTAAAAACCCTCAAGGCATAGGTTTCACACCACTTCTCAGAGTTGCCCTGTAGGATTAAGCTCCAGTTTCCCACAGTGGAAGCTGGCTTGATAATGCATCCTTTATTGGCTGCCTTCTCTGTTTTGTGACATTTCCCCACTCTCCTACCAGTGTTATCTGCACCTCCCAAATAAACTACCTGTACTTGTATCCTTCTCTCAGATTCTGCATTTGGGGAAACCCAAGCAAAGACAGCTTTGGATAAATGGAGGCACTCTTACAGGGGAGCAAATATTTGGCCTCATTATGATAGTTCACTGTGATGTTTCAAAGGGAAGGATCAGTCATTAGGATGGGGTTAATCTTCTGTAGTTCATTCTATTAACCCAACTACTAGTTTGCTGATGAGGGCTCACTTTTCCTGCAGTCACTGATCCTGGAAGATGCTCACCTGAGGAAAGTCTGCATCAGCCAAGACACACATGGCTGCTGCTGCTGAAGTGGAAAATACTGCAGTGTCATCAATCAATGCCTTCCACATGCTCTTGGCAGAAGGGCAATTAGTGTTACTCAGGATGAAAATGAATATAAGGCTGTGGATGAATGGGTTATTGAAGAGACTATCGAATCAGCCTGGCTGTTAGAAGCGGCCAGAGGCAGTGGGGAAGGCTCCTTGTCTGTGCTGGGCAACAGCTAGTGTAGAGCAGCCTTCTGTCTCAGGCTTGGAAGGGGTCATTCAAGTGACAGAAAGATTAGTCATTTTTACCAGATTAGTCATTTTTACCACTTCCTCCCTTCTGGGTTATCCTCTCAACAGACTCAGCAAGTAGGGTCCATCTACTCACAGGGCTGTGGCCATATTTTCTTTTATAAAAGCCAGAAAATGGAATCCCTTCAATGTAGTGACATGATTTTTTGCAAGCGTTTCCTTTTTATCCCTGCCTTTGGCTGTCTCTCACTGTCTATATTTCTCCCTTTGGCTCTTTCTGCCCCCCACCTGTCTCTGTATCTCTGCTTCTGTCTCTCTTCCCTTCCTTTCTCCGTACCTAGTTCTCCCGTCCGCTTCTCTTTCCTTCTCCTAGTTTCTCTCTTTCTCTCCCCACCTTCCTCTGCTCTGGTCTTTCTTTTGGTCTTTGGAATATTTTCTCATGTTCTGACATTCTTTAAGGTAGGTTCATTTATTGAATCCTTGATATATCTCCCAAAGAAAAGCAGTTATAATTAAAATCTTTGTTACTTGTGGGCAAATAACCCCATATAAAATCAGATTCATTTTCAAGTAAAATTCCCTCTTGGGCTTTAAAAGCCTGACTCCTAAAGTTCCCCAGCTGGATAGACTGTCTGCTTCTCTGTCTTTAAGCATTATCCAGGCATGGCGGGCACAGTGGCTCATGCCTGTAATCCCAGCACTTTGGGAGGCCGAGGCAGGCGGATCATGACATCAGGAGTTCAAGACCAACCTGACCAATATGGTGAAACCCCATCTCTACTAAAAATACAAAAATTAGCCAGGCATGGTGGCGCATGCCTGTAATCGCAGGTACTCGGGAGGCTGAGGCAGGAGAATCGCTTGAACCTGGGAGGCGGAGGTTGCAGTGAGCCAAGATCATGCCACTGCACTCCAGCCTGGGTGACAGAGCAAGAGTCCGTCTCAAAACAACAACAACAACAAAACATTACCCAGGCAGCAGGGTGCACAAAGTTTAGCCACCTTTTAGAAATAGGTGCCAAGTATTGTGTCCTGCTCTGTTTGCCTAGGTTTATTGGCTGTAGTTCACAGGTGAGCCTCTAACAGAAGAGAAGACATAAGCAGCTTTCACACCAGAATGGAGCCAAGATGTCTGCAGGCTTAGTGACTGGATCTGAGACATCCCTGATATCATCACGGGGTTGAGACCTGGAACTTTCAAAAAAACTCTTGGTTCTGTATTATCAGTCCAGAGGCAGAAGTACTAAAAACCTGCTGGAAAGCAGCAACAGGAGGAGAGGGAGAGAGCTCTGTCTCAAAGACTCAAAATGGTCTTATAAACCAAAATTCCAAAGAAAGTAAAGAAATTATGTGTTAAGAAAGACGGCTGACAAAATCACCACTCAAACATGAATTCACTCAGGATGAAATTAAAATAATTTTTTAAAGTTTAGAAAAGACTTGATCATTGTCAGGCCTCTGAGCCCAAGCTAAGCCATCATATCCTCTGTGACCTGCACGTACATATCCAGATGGCCGGTTCCTGCCTTAACTGATGACATTCCACCACAAAAGAAGTGAAAATGGCCTGTTCCTGCCTTAACTGATGACACTGTCTTGTGAAATTCCTTCTTCTGGCTCATCCTGGCTCAAAAGCTCCCCTACTGAGCACCTTGTGACCCCCACTCTGCCAGCCAGAGAACCCCCCTTTGACTGTAATTTTCCTTTATCTACCCAAATCCTATAAAACGGCCCCACCCTTATCTCCCTTCGCTGACTCTCTTTTCGGACTCAGCCCGCCTACACCCAGGTGATTAAAAGCTTTATTGCTCACACAAAGCCTGTTTAGTAGTCTCCTCACACTGACGCGCATGAAATTTGGTGCCGTGACTCGGATCAGGGGACTTCCCTTAGGAGATCAATCCCCTGTCCTCCTGCTCTTTGCTCCGTGAGAAAGATCCACCTATGACCTCAGGTCCTCAGACCGACCAGCCCAAGAAACATCTCACCAATTTCAAATACAGTAAGTGGCCTCTTTTTACTCTCTTCTCCAACCTCCCTCACTATCCCTCAACCTCTTTCTCCTTTCAATCTTGGCGCCACTCTTCAATCTCTCCCTTCTCTTAATTTCAACTCCTTTCATTTTCTGGTAGAGACAAAGGAGACACGTTTTATCCGTGGACCCAAAACTCCGGCGCCAGTCACGGACTAGGGAAGGCAGCCTTCTCTTGGTGTTTAATCATTTCAGGGACACCTCTCTGATTATTCACCCAGGTTTCAGAAGTGTCAGACCATGCAAGGACGCCTGCCTTGGTCTTTCACCCTTAGCGGCAAGTCCCGCTTTTCTGGAGGAGGGGCAAGTAGCCCAACCCCTTCTCTCCGTGTCTCTACCCGCTTCTCCGCCTTTCTGGGGGGCAAGAAACCCCCAACCCCTTCTCCTTCACTCTTAGCGGCAAGTCCCGCTTTTCTAGAGGAGAGGCAAGTACCCGAACCCCTTCTGTGTCTCTACCCCTTCTCCACCTTTCTGGGGGGCAAGACACCCCCAACCCCTTCTCCTTTACCCTTAGCGGCAAGTCCCGCTTTTCTGGAAGTACAAGTGCCCCAACCTTGTATCTCGGCGCCCCAATCCGTTATATCCACGCTCCTCCCCTCCTCCCCAGGCTGCTCCTCGCCAGGCCGAGCTAGGTCCCAATTCTTCCTCAGCCTCCGCTCCTCCACCCTACAATCTTTTTATCACCTCCCCTCCTCACACCCGGTCTGGTTTACAGTTTCATTCCGTGCATAGCCCTCCCCCACCTGCCCAGCAATTTCCTCTTAAAAAGGTGGCTGAAGCTAAAGGCATAGTCAAGGTTAATGCTCCTTTTTCTTTATCAGACGTCTCCCAAATCAGTGAGCATTTAGGCTCTTTCACCAAATATGAAAAACCCAGCCCAGTTCATGGCTCGTTCGGCAGCAACCCTGAGACGCTTTACAGCCCTAGACCCTAAAAGGTCAAAAGGCCGTCTTATTCTCAATATACATTTTATTACCCAATCCGTTCCTGACATTAAATAAAACTCCAAAAATTAAATTCCGGCCCTCAAACCCCACAACAAGACTTAATTAACCTCACCTTCAAGGTGTACAATAATAGAGGCAGCCAAGTAGCAACATATTTCTGAGTTGCAATTCCTTGCCTCCACTGTGAGACAAACCCCAGACACATCTCCAGCACACAAGAACTCCAAACGCCTGAACCGTAGCTGCCAGGGGTTCCTCCAGAACCTCCTCCCCCAGGAGCTTGCTAAAAGTGCCAGAAATCTGGCCACTAGGCCAAGGAATGCCCACAGCCCAGGATTCCTCCTAAGCCGTGTCCCATCTGTGCAGGACCCCACTGAAAACTGGACTGTTCAACTCACCTGGCAGCCACTTCCAGAGCTCCTGGAACTCTAGCCCAAGGCTCTCTGACTCTTTCCCAGATCTTCTCGGCTTAGCAGCTGAAGACTGACACTGCCGGATCGCCTCAGAAGCCTGCAGGACCATCACAGACGCTCTAGGTAACTCTCACAGTAGAAGGTAAGTCCGTCCGCTTCTTAATACGGAGGCTACCCACTCCACATTACCTTATTTTCAAGGGCCTGTTTCCCTTGCTTCCATAACTGTTGTGGGTATTGACGGCCAGGCTTCTAAACCTCTTAAAACTCCCCAACTCTGGTGCCAACTTAGACAATACTCTTTTAAGCACTCCTTTTAGTTATCCCCACCTGCCCAGCTCCCTTATTAGGCCGAGACACTTTAACTAAATTATTTGCTTCCCTGACTATTCCTAGGCTACAGCCACACCTCATTGCTGCCTTTTCCCCCAGTTCAAAGCCTCCTTCACATCCTCCCCTTGTAGCTCCCCACCTTAACCTGCAAGTATAAGACATCTCTACTCCCTCCTTAGCGACCGATCATGCACCCCTTACCATCCCATTAAAACCTAATCACCCTTACCCCGCTCAATGCCAATATCCCATCCCACAGCATGCTTTGAAAGGACTAAAGCCTGTTATCACTCACCTGTTACAGCATGGCCTTTTAAAGCCCATAAACTCTCCTTACCATTCCCCCATTTTACCTGTCCTAAAACCAGACAAGGCTTACAGGCTAGTTCAGAATCTGCGCCTTATCAGCCAAATTGTTTTGCCTATCCACCCCATGGTGCCAAACCTATATACTCTCCTCAATACCTCCCTCTACAACCCATTATTCTGTTCTAGATCTCAAACATGCTTTCTTTATTGCACCCTTCATCCCAGCCTCTCTTCGCTTTCGCTTAGACTGACCCTGACACCCATTAGGCTCAGCAAATTACCTGGGCTGTACTGCCGCAAGACTTCACAGATAGCCCCCATTACTTCAGTCAAGCCCAAATTTCTTCCTCATCTGTTGCCTATCTCAGCATAATTCTCGTAAAAACACACGTGCTCTCCCTGCTGATCGTGTCCGATTAATCTCCCAAACCTCAATCCCTTACAAAACAACAACTCCTTTCCTTCCTAGGCATGGTTAGTGCGGTCAGAATTCTTACACAAGAGCCAGGACCGCACCCTGTAGCCTTTCTGTCCAAACAACTTGACCTTACTGTTTTAGCCTAGCCCTCATGTCTGCATGCAGCGGCTGCCGCTGCTTTAATACTGTTAGAGGCCCTAAAAATCACAAACTATGCTCAACTCACTCTCTACATTTCTCATAACTTCCAAAATCTATTTTCTTCCTCACACCTGACGCATATACTGTCTGCTCCCTGGCTCCTTCAGCTGTACTCACTCTTTGTTAAGTCCCACAATTACCATTGCTCCTGGCGCAGACTTCAATCTGGCCTCCCACATTCTTCTAGATACCACACCTGACCCCCATGACTGTATCTCTCTGATCCACCTGACATTCACCCCATTTCCCCATATTTCCTTCTTTCCTGTTCCTCCCCCGATCACGCTTGATTTATTGATGGCAGTTCCACCAGGCCTAATCGCCACACCAGCAAAGGCAGGCTATGCTATAGTACAAGCCACTAGCCCGCCTCTTAGAATCTCTCCTCATTTTCTTTCCATTGTGGAAATCTATCATCAAGGAAATAACTTCTCAGTGTTCCGTCTGCTATTCTACTACTCCTCAGGGATTATTCAGGCCCCCTTCCTTCCCTACACATTAAGCTCCAGGATTTGCCCCACCCAGGACTGGCAAATTAGCTTTACTCAACATGCCCCGAGTCAGATAACTAAAATACCTCTTAGTCTAAGTAGACACTTTCACTAGATAAGTACAGGCCTTTCCTACAAGGTCTGAGAAGGCCACCGCAGTCATTCCTTCCCTTCTGTCAGACATAATTCCTCAGTTTAGCCTTCCCACCTCTATATAGTCTGATAACAGACCAGCCTTTATTAGTCAAATCAGCCAAGCAATTTTTCAGGCTATTAGTATTCAGTGAAACCTTTATATCCCTTATGGTCCTCCGTCTTCAGGAAAAGTAGAATGGACTAAAAGTCTTTCAAAAACACACCTCACCAAGCTCAGCCACCAACTTAAAAAGGACTGGACAATACTTTTACCACTTTGCCTTCTCAGAAGTCAGACCTGTCCTCAGAATGCTACAAGGTACAGCCCATTTGAGCTCCTGTATGGTTGCTCCTTTTTATTAAGCCCCAGTCTCATGCCAGACACCAGACCAACTTAGACTGTGCCCCCAAAAAACTTGTCATCCCTACTATCTTCTGTCTAGTCATACTCCTATTCACCGTTCTCAACTACTCATACATGCCCTGCTCTTGTTTACACTGCCGGTTTACACTGTTTCTCCAAGACATCACAGCTGATATCTCCTGATGCTATCCCCAAACTGCCACTCTTAACTCTTGAAGTAAATAAATAATCTTTGCTGACAGGACTATGCTGAATCTCCTTAGGCACTCTCTAATTAGATGTCCTAGGTCCTCCCAATTCTTAGACCTTTAATACCTGTTTTTCTCCTTCTCTTACTCCGTTTAGTTTTTCAATTCATACAAAACTGTATCCAGGCCATCACCAATAATTCTAAATGACAAATGTTTCTTCTAACAGTCTCACAATATCACCCCTTACCACAAAATCTTCCTTCAGCTTAATCTCTCCCACTCCCACTCTAAGTTCCCATGCCGCCCCTAATCCCGTTCAAAGCAGCCCTGAAAAACATCGCCCATTATCTCTCCATACCACCCCCAAAAATTTTCACTGTCCCAACACTTTACCACTATTTTGTTTTATTTTTCTTATTAATATAAGAAGACAGGAATGTCAGGCCTCTGAGCCCAAGCTAAGCCATCATATCCCCTGTGACCTGCACGTATACATCCAGATGGCTGGTTCCTGCCTTAACTGATGACATTCCACCACAAAAGAAGTGAAAATGGCCTGTTCCTGCCTTAACTGACGACATTGTCTTGTGAAATTCCTTCTCCTGGCTCATCCTGGCTCAAAAGCTCCCCTACTGAGCACCTTGTGACCCCCCACTCTGCCCGCCAGAGAACAACCCCCCTTTGACTATAATTTTCCTTTACCTACCCAAATCCTATAAAACGGCCCCACCCTTATCTCCCTTCGCTGACTCTCTTTTTGGACTCAGCCCACCTGCACCCAGGTGATTAAAAGCTTTATTGCTCACACAAAGCCTGTTTAGTAGTCTCTTCACACAGATGCGCATGAAAATCACAAGTATGCCTAAGTTGAAAAACTACATTTTCATAAAAATAACAAAAAATTATAAAACAAAGCAGACTTGAAAGAACAAGGGTGGGTAGATATGAAAGGAAGAAAAACAAAACAGAATGAAACATAGTTAATTGTGCTAAAGACTCAATAGATAAAATGAATTGAAATCTGGATACATTTGAATAAAGAATTTGTGAATCAGAAAACAGTGTTGAAGAATTTAACCTGAATATTACACAGATACTGATATCAAATATAACAGAACAGTCACAATAAGGTTGAGGAATAAACAGGCATAATGTGAATTACATGAGAAAAAAGAGAGTGGGAAGTTGAAGAGGCAATATTTAAGAAAATATTGAACATTTTCCATAATTGACAAAAGACATGAGTCTTCAAAACAAAGCACACTTTGAGACTGAGCAAGAGAAATAAAATTATACCCACCTTTAGACATATTGCAGTGGAATTGAAGAGCAGCAAGAATAAAGAGAAAATATCTTAAAAGCTACCAAATAAAAAAGACGATACAACAAAACAATTAGAAAGCAGACTTCTCATTAACAATAGTTGCGAGGAGACAATGGAGTAACGTATTCAAGCTAGAAATTTATGTGCATATACATTCTTATTCAAGAGTGAAGGAAAAATCAGATTTACAAAGGCTATACTTATGATCCAGACCCTTGTTGAAAGAAATATTACAATATATACATTATCAAGAAGAGAAGTGAACACAGAGGGAATGCTTAAGATGTGTGAAATCACAATGAACAAATAAATTGGTAAAATATGCCAGTAAGTTTAATGACGGAAAAAAGTAATTGTTTTGTATCAACCAAAGTAAAACTAAATTTCAAAGCAACAATAAAATGATCGAGTTGTTCAATGGATAGTTAGAGCATGCTAAAATCTTTGCCTTTGGAAGGAAGATAAATAAAACTGGTTAACATTGTATTGTTTAGAAAATGTATATGTAAATATGTTTTTAAAAGTTGATGAGTTCTAAAAAAAATAAAATAAATATAAATTAGTTAAATTCACCCAGTAAAAGACATAAACTATCAGATTAGAGTAAAAATGAAAACCAAATCTGCCACCTTAATTTATAAGAGAAACTCCTAAAATAAACCCATATATAAAGGGTTAAAATAAAGACCTGAAAAAAGTACATCAGATCAATATTAACCAAATTAAAACTTGGATAGCAATGGCAATATATAAAAAGTGATTAATTTTTGTCTGTTTTTATTATCAGCCTTCATTCTTATTGAACTCTTTTATTAGTACCTGTAATTATTCATTATAATGTCTTAACTTTTTAAGATAACATGCATGTTAATTGGGGTTAACTTTATTTCCGTTTCCTCTTTTCATATATAACTTACTTTCCCTGTCTCATTAAAATAGTCTTGCACTTTCATAATGTTTTAAAATATTTACATTCTGAGGGAACAAAAATTCTGTGCTAAAGAACTCTCTTCTGTGCTGCCATTAACCTTTTCAGTATAAATTCTACTATCACAGGCTACATAGGAGATGACAGTTTTAACTTAAAACCCATTGTAAACACATTATATTGATGACATAGACTTCACACTGTGTGTGTCTATTAAATGAGTCTATAAACTTCACTAACAGAGTTGCAGGGTGTTTAAGTTTGAAGATACTGCCTGATCCATCGTTTCACAGAGAAAGAAGCTGAGGTTCAGAGGAGGTAAGTGACCTGCCTGACCATACACAGCTCTAGTTTTAGAGCCCGGACTAGAGCCATCTGGTGCCCTTTACATCTAACTTCCTTAGAGATGCATTTACCATGAAGCCACTAAAGCTTAAACTTCAGGGCCCCTCAATTGCAGAGGCCTCTTCCATGCCCCTTGCAGAACATGAGCAATGTGTTGCCATGGCCATATAGGTTTTGTAAAATCTGCAAAAGAAAGATATTTTAAACAGGATCAGTTAAGAACACTCTCTTCCCATTCTGACTTCCCCATCACACTTCCCCCTCATTTAAAGGAGCACTGGAGTGGCCAAGGATATTGAATGTGTATAACTTCATATTATTTTTCCAAAAGAAGCCTCTACAAAACCTGGATCCACCTCACCTGCATTTATAATGTTAATAATACATGTTATTGATTATTCCATGACCATCCATGAACCTGCTACTTAACGCAGGAATTTAAACATAACAAAAACTTACTTTAACTCTGAGTTCTGCCCCTCTCCCATCCTCCCTCTCCCTCAGAGATAGCCACTATACTAATTTTGTGTTTATTGTCCCGTTGTCTTTTTGTTTTGTTTTGACACGTCATTCGCTTTAATATAAATACATGTTTTGACTTGCACTGAACTTTGTGAAAGAATATTGTACTTGGTCTTCACTCAACATATTGTTGCAAGTAGTTGTGATTCAATCATTTTCACTGCTGTTTAATATTCCATTGTGTGAATGTATCATAATTAGTTTACTCATTCTCCTGTCAATGGGCATTTGGGTTGTTTCAAAAATTTTTGCTATTTTGAAAGGTGCTGGTACAAAGATTTTTGTATATATTTTTGAATAACCATGTGCAAGAGTTTCCTTTGGGTAAATACCTTGGAGTAGAATTGCTGTTTCACAGAGTTTAAACATGTTCACCTTTATGATATAATGTTATGTTGTTTTCCAAATCATTTGGAACAATATACAATGTATGAGTGATACATTACATAAGAGACCTATTGTTTCATCTCCTTTTCAATACTTGATATTGTCAGGCTTCCTATTTTCCCAATTGTGTGGGTGTAGAATGGTATCTTTTTGCAGTCTGGCTTTCGATTTCTTTAATTACTAGTTAAGTTGTGCATCTCTTCATGTCATTTGCAATTCTTACAACAATCTTGTAAGTTAGGGATTATCATCACAATGTGATAGATATAGAAAATATGACACAGAGAGGTTAAGTAACATATCCAAGGTTACCCAGCTAGTAAGTGGTAGACCAAGGATTCATACTCAGTGTAAGCAAAGTTCTCACACCAATTCTGTTATATTAACCACCTTATTTCTTTGCTACATATGGTATGGAATAAAGAATCTTGGAGAAGTTGCTGTTCCAGGTCTTGCAAGATTGAAAACCTAATCATTGGTAAGGCTTTCTTTCCACAAGATTGAATTAGTAGCCATTAATCCACCGAGGCTAATGTCTGTGCCCTTTGGGTATTTGAATTTATCAAAACAAGTCTCTGCAGAAGTGAAATGACCTAATCGATGTAGTTCTCTGGGTTTGTGAAGTGGGAACATTATTCTGTTTGCTTCATGATGAATTATTGAACTAATACTTAAATCATTCCATAAGTACAGAGTGAGGCTGAGCAACCAGGAGACACAGAGCTAAGAAAAAGTTGGCTTTTAATATCATTCTCTGAACCATTAATCTGTCAGGAAAGAGGAAAAGATGTCATATTTTATTACAAAGATGCCTAGAATATGCAATTAATCTAATTACAACAGTTATTATTATTTTTTAAAAAATCAGTGCTTCCTGTGCCCTGGGCTCCATAATCCCTCCAGCCCATGAAGTGACTTAACTGGGGAGAGTGGTGTTTCTATCCTGGGCTGTTCCCAAGAAGCCACTGTCCAATCAAGGTGTCTGTGAGACACCTTGAAAGAAAGGGAGCTGTGTGGGACAACCAATTTTTATTTGTCTATCTCTCTGCTCTGCCTCAGGGACATAGGAACAGAGTAAACAAATGCTATAAATTCCTGCCCTAGGCACTGATTTTTGAAGGAATTGAAAAGACAAACAACAACTGTAACCCTGTAGTTTTGGATGCAAAACTGTCCTAGCTTTAAGGTGTCTTGCATATCCTCGGTCCAGATGCTTTCAATAACTAGCCAAGAGATAAAGAATGAGTTCCTTTGTGGGAAGTTTGAAAATAAATATGTCTGCATCTTCACTTTGTAATCTCTGGAAAAGGATGCTCATGGGTATTTAAAGAAGCTGGCTCTGGGCAGCTGAAAAGGCAGGGAGAAAAGCCCACTTCATTTTTTTAAAAATAGCTTTAATGATATATAATTCATATGCTATAAAATTTACCTTTTAGAAATAGACCTGTGACTTTTAGTATATTCATAGAATTGTACAACCATCATCACTATCTAATTTTAAAACATCCTAATCCCCTCAAAAAGAAAGCTTGTACTGGTTAGCAGTCACTTGTATATTCTACGTGGAAGTCCCTTATCAGATAAATGATTTGCAAATATTTTCCCCATTCTGTGGGTTGCCTTTTCACTTTCTTGATATTATCTTTGAAGCGCAAAAGTTTTTAATTTTGATAAGGTTCAATTTGTCTCTTTTTTTCTGTTGTCACTTATGCTTTTGGTGTCATAGCTAATAAACCGTCATCTAATCATAGGTCATGATTTACTTCTACGTTTTCTTATAAGAGTTTTATAGTTTTATCTCTTATTTTTAGGTCTGTAATCCATTTTGAGTTATTTTTTATATATGATGTGAGTTAGGACTCCAAATTTAGTCTTTTGCATGGAGATATCCAGTTGACCCAGCACCATTTGTTGAAAAGACTATTATTTCTCCATTTAATTTTCTTAGTATTATTGTTGAAATGAATTGACCACAAATATAATGGTTAATTTCTGGACTCTCAGTTCTGTTCCACTGATCTATATATCTATTCATATGTGAGTATTACACTATTTTGATTACTGTAGCTTTGTAGTAAGTTTTGAAATCAAGAAATATTACTTTTCCATCTTTGTTCTTTTTCAGATTTTTTTTCTATTCTGAGTCCCTTGTACTTCTGAATGAATTTTAGAATCACCTTGTTGATTTCTTTAAATCAACTTGAAGGAAAATTGGCAATTGCCTTCAAACAGGCAATTTGGATTTTGATAGGGATTGCATTAAATCTGTAAGATCAATTTGGGGAGTATCATCATCTTAACAATATTAAGCCTTTCGATCCATGAACATGGTCTGTCTTTTATTTACATTCTTTCAATGATGTTTTGTAGTTTTTGGCATACAAGTCTTGGGTTTCCTTTGTTAAATTTGTTCCCAAGTATTTTATTCTTTTTGATGCTATTATAAATGGAGTGGTATTCTTAATTTCATTTTTGGATTGTTTATAGCTAGTGTATAGAAATAAAATTGATTGCTGCATATTGATCTTGTATCCTGATCAAGTATCCTGATTACTGAACTCATGTATTAGTTCTAATAATTTTTTGTGGATCCCTTAGGATTTTCTATATACAAGATTATATCATCTGCTAATAGAGATAGCTTTACATCTTCCTTTTCAAACTGGATGCCTTTATTTCTTTTCCTTGCCTAACTGCTCTGGCTAGAACCTCCACTACAAGGTTGACTAGAAGTAGCAAGAGCCAGATATTCTTGTATTGTTTCTCATCTTAAGCAGAAACTTTCACCATTAAATATGATTTCACTGTCAGTTTTTTATAAGTGCCGTTCATTAGCTTGAGGAAGTTCTCTTCTATTCCTAGTTTGTTAAGTGTGTTTATTATTTTTAAAAAGTGTTAGATTTTGTCAAATGCTTTTTCTTTGTTTGTTTTGTTTTGTTTTGAGACAAGTTTTCATGCTGTCGCCCCGGCTGGAGTGCAGTGGTACAATCTTGGCTCATTTCAACCTCTGCTTCCCAGGTTCAAGTAATTCTCCTGTCTCAGCCTCCCAAGTAACTGGGATTACAGACACGTGCCACCACACCCGGCTAATTTTTGTATTTTTAGTAGAGATGGAGTTTCACCATTTTGGCCAGGCTTGTCTCAAACTCATGAATCAAGTGATCTGCCCGCCTTGGCCTCCCAAAGTGCTGGGATTACAGGCATGAGCCACCATGCCTTCTATTACAAAGAAAACCAAATGAGCCAAAATGCTGCTTGCTAAATCCAACTGAGTAATGATTCCCCATGAGAGGATCAGTCATTTTAACTGGGTGTGAAGAAGACTTCCCCAGTCAGATGCACCACGAAGACGCTAGAAGGTGTGCAGAGGACAAACACCTTTCCTCCTTCCCAGCTGCCCTTGCGTTGAACCCATCCCTAGTTTCATTCGCCACCATCAAAACTCTGGACTACGCAAAGAACTGGCCATCCTATGCAGTACACCTCCTTTCCATTCCCTTTTAATGGAGCAGTCTGGCTCCCCCAGGCCAGGGACAAAAGGACCAGGCCAGTGGCTGCTGGACATCCTACCTGAAGGGAGCATCACCCTCATTCTCAGAAACAACCTAACACAGCAGGCAAACCATCTATATAGTGCACTGTGCTCACTGGCATGGGGACACAGCACAGGAGTCCTTCCAATCCTGCCCCAGGTGGGGATGCCCCTCTGGTCTACCTCATCCCCAAGGAACTGGTGGGACCACTTTTCCCTTGAAGGCCTAGTCTGTCCACTCTGAAACCCACCACCTGAGGGTCTGGTCTCTGCTCACCATTTCAACAACAGCCTCATCTAGCCCCTGATGCAGGCTAACTTGAAATGCCCTCCTACTGAGGGACTGGCAGTGTCTCAAGTTCCCAGCCTACCCTGTCCCAGGGCATTTATAGTAGAGGAGGGGCAATGCAGGGAGGATCCTATCTTGAATCTCCTCCCTCCTCTCCAGTACCTTGATTGCCCCTTAGGTATTCCAATGTGTCTCTTCCGCGCATCCCACCCCAACCCCACCGTGTTCCTAATAGGAGAGCTGCTCTTGGATTCTAAAATATCATTGTGAGGGGCTGGGTCTTCTTTGTCTGTGCTTTCCCAGAACTAGCATGAAGACTGTCAAAGAGCAGATGTTCAATTCATGTTTGGTGAATGACATAATTCAGATGTTTGTCCCTTCTAAATGTCATGTTGAGATATAATTCCCAGTGTTGGAGGTAAGGCCTGGTGGGAGGTGTTTGGACCATCAAGGAGGGTCCCTCATGGCATGGTGCTGCCCTGGCCATAGTGAGCGACTTCCCCTATCTCTGGTCATTTGAAAGCATGTGGCACCTCCCACCCCCGCTCTGCTTGGCTGTCTTTCCTCCCACTGTTGCCACGTGACATGCCTGCACCACCTTCCCCTCCTGGCATGAGGAAAAGCTCCCCAAGACCTCCCCAGAAGCAGTTGCTGGTGCCACGCTCATAGCCTGGTGAACTGTGAGCAAGTCAACCTCTTTTCTTTAGCAATTACCCAGTCTCAGGTATGCCTTTAGAGCAACACAAGAACTGCCTAGCACAAGGAACAAAAGAGCCAGTGAGCAAGTGTTCTCCTTTATGATGATTTAATTTCTCCAACATTCTTGAATACACATAGCAACTGTGAGTATATAGCTTTTCATTTTATCACAACAAAAGACTTAAAGAAATAAGATTTTTAAACGTCAAAGGTTGCCAATCAATCGACACTTTTTTCCCACCATCTTGTGATCCCAACTGATGCAGTGTTCAGTTGTTTCACAGTTTAAAGCCAATCGCTATTCCAATGCTATTTCTTCTTGCACTAGATCATAATCTAGTAAGTAAAAATTTCCAATTTGTTTTACAAAATACAAGAACATCACTCTTCAATGTGATAAACAGCAATAATTGTGTGAGGCACCTAATTCATGAACTTAGATTCTGAATCAAAGTCAATCTCTTTCAAAGGAACACGCGGTAGACACAGAAGAGAAAGAGGAATCTATAAGTGGCTTGCAAATAACCAGAACAAAAGAAAGACACGTCTTGGGCTCCCCACCTCACCCCCAAATACTGAGATGGTGGACAGGCTTTTCAATCTCTTAGTGAGGATTGCCTGAGACTTCACTAGGGCTGAAAGGACCTGCTAGCCCTGGCCCTGGCGCTATCCCTGGCTACCGCTCTGGCTCTGGCTTGCTCTTCCTCCTCTCTCAGAGCCTCCTCATACCGGGACTTGTAGGTACTGGCAACGGTATCATTGAGCTTGGCCACAAACTCCAGGACTTTCATTTTGCTGGTTTCAGCACGGGCCCTGGGACCCCACAGGAACTCGTAGCGTGGAGGATCGCTGCTGGGCACCTGCTGGTACTCCAGGTACCCCTCTCGCACCAAATCTTTGGTGACAAGCTCCTGGGGCTCCCCATAGATGAAGTGCTTCCTACCCTTATACATCCCCAATGCATTCAGGCATTCCCACATCTCTTCCTCAGTGGCACGGTTGCCATGCATGAAGATGGTGCTCAGGAGAACCATCAGGAGCCCGCTCAGGGGAAAGCCCCCGCCATCGCTCAAGCTTCCTTGATTGGGAAAGTCCAGCTTGCCAACAAGCACATAGGACTGACGGCTGGGGTCCATTTCCTTCAGGTAGAGGCCAAAGACCACCTCTACGTTCTCAGTGCTTCTCCGGAGGATCTCAGGGAAGTGCTGCTTGTACTTTCTGTTGATAACCTTCAGCATGGCTTCCCTCGTAATGGGCTCTTTCCTTATATACTTGTTGAGGAGGAACTGCACCAATTCGCCCGTCTTCGTGTTCAGAAGATCTCTTCCTGTGCTCTCAGAGGAGGACGGGCCATGGAAGGAGTTGGGACTTTCCCCCTTTTGGCCCTTGGCACCTTCATCAGAACTTGTGAGTGAAACAGCTGAAGCAGGAGAGCTGGGGTAGCTGGCTCTCTGGGACTCCTGAGGAATGCCTGCATTGGGGAAGCTCTGGGGAGGACTCTGGCATGCAGGAGAGGAGGAGGATGGCAGCTTTTCCTTCTCTGCTGCGGTGGCTTGAGCACCCCCGAGACATTGGTCTTCACCTCGAGCCTGGCGGCGTTTCTCACGGGCACGGCGCTTACTCGCCTGACCGCGAGGCATGATGACTGTGCTTAGGGGCAGCAGGCAAGAGGGTGCAGGAGGTGGGCACCTGGAGCAGGAGGAACAGAGTGTGTGAGCCCCTCAGTGGGGAGATATCACCTTAAGGAGGCCTCCATGCAGGTGTCCTTGAGGACCCTGCTCCATAGCCCCACCAGGCTCCTGTTCTCCAGGGCAGCCTGTCCCCTGGGGACCCTGGGGAGGAAGTTACAGTGCTCCTTGCCCTGCAGCCTGCCAGCCCTGCCTGAGACCAAGATCCTTACTTCTCTGTTTCCTCTGAGGGGAAACTGAGGCCATCTGGGCTTGACATCCCTGTCTGGGGCCTCAAACCTCTGACATAGGGAGGGATCCTGAGGTCCTCTTACTAATTTGGGGTCGGTGGCTCCACGCTCCTCAGGGTCCTCACTATCTGAGGCCCTTCCCTTCAGGTCAAGGCCCTCACCTTCCTGAGACCTCACCCCCACCCCAAGGGGAAAGAAAGCATGAGTCCCCTCCAGCCACCCCTGTTCATGGCCTTTCTGGACTGGTAGCAGGGTCTGGACTCTCAGAGCCTCTGATGTTCTGGGTTCGGTGGCCCTGTTAGTCCTCACTTAGGCAGAATGTGGGACATGTCGCTCAGCCCACCAGATTCCTCCAGCCTCAGCCCCAGGCCCTGTCCACTCTGAGCCCCCATAGGCTAGAAGTGAGGGGCCCTCTATCCGACTCCCTCTCCTGAGGTTTCCCAGGCCTGAGAGGGAAGCCAGCCTTTGTGGTGCCCCCGGATCCAGGTGAGTGCTCTCCTCAGCTCTCACTCAGAGTCTTAACCCTGATTCCCATCATTACCTGGAAAACACTCCTGTCTTAACCTGAGACTTATTACCTCATACCAGCCCCTCCATTCTGAAATACCCCTAGGAAGTAGTGACGGTCACCTCAGCTGGCCACAAATGCTCATCATGTCCCAAGACTGGGAGCAGTGGAGATTTTCTGTGTTGGCCCCACAGTTACAAATGGGTGGTCCCCTTGGTCCTCAGGGTCTTCACCTTGACTCCTGGCAAGAGCTTAACAACCTCCAGCAGCTGTCTTGAGGCTGTCCCTTTTACCCAGGCTCTTCACCTCCCTGAGATGCCCTGGGAGGAAATGCCACTCACCATGCCAACGTGCCTGGGTCTCCCAGAGGTGACAGTAGGGGTGGTGCTCTATGTGGCCTACTTCTCCCTGGGAAGGGCTCCCTCTTCTCATTCAGTGTTCTCCCCTTGACTCCCACCAGGGACTAAGTCCTCCTTCCCACCCCACCATGAATGGGGCCTCGCCCATTGGTGCAAAAGAGCCACTTCTCTGAAACGCCACCCTGACCCCTTCAGGACACGAGGGGTCACCAAATGCTAATGGCTCTGCCCATGGTTTCCCAGGGCGCACAGCAGAGCTGAGACTCTATGTGGTCTCCTGTGTTTTGGAATGGCCATTTTCCTCCCTCCTCACGCAGGGTTTTTTTTACCTTCACTCCCCACAGAGCCTGGGACTCCTTTCTCCGCTGACCTGGGGCAGCCAGTCTTGCAACCAAAGCCCTCTGCTGAAACGCTCCGTGCAGCCCTGTCTACTGAGGGCTCAGGATCTTCACCTTGCTACTTGACCAGTCCTGGGACTCCATCCTCAGCTCACTACAGGCAACACCCTTCAAAGCAAGATCCTTGCTTCAATGGGACCTCAGATTTGGACATTCAGGGTAAGCCACATCCTCTCAAGGCTGTTTAGGGCCTTCAAGGCGTGACAGCAGGGGTGGGACTATAGGGGACCCCACTGCTCTGCCTCAGGGTTCTGAACCTGGCTCAGGGTGGGACCTCCAACTCTTTGGGACGCGACTCAGGTCGCTCCACTGACCTGAGTCAGCCAGGCCCAGGCCCAAGCTCTCACGTCCCAAAGTTGCTAGAGGGAAAAGTCACGGCATGCCCCGTCTGGCTATGCCTGCACGGGGTCTCCCAGAGCTGACAACAGGGCAGCAGAAACCTGGCTCTCTGGCTCTCCCTGGCTCTCTTGCTTTTTCCTTTTTTTTTTTTTTCTTTGTGACAGACACGGGGTCTCACTCTGTCGCCACGCTCATGGCGTGACCATGGCTCACTGCAGCTTCGACCTGCTGGGCTCAAGCGATCCTCCTGCCTCAGCCTCCCGAGTCGCTGGGGCCACAGGCGCCGGCCACCATGTCCCGCTAGTTTTTGTTCTTTTCTTTCTTGGAGAGAGAGGGTCTCGCTTTGTTACTCAGACTGGTCTGGAACTGCTGGGCTCGGGTAATCCTCCCGCCTCAGCCTCCCAAAGCACTGGGATCACAGGTGTGAGCTACCATGCCCGCCTCGTGGGCCTCCCATGTTTGGGAGAGGTCTCCTCATCAGCATCAGGGACCTCATTTCGATTAGGGCCTAGGAGTCCATCCCTCTGCAGAATCGAAGCCTCACCCTCACACCAAACCCTCCCCTCCCTGGTGCCCTCTCAGAAGTCAGTGCCACAGCCTGACTGGAGCCTCCCGCGGCTGAGGGAGGTGGGTACCCGGGGGCGGGGGTTGGGGGACACAGGGTGGTCGCCTTGGCTGCGTGTGGTGGGCCTTTCAGTCCACGATCAGGGTCCTTACCTTGATACCCAACCAGTCTTGGGGTTCTGGTAGCCTGAGGTGGCGTCCCTCAGACGAAGATCCTCACTTCCGGCAGCTTCCCAGGCGGGCGGATGTCGGAGTGAGCCACATCCAATCAAGTCCCTGCTGGGTCTCCCAGGGCTGAAAGCGGGGCGGGGCTCTGCTCGGGCCCCCTTTTTGCATAGAAGTCCTCTCCAGTGTACTCAGTGTCCTCTCCGGGACTCCAATGAGTGTCCAGTTCTCCTCCCTCAGCTGAACTGTGCTTTTGCCTTTAGACAGAGTCACTACCCTCGTTAGAGCATCTAAGCAGAAAAAAAGGGGTCCTCAGCTGAGGTCTTTGCTATGGCTGACAAGATTAAGCATTTTTTTATTTTTGTTTTTATTTTTTGCTGATAACCATTCCCTTATGTCACTCTCGGTCCTCACCTTGATTCGAGTCAGTTTCTGGGGCTCCACTATGCACAGCTGGGGCTTCCCCCACCAGACCAAGATTCTCCCTTCCCTGAGACCCTCCAGGCCGAAATGACAGTCACCTCAACCTGACAGCTCTTCCTGAGCTTCCCAAGTCACAGGAGAGGTAAGGATGGTGTGACAGGAGTGGGGATGGGATGGTGTGGCAGCGGCGGTGCAGGGAAGGGGAGATGTGGGTTGGTGGAGGTAAGAGTTTTTGTGTCTTCCTCTGTTCTAGTATGGATGTGTGGTTTTCTAATTGCTCCCTGAAATTCCTCACCTTGACACCTGACTGACTAGTCCTGGAACTCGATCCTCATGGGACTTGAGGCTGCTCCCCTCTGATCAAGGTCTTCACCTTCCTGGGACTACAGAGTTGTAATCAGGATGAGCCAAATCTACCAATGACTATTCCAGAACGACAAGGGCTGTCAGCCAGGGCAGGACTCTATGGGACCCCACTGTTCTGGCTTGTTCCTTCCTTTATTCTTAATTCAGGGTCATCACCTTGGTATCTATCAGAAGCTCACAGTCCTTCCTCTACTGACCTGAGTTTGTCTTCCTGAAATCTCTCATGCTCCTGAGAACCTTGAAGGATAATTGTGGAGATGCTCAGCCTCAGCCCTGCCTGTGGCCCTCTAAGTCTGAGAGCAGCCACAGGCTGGTCTCTGTTGGACCTCCAATATTCTGGGATGACGGTATCCTCAGTCCTCCTACATGGGGCTTCACATCTTGGTTCCTGTCTCATTAATTCAAGGCTTCCTGGGAAATGCCAAATCCCTGCAATCTCTTTAACAGTTTTTCTTCCGCAAACTTTGCAGAGAATGGCTCCTTGCCCTGAAGTGATGAGAGATCAGGAAGTTGTAGCTCAAGGCAGGGGGCCCAGGACAAGTGGTGGGTGGTCAAAATAAAGCCAGTTGGTCTATTCCATTTCTTTACCAGCCAGACTTTGCCTCTGCTGTAACTTTGGTTCTAATAGATTGGCTTTCTCCAAGGAAGGGTAGGGCCACATGATTCTGTGAGTCCCCAATCTTTTCAGGTGATCTGACATCACATATGTAGATGATCATGTGGTCACTGAGTATTGTCTCTTTCTTTTCCTTATTCATAGCTCTCATTTATTTTTGTATTCTTATTGCTCTGGCTATGTATTCCAAACCAGTAGTTTGTACACGGTATTTTTCTTCTTATTACTTGATATACAATTTGGAGTAGGGAGAAGAAAAGTGAATTAAGATACACAAGGTCTGTCTCAGGCTGAGATGAGTGTGACAGTATGGGAATAGTTTTATTCTAAATAAACAATACTCGCCGGGCATGGTGTCTCACCCCTGTAATCCCAACACTTTGGGAGGCTGAGGCGGGTGGATCACCTGAGGTCAGGAGTTCGAGACCAGCCTGGCCAACATGGCGAACCCCTGTTGCTACTGAAAAAATACAATAATTAGCTGGGTGTGGTGGCAGGTGCCTGTAATCCCAGCTTCTTGGGAGGTTGAGGCAGGAGAATTGCTTGAACCCGGGAGGTGGAGGTTGCAGTGAGCCGAGATTGCGCCACTGCACTCCAGCATGGGCGATAGAGTGAGACTCCATCTCAAGAAAAAAAAAAAAGCAATACTTGCAGATGGTTAGCAAGAAAGTTTATTTTTTTCTTACCATGGCATTCACCAGCATGTTTCATGCTTCCTAGTTAATATGAGCCCCTATGACAAGTTTGACCACTCACAGTGATGTATGTTAAAGAACTCTCAGAACGTTCCCCTGCCTTTGACTACAGGCCAGAGAGTCATGGTTCCTTTACTTCTTGTCTGGAGTGGGCATCATTTTTAATAATGGTGAATTAAGTCAGTGTTAGTTGGTGCTAATCTGTGCACCACAAATGACAGTTGTTTATTTGATGGTCCTATTGGACATGACAAGTAAGGTAAATACTAATAGTTGCCTAAAAGGCAGAATTTATTAACTCTGACACTTCCCTCCTCACTTTGGCTATTTATGCTCTGGGTCTGTGGTTGTGAGAAACTGATCACATAGAGCTCTGCAAAGGGAATTTTGTGGTTTTCTCTGATTGGTTCAGACAATGCAATAGACATGAGGGATGGCAAGACAGAGAGAGAGAAATAAAGAAGGAGAGGGAGACAGAGAGGGAGGGAGAGAGACAGAAAGAAGGAAAGAAGAAAGAAAGGAAGAAAGAAAGAAAGAGAGAGAAAGGAGAGAGGGGGTGGGGGAAGAGGAAAGAAAAGAAAAAGAAAGAAAGAGAGAGAAAGAGCGTTGGGGGAAGAGGAAAGAAAAAAGAAAGAAACGAAGAGAGAGATAGAGAGAAAGAAAGAGAGGGGTGGAGGAAGAGGAAGGAAGGAAGGAGAGAAGAAAGAAAGAAAGAAAGAAGAAAAGAAAAGAGGGAGGGAACGGGGGAGGGAGGGAAGGAAGGGAGAGAAAAAGAGGAAGGGAAAAGAAAAGGAAGAAATGAAGGAAAGAAGGAAGGGATGGAGGGAGGGAGAAAGGAAGGAAGAAGGAAGGAAGGAAAGAAAGCCTTATAGAGAAGAAAAGGTCCCTGGCCCTAAGAAGCTTTATTAGTCTCATGCAGGAGTCAGCAAGTGACAACTTTCAGGCCAAATCTAGCTCACCACCTGTTTTTGCAAATGCAGATTTATTAGAACACAACCACACTCACTCATATACATGTTATCTATGACCGCTTTCATACTACAAAGGCAGAATCTAGTAATCATGACACGGACTGTATGTCATGCAATGCCTAAAATATTTACTCTCTGGCCCTTTACAGAAAATGTTTGCCAATTCCTGATTTCCTGGGATAGATCAGCATTTACACAAGTAAATATAATTCAAAGCAGGATATGATTAAAAAAATAAGACCCATGTAGAAAGTACTGTGTGAGTACAGGAGCATGGGAGGGCTTCACGGAGAGAGAACACTGCAGCTGGGCTTTGGGGAATGGGTTGGATTCAGGCCAGCTGAGAGACAAGAGGACATTTTAGGTGAGGTAGTCCTCAACCCTGTCTGCTTATTGCAATTGCTTGGAGAGCTTTGAAATAGAGACGTCTGGGTTCCCCCTCCTTGAGATTCTGACTCGGCTGTTCAGGGGCAGGACCTGGGCATCAGGATTTTTTTTTTTTTTTGAGACAGAGTCTTGCTCTGGAATGCAGTGGCCTGATCTCGGTTCACTGCAGCCTCTGCCTCCCGGATTCAAGTGATCCTCCACTTCAGTCCCCAGAGTAACTGGGACTACAGGTGTGCACCACCATGCCTGACTAATTTTTGTATTTTTTTTATAGGGATGAGGGTTTCACCATGTTGCTCAGGCTGGCCTCAAACTCCTAGGCTCAAGTAATCTTCCTGCCTTGGCCTCCCAAAGTGCTGGAATTATAGGTGTGAATCACTGCGCCTGGCGGTCATCAGGATTTTTAAAAACCCCACAGTTTATTCTAAGGGCAGCCCAGGTTGAGAAACACTGGCCCAAAGAAGTGTCAGGGAACAATTAGGAGCCAGGTGTGAATGGAGGGAGTCTCTGGGTGCAGAGGGAAGGGATAGTGCAGTGGGAGATAAGCCTGGGAAGTAGGGAGTCAAATCAAGGTCAGAGAAATTAGATTTTGTCCTGGGAAATGGGGACAATAACAAAATGTGGGCATGAGAGCAACATGATCAGAGGCATGAATAAGGAAGCATAATCTAGAAAAAAAAAAAGTAAAGAAGAAAAATAAGAGCCTGTTAGGGGTTATTTGCAAGAGTTTAAGCAAAACAAGGAGCATATCTTGTTTAGGGCAGTGACATGTGATATGGTTTGGCTGTGTCCCCACCCAAATCTCATCTTGAATTTTAGTTCCCATAATCCCCATGTGTCGTGGGAAGTACCCAGTCGAAGGTAATTGAATCAAGGGGGCGGCTACCCTCTTGCTGCCCTCATGATAGTGTGTGAGTTCTCATGAGATCTGATGGTTTTATAAGGGGCTTTTCCCCCTTTTACTCGGCACTTCTCCTTCCTGCCATCATGTGGAGGATGTGTTTGCTTCCCCTTCCACCATAATTGTGAGTTTCCTGAGGCCTCCCAGACTTGCAGAATTGTGAGTCAATTAAACCTCTTTTCCTTATAAATTACCCAGTCTTGGGTATGTCTTTATTAGCAGCATGAGAACAGACTAATACAGTAAATTGGTACCTGCAGAGACTGGGGTGCTACTATAAGGATACTTGAAAATGTGGAAGCGAATTTGGAACTGAGTAAAAGGCAGAGGTTGGAACAGTTTGGAGGGCTCAGAAGGCAGGAAGATGTGGGAAAGTTTGGAACTTCCTAGAGACTTGTTGAATGGCTTTGACCAAAATGCTGATAGTGATATGGACAATGAAGTCCAGGCTGAGGTGGTCTCAGATGGAGATGAGGAACTTTTTGGGAACTTGAGTAAAGGTGACTCTTGCTATGCAAAGAGACTGACAGCATTTGGCCCCTGCCCTAGAGATCTGTGGAACTTTGAACTTGAAAGAGGTGATTTAAGGTATCTGGCAGAATAAATTTCTAAACAGCAAAGTGTTAAAGAGGAAGCAAAGCATAAAAGCTTGGAAAATTTGCAGCTTGACGATACAATAGAAAAGAAAACCCATTTTCGGGGGAGAAATTCAAGCCTCCTGCAGAAATTTGCATAAGTAACAAACAAATGATAATCACCAAGACAATGGGGAAAATGTCTCCAGGGCATGTCAGAGAACTTTGCGGTAGCCCCTCTCATCACAGAGCCCCCCTGCTGTGTGCAGCCCAGGGACTTGGTGCCCTGTGTCCCAGCTGCTCCAGCCATGGCTAAAAGGGGGCAAGGTACAGCTCAGGCCCTGGCTTCAGAGGGTGCAAGCCCCAAGGCTTGGCAGCTTCTACATGATGTTGAGCCTGCGGGTGCACAGAAGTCAAGAATTGAAGTTTGAGAACCTCTGCCTCGATTTCAGAGGATGTATGGAAACCCCTGGATGTCCAGGCAGACGTTTGCTGCAGGGGCAGGGCCCTCATGGAGAACCTCTGCTGTTGAAAAGGGAGGAGTATTCCCTCATCCCCCTCACAGGGCATGCAACAGGGATGTGGCTCACTTCTTCAGTGCCCTGCTACTCAAACCCCTAGGAGGAGCATGCAGACAGGCAGGTCGTGAGGAGTGTTTTGGGGCTCTAACCCCATGGCGGTGTCTAGGGTTGTTTACAGCGCCTGAAATCCCAGTGGGCATGTGTTACAGTGTGCTCTTTCAGTTGCGTGTTAATCAGCTCAATTAGACTCTCTGCCTTATGAAAAGGACAGAGGGCTTTCTGAATCCTGGGTTCTCGCCATGCTGTACCAGAAAAATCAGATCACATGTGGGCTTGCAGAATGAGTGCAAGGTTTTATTGAGTGGTGGAAATAGCTCTTAGTAGATGGATGGGGAGCCAGAAGGGGGATGGAGTGGGAAGATGGTCTTCCCCTGGAGTCAGTCCACCCAGTGGCCAGATCCTCCTCTGACTGCCCTGGTCGAATTCCCCTTGGTGTCCACATTGTTCCACCATTGATGGCCTGCTGGCATCTGCTGGTGTCCGTTGGTGTGTTCTCCTGCTGGTGTGTTCCTCTCAATGTCCAGCCACTTTGTGTCCCTCAAGTTTATATGAGCACGGGATGGGGGCATGGTGGGCCAGAAAAATGCAACATTTGGATGCAAAAACAGGAGTGCCTGTCCTCACTTAGGTCTGTGAGCACATGCCTGAGGGTGGAGCCCTTACCAGGGACCATGGCCTTCTCTACCCAGCCCTTCTCTGCCCCCTTCCCATATTAGTAGGGCAGTGCAGAAGGGAAATGTGGGGTTGGATCCCCCACACAGAGTCCCCACTGGGGTACTGCCTAGTGGAGCTGCGAGAGGAGGGCCATAGTCCTCCAGACCCCAGAATGGTAGATCCACCGACAGCTTGCACTACTGTGCACCTGGAAAAGCCAGAGCCCCTCAACACCAGCCTGTGAAAGCAGCCAGGAGGGGGCTGTACCCTGCAAAGCCACAGGGACAGAGCTGCCCAAGGCTGTGGGAGCCCACCTCTTGGATCAGTGTGACCTGGATGTAAGACATGAAGTCAAAGGAGATCATTTTGGAACTTTAAGGTGTAATGACTGCCCTGTTGGATTTCAGACTTGCCTGGAGCCTGTAGCCCCTTTGTTTTGGCACACTCAAGAGCTCCCTTGGCAAGGCTGTCAGTGTGCCTCTCAAAGAGTTTTGTGACTGCATCTAATAGACATCTCTGGTATTACCTCTTCTCACCTGGAGTACAGGGAGCTTGGACAGCCCTAATTTGCATCCACTGTAGCTGTGTCATTTCTTTGTCATCAGCTTATTTTGTTCACAACTTAGCGACTGTGGTATTTCTCATGCTGCCTAACGTTTGCTGTTGAGTATTTTAAATATTCCTAGAGACTTGACCACTGGCTTAGTCATTAGGCAGACTTCAAATAAGTGGAATTGGTGACAAAGAGAGAAAGAATTTGCTTCCTGACAACTGATCCTGCAGGAATGGATAAATGAACTAAATGCCAACTCTCCTCACTGTCTCTGGAACGCTAACCTTAGAATCAATTACTCTTTCTTCACAATAAGCAGGAGCCAAGATGGAAAGAAAAGTAGGCTTCAGGTAGTCAGTAGGCTAAACATCTGGAACTTTCAGCTAGACTTCTTCACTTTGATTTATAATTTGTGTGAGCTTTCCTGCTCTCTGATGCCTACGATTATCCCAGGAAACAGACACTCCCAAACTTTAATGTTCAAGTCCTAAAGAGAGCAATTTAGAATAACTGTCAATATTATAAAAGCGTATGCTCTTTGTTTCTGCAGTTCTACATTTAAGAATTTTTCCTACAGCAACACTTGCTCATGCATGAAATTGTGTATGTTATTCATTGCAATATGGTTGATAATAGCCAGATATTGGAAGCAATCTGAAAGTTCATCAATGGGGGATGGGTAAATAAATTAGGGGCTACTATGCCGGTGTAAGAAAAAATGAGGAAGTGCTTTATACAATAGTCCCCCCTTATCTGTGGAGGATATGTTCCAAGACCCCCAGTGGATGCCTGAAACCACAAATAGCACTGAGCCCTATAGATACTATCTTTGTTTCCTAAACGTACATATTTATTATAATGTTTAATTTATAAATTAGGCAAGGTAACAAAATAACAACAAAAACTGACAAGAAAATCCAACAATTATAACAACATACTGTAATAAAAGTTATGTGAATGTGGTCTCTTTCTCCTAAAATATCTTATTGTACTGTACTTGGCTTTTTTCGGACTGCAGTTGTCTGTGGGTAGCTGACATGGCAGAAAGTGAAACTGTGGATAAGGGGAGACTACTGTTTACCGATATGGAAAGATCTCTAAGATATGGTATTTAGTGAAGTAAACAAGGGGCAAACAATGTATAGGCTACCATTTCTGTAAAATGGTGGTGGGCTTCAGGAAAACACAGATTTGTATTTATTCGCATATGCGTAAAAAATGTCCAGTAGTGTACACAAGTAAGAAACTAATAACATAACAATGGTCACTCCTTTGAAGGGTTTGGTAATGGGTGCAAAAACTGTACAGAGGGGACAATGGTAGCTGAGTAAGTTTTCACTGGATTCCTTTCTAGGCTTTTGGTTTTGGACCATGAGAATGGCTTACATATTCAAAAGGTAAGTACATATTTTAAAAATTTAATTAAACACCACACCCCCAGCCTAAACACTGACATTGTTCCAAGTCAATAGAGGGTTGGGGAATCTGCATTTTGCAATGAGCAGCCTGGCTGATTCTGATGTAGATGGTCCAAGGAACCAAGGAACTGTGGGGCACATAGCCACAGACTATGTTCATGCAACAACTATTTTTTATTGAACGTTGGATACATGTATCTGTCCATTTCACAAATTATGTTTTATTATATTAAAGAATAAACCTCATTTCTTCTACAACTTGAACATCCAGCTTACTATACACGGGATCTGACTTAATGTCATACAGACCACTTACAATGTGATAGAAGCATTGGAAGCATTTGTTGAAAAATAACAATTTCACTCAAAGCACACTTTATAGATAGAGTTTTACATGGTCACAGAGTTAAGTCTGAACATTTAAAGGGATCTGAGTCATTCATATTAATATTGTGAATTTCTTATAAATAATTCATTTGTTCAAGGAGTCCAGGCAAAGCCAAGCCGTGACATTATTTACACTAAGTACCACACCTGGAACTTGTTCTGAGTTATTTAACACAGAGTACATTTTTCAATGCAATAAATATTTACAGTTAATAGTAGCAAGTACAATTATAATTTATGAAATATGAGTCTAATATTTAAAACAAAACATAAAATGACATTAAAGAAGTTTGTGCCATTTATTTTTACAACTCACCGAATTGACTGTTTTACGAATTTTATTACCCAAAACTCTACTGACTTGAATGCAAGAAAGGTCATGTTTGAATCAGTAAAGCCCAGACTGCAGAAAAAAAAAAACTTTTAGAAGATAATGAGTTTTACTTTCTTAATGTTATACACGTATTATTAATGTCATTAGCTAAAATGGAAGCAAAGTTATGAAAATCTGGATTCACAACAGGCTCAAATTATATAATGTACCTTCAACATTGAAGTTCTGAGTTATGCCAACATTTTTAAGCTTGTCTGGGAGTTAATGAGGCCTTGAATGTACGAGGTTTTACTGTCCATTAAAATTATTCTTTTAAAATGTCATAAAATTATGTGAGTCCTTTCATGTCATTATATGACTCTGTGAGTGAATTTTAAATTGGGGGAAAAAAGGCAAATAATCTTATCTTCTAGAAATGTGAGCTCAGAGAGGGCCGAGAGACAGTGGTGTCTGTGTTTAGAACAGGGCACCTAGGGCTGGGCACTCAGATACCTAAGTCCATATCTGAGTTTCTTATCTGTCCCCTTAGTCCAGGAGATGCTTTTCTGTTAGAGGCTATTTATGTAGCCTGGGTCCCCAGACTCTAGGAAACCAACCATTGTCGTATCTTACTCTATTTTGGGGAAAGTGGGGGCGTAGGTGGTTCTACCTCTACCTGACACTTTTTCTCCAACTAATTCTGATTCAAAGAAAGATGGCTAGATTCGCTGTTCTCATTTGGGTTTTCTCTCTAACTTGGTCCTTAGCAAGTTTTTTTCTCTCCTCAGACACAGAACTAGGTGGGAAATTCTTCCCAGGGCTTCCAGTTGCAAGTGAATTGTGTCTCTGAGTAGGGGAGAAGGAGGGTGCGAACAACTGACCTAAGGGACTTTCTGACTCACCCGCTTTGTGCTGCATTTCAGCCTCTGCCCTCAACAATTCCTTAAACTAGGTGCCTCAATGCTCTTTGCATACATTCTTTGACTCTATCATTAGTTCAGGTCTCTGGACAAAACCTAGAATAGGGAGTGGAGTTTTCTTCTAAGTACTGTGAACTTAATTTTTCACACAGGTTGGATTTGGGAAGCAATGCTAAGCAGTGGAATGGACATCGACATAGAGAGATCAGCTCCACACTTATACTCTGCCACTCAACTTCCCCATGTGACTTGAGGATCAGTAAGTAATCTCCCTGCCACGGCTTCATGTGCCCAGCACTGGACTTGGCACATTGTCAGTGTTTGGTGAAGTTGAGCCCCTTCCTTTCCAGCACTTCCAGAGCCACAGCACTCCATTCAGGTTTTGGTCAAATTTGGTGTATTTCTTGGCCAGTGTCTTTGCTCCCAAGGATCCCACCCTTCTTTGTCTTAGCCTTCCATTTCATTGTGGCATTGAATGTTGTGCCCACCAATATGTCTCTCCTGGGGCAGCCCACAATGACCCTGTCCACTCCCTTGTGCCAAGTTAAACAGATTCACTTTGGGGACAAGAGAATATCCTGTAAAGTGGAGAAGTGATGATCAGCACTGCTCTTCAGTATAACTGAATAGCCCATGGGAATGAAGTACAGTTAGTTCACCTCGAAACAATATGAAATCAGATTAAGCTGAACCAGATGAAATTGCCTTTTTGTAGTTCGAAAATGGCCCAATCTTAACAGTTTCATGTTTCAGCCTCATAGTTCCATGGGCCTTTTAATGTAATGGTAGATGGTCACATTTCCATAGTAAAGGATGTAAAGCAGCTCTTTGGCCAGCAGGGAAGGCTTGGATGAAATGAGGTAATGAGTATAAAAGTACTTTATAGACCATGAACACTAGGTAAATGCAATGTTTTTAAAAAAATTAGTCATGGACATGATTCCACAGTAATATTCTAACCCAGGGATTCTTAAATTTAACATATGTGCAACATTGAAGCTTTTTAAAAATTTAGATACATTCTACTGAATGAATTTCTAATGTGAAGTCTCATAAGAGAAAAGTCTGTTCTCAGTGTGTTATTTGTTGATTGCTCTGAATATATTCAGCTGGACTTAATGCTTGGCCGCCTGCAATATAACAAAGGGTGTTTCTGAAGGCCAAAGTTACAGTAAGAGATTGTGAGATAGTGAAATTGTCGTGTGTATTTGAGAAGTGTGTGTCTGGGTGTGGGCTAGGAGAAATGAAATGACCATCCAGATACGGAATAAAGTAGAGCTTGGTAAGCCTTGGTTTCATCGAACAGTGTGCACAAAGCCTAGGCCCATGAAAGCCTAGGCCCAAGAAAGATTCTTTAATCCCTTTGTTTTCAGCTGTTAATCCATTTCATAAGAATACAGCCAAAAATTAGACAAGTGTACAAAAGGTGCTCCATTCCCCCAGAAACCCAGGGATAATTCTAAGCTACTCTCTAACAATAGCTACCTCCTGTTGTGGATGTGAAGAGCACAAATGGCAAGAAAGTTTGCACCCTTCCCATCTCACCACGATACAAGTGGATGGCTCTTCATTCAGCTTCCATACAGTCAGCTTCCCAGGGTGATGGTTTCTAGCTGGCTTCCAGGAACAGTGACTTAGCCACTTTTTAGTCCACAGATGATGCCATTCAATGTGTACTCCCCAAACAAAGTTAATCTCTATTACCAGAAGCTACTTGATGCATGAAGACACTTTGAAACAAATAACCAACTGCTGCTTTTGACATGAATGAAGACTTTACAATGCAAGGATGCTCATGTGCTATTGTCAAGTTCATTTATTTCTGTTCAGTGTTCATTTTCATAACAAGATGAGCTTGGTTCATCTGCAGCAGCCCCTAAACAGTTTATTTACCTAGGGGTTCTCCATCCTCCCGGATGGAACCAAATTGTTTGTGGACAAAGAGGGAAATCCAGAGCTTGTTAATGAGGCGGAAGGCAGGTTCAGTGTGAGAGTGAAGGCAGTCAAAAAAACAGGGTTTAGCCATCCACATTTATGGAGAATCATCAAATCAACAACAGGGAGGGGCCCTGTCTTCACTAAGCAGGGAGGATCTTCTTGCTAAAGAATATCACTCCCAATAGCAGCTGCACCTTCCCTGCCAGCAGCAGCCGTTGGTGGGAAGATTGCTTTGTTTATTGCTTAATCTATCACTGTTGAGCTGCCTGCCTCAGGGAGGCTCAATTTAAGATAGATTGAAAGGTAGTGTCTGTCAATTGAATAAACACAGATGGTTTTCCACAGCAAAAATTGATTTTTTTTTCTTGCCAAAGACATAAGTGCTAAACGTGATTATCTTTGGAAGCCAGGCGTGAAATGTCTCAGCTCCAGCCCCTGCCACACTCTGCTTTGGCAGAGAAGTGATACACGTGGGGACTTGGGTCTCTCTCACGTAATTTTAGGTTCTTGAGGTGGAATAAAATAATAAAATTTTGATTTCCCTAGAGAAGGGCCCAACTATGCCCTTCCTGGTAAGAAGGTCTAAGTCAATCCATTAGTTGATTCACAGAATAGTTTTACCAGTCCTTGGTCACTGGCTGGCAAAGGCCTCCTTCAATCCTTTCATTTAAGAGTCTCGAAGAAGTAGTAAGATTTGGCCGGGCACAGTGGCTCATGCCTGTAATCCCAGCACTTTGGGAGGCCAAGGTGGGTGGATCACCTGCGGTCGGGAGTTCGAGACCAGCATGACCAACGTGGAGAAACCCCATCTCTACTAAAAAAATACAAAATTAGCTGGGCATGGTGGCGCATGCCTGTAATCCCAGCTACTTGGGAGGCTGAGGCAGGAGAATCCCGTGAACCCAGAAGGCAGAGGTTGCGGTGAGCCCAGATAGTGCCATTGCACTCCAGTCTGGGCAACAAGAGCGAAACTCCATCTCAAAAAAAAAAAAAAAAAAAAGTAATAAGATTCGCCTAAGGACACACAGCTACACTTAGACCTCTATCTCCTCACTCTTTGTCCAGAAGCTAGGAAGAAGACCACACACAATCTATGCCATGATGTTAACTGAAGGAGACATGAAGATGAGCTCTACTCCCAAAATGTCTCTGGAAGCAGGTAGATCAGAGATGCCTGAACGAGTTATGCTAGGTATTCAAAAGGCTATACATGTTAGCAACTAACTAAGCATAGAGTCATTTATATTCAAGGGTTTTGAAGAAAGCCAAGGGCAAAATTGTGGAACACTAGTTCAAAATAACAGATTCATGGAGGTTGAAGAAGGGTGAATAGGAAGAGTATCCTTTGTATAATGAGAAGACTCAGCAATATGTTTTCTTATGTCTCTTACAGCTCTAACTCCAAAACATAGCAAGCTCGCGGAACATCAGGGTTCATGCAAAGTATTCCAAGGAGCCCCTTGAAGCAACAGAATGGTCTGTCTCCTTTCATACCACTAACGTGAACACAAATATAGAATAGCGGTTGATTTCCAAAGAGTTGTTGTTGCAAGCGTAGCAGAAGTGAGGCTACTGTGACCAAATGGGCTACAGAAAGGCTGCAAAGACAGAACTAGAGACGATGAAGAGACTCAGAATTTTAGCGATAGACAAGACCTTAGCACTGTCTTCTCAGTCTAGAGATGAAAACAAGAGTCTAGACAAGTGAAATTGATAGCCAGAGTGATATAGCTAGAGGCAGAGTTGGACTGTCAAGCTAGAAATCTTGGTTCTTTAAGCTATACTATCTGTCTTGCTTTTCAAACTGTTCAATGTAATTATGGACTACCAGCAAAGCAGGTTTGTACAGTACAGACGAGCACGTAGCAAGCAGAATTGAAGTTTCATTCTGTCTTGGTCCCAACTCCTAAAGCTCCATAGACAGTGGGCACTTCTTCATATCAAGAGACAAGAATCTTTTCATATGTGCCATGTGAAAATGAGAGCCAACTGTTTGTATCTCATCTGGATAGAGAAAACCTAAATTAAAATTGTCTTAGAATTTTAATGTGTAAGGGCACATTTGTAAAATTTGAATTTATTTGAAAGTGGGTTAATATGTTTGCAACCTGTCAAAATTGCCCTCTTTGAGTGAAAAAAAACTCGATTCAGGGTTTCTAAAGTAAGGGAATCAAATCTTTTTAGAGCCAACTAAACTCACTTAGAAAAAGAAAAATATTTCAGCCAAGTCTTTTTCTGCACATGGCTCTTTCATAAATACTCTTCTTAAGTAGAAACAAGTCTGTAGCTGTTTTTCAATCAGTTCTTAAAGTTAAGACCCCTGTGACTTTCTTATACATATTCAGACAAAAAATACGTGTTACTGAAATTTTATTCACTTCCTCCCACAAACGTTAGGAGAAGCATACATTAAATATAAACATGTTCCCATTTCTACTCAGATACAATCCCTTCTTTCTTATAGTGAAACTACTGATTCAGTGTAGCAGTCAAAGACAAATCTAAGTAAATACATTTGACTCAAAACCTATGTATCAAGAATAAATACTGTACTTTATGCATTTATAGATATTTGATTAATTAATAGCATGATTTTTTTTTTCCTAAAAGGATTGCTCTTCTATGGTGGAATGGCACCCTGGATGATTAAAACCGTAGCAGCAAACAAAACCTCCATCAAGTAAGAATTCAGAGTGTGAGATATCACGCACAGCCACGCGTGGATCTTTATATACGTGTCAATGTGTTTGATTGTATTTTTGCTTTCAAAGTATGTATTGAGCATTTCTTCTAGGTCCTCAGTAACATCTTTTTAAAAAAAAAATAAATGCTTAGGGAATTGTTTTATATTAAACTCGCTTCCATTGTTATCAACTTGGAGAGTGTCCCTCATACATGGAGCTCTCTCACAGGATTGACTTTTCATATTAGGAGTGTAAATAAAAGTTGTTCCTTGGTTTGTGTATTACAGATATTCCTGAAAACAGAGTCAAGTTATATTTCTAAAGTACTAGCGTCTGCTTAAAGAAATGACAAGGTGAAGTCTTTCACAAAGTAAGCATTCAATGTATGATTTCTCTGCTATGTAAATCTGGTTGTTCATACAGTTTCTATGACATAATTGGCCACGACCATTTAACAGGGCTTGAGGCTTAAAAAATAATTTTCTACTTGTTCCCTTTTCTGAAAAGGGAAGGTTTGCTTCACATCAGAAGAAACGTTCACAAGTTGAAATGAAAAACTTAAGACTTGATGGCTTCTTTCAAAATATAATGGTGATCCATCATTTGGGCCTCCCCACCCCCACCTACACCACTCAGGAGCATTCTGAAGGCTCTTTGGAGGGCACAGACACAACAATGGATGCAAGGGTTCCTGTCTAGCCATAAAGCAAAACCGTCCCTCAGGGGGCAAAA
The DNA here is from genome assembly GCF_000001405.40 of Homo sapiens. NCBI lineage: Eukaryota > Metazoa > Chordata > Mammalia > Primates > Hominidae > Homo > Homo sapiens. Next base: position 16,152,657 of record NC_000023.11, on the reverse strand, counting down.
TCAAGGGTCAATCTAGACATACCGCTCGTGACAGATGTTTCCATTGATGAGGCTAAAGGTGGCCACGGAGGGGTTGGTACTCTTGAGGGAGGTCATGCAGGTTGTACTCCTTCCAGTGCTGTGAGACCGGATGATCAGGCCAGGCTGGCAACAGAGCAGCTGAGTGTTGAACTGTTTCCTGAAACTCTTGCTCAGCAGGTAGAGGGCAAAGGGGTTCACGCAGGAGTTGGTGAAGGCCAGGAGGCGGGCACAGATGCTGGTGACAAAGTGGAGCATGGAGGTGTCCACCTCAGAGTAGTGGTAGGAGCGGTACAGGTAGATGACATGATTGGGGAGCCAGCAGAAGGCGAACAGGCCCACAAACACCAGCACTGTCTTGGCAAGTCGCTTCCGGGATTCAATCTAAGGAGAGAATCACATGGAGAGAGACAGAGGAACCAAGGGACAGTGTCAGAAGAATGCAGAGAGACAAAGATTCAGGCAGAGAAAGAGAAAGGGAAAAACAATTAGGGCAATAGAGGAGTTCACAAAGCCACCGAAAAAGAGTTCAATAGGAGAGGGCAAGAGAGAATCCAGTAAAATGAGAGAAAGGCAACAGAAACAGACAGAAAAGGAAAAAAAAAGAGTCAGAAACACAGAAATGGATGAGCCAGGAAGCAGAAACCCACGAGGAAGAATAGAGTTAGAACATACCACTGAGAACAGATCTTTAAACAAAGTTGATTACATGTTTGAATGGACTGCAACATGAACTTCTAATAAGTGCCCCCTTTTTCCTCAGGAGAGCATTGGTGCAGTTTATCAGCCATACTACTTCATGTCTTTCTTTTCTCCACAGTTAATAATTTCTTATTCCCTCTCATGCTCAGAAAGAGCAGCCAGCTTTGTTCTTCTTCACTGGCTAAACCAAGATAACTCTCTATTATTATGATTTTAAAATCTTGAGTTATCTCTGGACTATAGTCTATAGAAAGAGACTGTGGCAAAGAGGGATGGGCATCTCCTTTTGCTCCCAACTCCATCCACTACCTCAAGGGGAAACATGTTTCTCCATAAAGAGTTTGGGGTACAATGGATGTTGGCTAATGAGAGGCTTTTCAAGTAGGAAGGTAGTTTCATTAGAAACTGCCACTCTTCCCCCACAACTGAGACAAATACATAAATAATGAACGTTAAAGGGTAAGGTCTCCAAGTGAGTCAGCTATTCACTGAAATGGAGTGGGGAGTGTTTCTGCTTTTCCATCATAGATGCTACATGATCTACACCTGGGCTAGAAGGCAAGCACTGACAAAGAGGAGGAAGCCGGAGCCCTTGCTTTCTACCATTTGTTTGTAACTCAAGGATGAAATTATGGAGTGTTATGGGGGATAAGAAAGAGAGTCTAATCATATGGAGGGCATCTTGCATGCTGGGCACTGTAGGCCTTACATATACTCTCTCTTGTAATCTTCTTCCAATAGTTTTACAATGTAGGGATTATAAGCCTATCTGATAGGTAAGAAAACTGAGGCTCAGAGAGGCTGAATACATCATGCGGCTTGGACTTGAGCCCAAATCAGTGTGAGCCTATCCTAATCAAACTACTCTTTTTCTTCAACTGCCCTCACTTTCCAGCCTCCTGCTTTGTCTCCATGTGGTAATCCTCTTTCTAGGCAAACAATGTGACTGGAGTTTAAAGAAGTCACATCCCCATGAGCTTCAAAGCTTCATTTATTTATTTTAAAAATACAACTCTTTTTCAGATTATTTCTCCAAAAGAAACCCACACTTGAAATATTTCAGGTTCACAACACCTCCCTAGCTTAGGTCTTTAACAGGAGAATAAGACTATAAAGAACACCTTGGGTTTCCATGGCTAGGCATTTCCATTTAGCATCTGGCCACACATCACCCACCTCATCTAATTGCAGATTCAAGTGTCATGGCTTGTCAGTGGGGTCCAAAAGAAATGCAAGGGATTATATCCCCAAGGAGGAAATGAATCAATCCTGAGCACCTACCTGCTTCTTGACATGTATATTCCCTTCCACGGGAAGATTGTAAGCACTCTGGATCAGATTTTTAGCAATGAAGTAGTAGTAAACAGAGATGATCGACAGTGGAATGACGTAGAAGACCAGAAAGGAAGCCATAGAATGGATTTTGGGGTGAAGCTCATTAGAGTGTGGGTATGGGGCACAGCTAATGAAGGTCTGGTTGGTGCTTTCCTCATGGAAGGGATGGAGGTCAGAAAACACGGCCTCTGGAATGGCCAGCAGCATGGAGATGATCCAGATAAAGGCGGCTTTGAGGCAGATCTTCATCAGGGCATGAGAGGCCTGGATATCCATTGGCCGGACAATGGCTTTGTATCTAGGGCAGGAAAGAAGCATCCCCATCAGTTGCATAATATTATTCTGAATACCAGGGCCAGGACTAAGTTGAGGCAAGCGAGACACCTGGCGTACAATATTTAAGGAGGTGCTCACTTTCGGGTCCTGAGGGTGCCGACTCTGAGCTCTGTGACCCTGAGAGTGAGTGCCTCCTTAAATTTTGTACTCCAAATAGCCACTTGCCTCATTCTAATCTAGCCCTGAAGGATGCCTTCTCTTCTCTCCACAAGTACCATTCCGCTTATATTCTCTTTTTGTCTTAATTTAAAGCCAATTAAAAATAAATAAATAAAAATTGTATATATTTACTGTATACAACATGGTGTTTTAAAATATGTATACACTGTGGAATGACTAGATTGAGCTAATTAACATATACTTTACCTCACATACTTATCTTTTTAAAATGAGAACACTTAAAATCGACTCAGCAATTTTCGAGTGTGCAATACATTGTTATTAACTATAGTCACCATGTTGTACAATTCACACTCTCTCTTGATTTTAAGAATACCTCTTAGAAAAGCTGAATTTCCCTTTGTTTTTCTTCTTAAATCATAGAAATTAATAACAAGGCATGTTGCTAGTTAAAGGACACAGAGACAAGGAGGTTGGCTTTTTTTTTTTTTTTTTTTTTTTGGCAAAACCTTCATTTTGCGTATTCAGATCCACTTCAGGGAACCTTAAGTCGTTGAGTATTTTAAATATGCCTCTTTTCTTTTTCAAAGTATGCATAATAAATGGTCCCTTGAAAAAGTAATACCCAGGAGAATCCCTGTAATTTTCACATTGATTTTTCCCTTGCCTTCCTGATCTCAGCCTTATCTTCTCTTGAAGTATTTAGGTTCTTCCTGGTTTGTGAGCTATTTGTGCCCATGTCTTGGGTTGAGTATTCTGGGAAGCAGACACTGAGATGAAGTAAGAAATACAAATTTTATTGAGGAGCAATACCTGTGAAAGGAAAAAGGGGAGGAAGTAGGATAGAAAGAGGGAGCTTCTCAGGTCTACACCAGCGAGGATGACTAAACATCTTGGTTTGCCTGGAAATTTTCCAGTTTTAGCATGGTAAATCCTACATCCTGGGAAATCTCTCAGTCCAAGCAAACTGGGATAGCTGGTCATTCTACGCTAGCCCAACAGGAAGCCTAGGAACAAAGATTACCCAACGGGGAAGTCCTGCTTTGGGTGGAAATTGCCAGGCCCATGTATAATCACCTTGCTTAGTCATTGCATGGGGTCACCCCAGGAAGAATGTGATCTCAGTTACCACCTGGCTCAGTCACTGGGCAGGAACCACCCAAAAGAACATGACCACAGCTTGAAAGCTGAAGTGGACCCTGAAAGAGCTGGTAGTTGGAGGCTTCAGCTAACCACACCCCCTGCAACTGGGCAAGTCTCTTCTTCAAGGGAGGTCTGAGCAGCACATCTCCATGTCTGCACACTCCCCATACGGTCTCTAGCACAGTGAGTGACAAGACAAGGGCACCATTATCTTGCGTACACCTGTCTGAGAACCCACCAGAGGATGAGCCTTTGGTGGGCAAAGAGTATGTCTTTTTCTATGTTGGAATCTGCCAGCACTGTGATTTGCACACACTCCACAAAAGTTTGTTCAATTGAACATGAGCTACTATAATGTGGAAGTTGATATGAGTTGAGACCAACTACATGTGAGGGTGTTTATTGCTGAAAATGCTGTGTTTAAACTGGACTCTACTTATGATACTCTTTTATATCATGGACTTCAGGGAAGGGGAATACTTATTTCCACTTGTTTTCATGTTGATTAGACCTCCATTGGTTTACCACTCTTGGCTGCACCCTGACTCCTCACTCACTTTCCTCCTCCTACCAGGGAAGGGGGAATTATTCAGTGGCAAGTTTGGGAAAAAGAACCTGGCTTGTGCATTGGGCTCAGGGAGGATTATGGTTGTTTAACTGGCCCTGTCTAGAGGAATGGCAAGTGTAATATAGAAGATAAGAGAGTGTCTGCAAGTTCATTATTGCTATAGACCTGAGTTACATTCCCCAAACAGCTTTATCAGACATAGATGCAACTATTTTTATCATAGTCTCTCTGATTTCCTTATCTGGCTTTTTGTTCTCAAATTAGGTAGGGAAGAGAGGGCTATTATTTATTAAACATCCCCAAACCCCAAAATTCCAGAACAATACTACAGTCCTGCTTCAATGTACCTGTATTTGCTTTATTTTTAAACAAATACAAATAAAAATAAAAATTTAAAATAAAGTTCTATTTTCTTTTGGATCTTCTTTATTCATTAGCCATTTTAAACATTTTCCTAGCTTAGAATGTAGGCAAGAAATTGGTATCTTTAATTAAAGGCATGAGAACATCTTCAGCCAAAGATGCATATGGCTAAAGATATCGCTAATAAATTTGTTAGAGATAAAATGATAACTAAGACTTCTATCTGCATTTTCTGGCAGATAGCAGTCATAATTACACTAACTCTCTGAGTAAAGGTGATTCACTCAGTCAGAAACCAGAGTAAATGGCTTACGTCCTTCTCTTTTAGGAATCTTGTCTTCCTAGGTGCAAAATACCATGGGAACTATGCTCTTTCTTTTAAATTCACAACTTTTAAAATATAAAATATAGTATAAAGCATTTATAGTTTTACTAGAAAATTAATTTGAATCTAAATCTAATTAAGCCTCTAGATTTATGTGCCAGTCTTCAGGAAATATGGTGATAGAAGAACCTGCTAAATGATGCTATAAGGATACAATCAGCCAAATTCTGAATTGGAAAATCCTACACGAATAATTACCCCATTTTTTTTCAACAAATATATGGCATAGAAAATGAGAGAATGGTTATAGACTGACTGAAAGACATATCAACCAAATGCAACGTGTAGGCTCCTTTTGGATTTTGAGTCAAACCAAACAACAATAAAAAGATATTTGTGAAATAAATATTGAAGAAAATCAAATATAAATGTACTATTGGTGATATCAAGGAATTATTTTTAATGTATTGAGTGTGATAAGGGTATTGCGGCTATGTGTTTCTTAAAAGACCTTGTTTATAAAAGACACAAGCTAAAGTATTTACCAGTGAAATAATATAATATCTAGTATTTGCTTTAAAGTATTGACATATTAATATATCACTTGTGCAATTAAAAATAAGTTAAAATGCATTGCAAACAATTTTCTGTTGTGGTATGTTCAGAACATAGCAAATAAACGAAAGAAATCCCATTTACTAAGCTCTTGCCTTTTTCCAAGCAGAGAATAGAATCTATATTATCTCATTTATATTCCAGACAACTCCAATAGGTAGACATTATTATCTCCACTCTGCAGATGGGAAATTGAAGCTCAGTTTAAGAGGTGGTAGAGTCAACATTCAATTTAGAACCAATGTTTTTTAGAACACCACAGTTCTTTCAGAAGAGAGCTTTGGGTAAATTCTTCCTAGAGGGAGAGAGATAGACCAGATGTTTCTCAAATGTATGTAGAACATACAAAATGTTTCCTGCAAGTCTAATGGTTTTGTATAGCATGGAGCATATCAGTCTATTTCCTCTTCTGGCCTAGATTGCTCTGCCCAGAGCTCCCAATGCAGGGAGACACCACAGGGTAGTTCCTGTTTAGGAGCAATGGCTGGTTGGATTAGAGTAGATACCCGATCTAAACCAGCCAATGAACTGCCTGGCTAGCTACTAAAGAGATTCTCTTTCTCTTAAGCATTTAAACGGAAAAATAGAGAGAATATAGTTAGTAATAGATGCTGGAAATATAAGATTTTGATGTCAAGGAAAAGATCAGGGCAGCCATATTTAAACATGCAGAAGATGAATAAGCTGAGTAAATGGACTGAGAGAAAAAAAAATGAAGCAGACATAAGAGGAGAAGCTGAGATAATGTGGCCCTAAGTCATACAGAGGGTATGGTTTCTGGCTTATGTACTAGTTTTGAATGTACAAGAGATGTCCTGTTATAATTTTACAATACTACCATCCCCTTTTTCCTTGAGTTAGTTTGAGTGGCTTCTGTTCTTTGCCAACAAAAGAGCCTTATCTAAAACAATTAGATGTGATAACCCTTTAAAGTTATCACCAGATTTAGTTCCAAGATCATTTTACATAGATCATTCCCCACTTGCTACCCTCTGAAAGAAAGAGCTGTCCACTTTTCATTGTACTCAAGAGATAGACTAGTCTATGCCTCATTCCTAAATTTTCCATTGCTTTCCTGTTTCCCTCCTTCCATCATGCCCAATTCCAGATTCTTGATTCATTTAAATCCAATCCTTCCAAATTTCAGTTTAAGTATCATCTTGATGAAGTTTTGCTGACCAGTCTAGGCCTTAATAGTTCCCATTCTTTCTCCCAACCTGTCTGACTTTTATGACAAGATTATCAGCTCCTCTCATTTTCTGCTTATTATGCACTATCTTGAATTGTTTGCTAGTTTTCTATGGGTATGTCTTTTCTTTCTTCTTCCATTTTTAAGTTTTGTAGGTACATGGCAGGTATATATATTTATGGGGCACATGAGATGTTTTGGTACAGGCATGCAATGCATAATAATCACATCATGTAGAATGGGGTATCCATCCCCTCAAGCATTTATCCTTAGTGTAAAAAGCAATCCAATTATACTCTTTTAGTTATTTTAAAATGTACAATTAAATTATTATTGACTATAGTCACCCTGTTGTGCTGACAAATAGTAGGTTTTATTATTCATTCTTTCTAATTAGTTTTTGTACCCATTAACCACCACTGCCTCCCGCCTATCCCACTACCCTTCTCAGCCTCTGGTAACCATCCTTCTACTCTCCATGTCCATGAATTCAATTGTTTTGATTTTTAAATCTCCCAAATAGAGCATGCAATGTTTGTCTTTCTGTGTCTGACTTATTTCACTAACAAAATGATCTTCAGTTCCATCCATGTTGTTGCAAATGACAGGATCTCATTCTTTTTTAGGGCTGAATAGTACTCCACTGTGTATATGTACCACATTTTCTTTATCCAATCATCTGTTGATGGACGTTTAGTGTGCTTCCTAATCTTGGCTATTGTGAACAGTGCTGCAACAAACATGGGAGTGCAGATATCTCTTAGATATACTGATTTCCTTTCTTTTGGGTATATACCCAGCAGGATTGCTGGATCATATGGTAGCTCTATTTTTAGCTTTTTGAGGAACCTCCAAACTGTTCTTCATGGTGGTTATACTAATTTACATTCTATGGGTATGTCTTTTCTACCTGACTTTTTCTTAATTTTCCTGAGGTCAGAAGCTTACATGCTTTCCTCTTCTCTTTTTCCTGTCTCACTAAAAATGTTCCAGGTTCCTTGCTCTGCAAATCACTTATTTCAAAGTAGGGACTCGGCAAATACTTGCTAATTAATTGATGATTAGTATGTGACTTGCCGTTGTGTCTCTTATTTCCAACTTCTCACAAATGAGAGAGAGAAGTTTCCCTTTTACACATTAAGTCAGTAAAAATCATTCTTCAATAGACTGACAAATTTGGTCCTCTGACAATATGGGGCTCAAACAATTGTTTCCCACTTCTGAAAACATCTGTGCTTCATTTTTCTTATACAAACATTGGAAAGGTCACAAAACGTTCTCTGTGGGAAGATTAATTTGTCAAAGAGATTCTTGGCAACTAGAAGTAGCTGGCTGCCACACTCTGGGTTGGAAACCTTTGCCCACAGAAAGGTATGTCTTTTATTCAAATATGGGCAGTTTGTTTATTTTTAAGGATCCAGCATTTCAGCCCTTATTTGTCCATAATTACCTACGGAAGTCTGTAGGAATTGTTGCACTACAATATTTTTAAAACTCCACTGCAATCCTAATGTATACTATGTGGAGAATACTGAGGTGAAGACGATAATTAAACAAACTAAATGGTCTCTAGGGTAACTGACACATTGCCTGCCTTAAAATTAGAATTCTACCTGATGAGATTTGACAAAACTACTAAACATCAGCTTTATTTTCTCCTGAGAATAGCACCAAGAATTTTTCTGAACAAGTAAGGCAATTATTAGCTGGCTTATATGATGATTATAACCCAGAGCAATGGAATCTTATCTCTCTGAGCTATTACTCCACAAATGGAGAACTTACTGGTCTTTGGTGCCAATCCAACTGTTATCTTTAAGTATGTAACAGATTGCAGTTATGCTTTTCTGTTTTCTCCAGGATAAATATCTCCAATGCTCCTTTTCACCTCTTCTTAATATACTCTAGTTTCCTCTGGGCTCCAATGCAGACCTGGGATCAAGAGATGTAGTTCCTAATGGTGATTCTCCCAACTAGTTGTATGGTCTTGGATGAATCGTGGACTCTGCACTTCAGTATTCTCATCCTTGAACAGGAGACAATTCTTTACCGACAAGGAGCTCGTGGGGATATGTTAACAAAATAACTAGAAAGAACCCTCTAGATATTAGGTATTACATTCCCCATTACTTTAAGAACTGAGGTGCTACACTGAATGAACAAACAGAACTCACATCCCACTTCGCTATTCTACCCTCCAGAAGGGACTTGCAATTCTTAGCCTCAAGCTTTTGAGGAACCTCTAAAGAAAGGAGTAAGGAGTCTTTGTGGTAATTTCAAGTAATATTGACAACATCGATGAGGGAAGACTGGGGAGAAGTGGAATAAAGCCACATCCTGTTAGAGAAGCTAAGGAAGAGTCAAAAGGTATTCCTCCAATAGGAACGAACAAAGGAAGGAGAGCAGGGAGGTTCTAGAACTTTGGGTGGCTTGTTGCATTTGGGGAATATTAATATTTGGGAATCTTCAGGTTGTTTACTCCAGCAGTCCTCCATCTTTTGGCTCCTTTTCTTCATTGCTTTAATTTGTGCGTGAGCACCAACTTCTTGGAAAACCTCAATGATTCAGAGAGACTGCAGAAGCTAAGCTGGGGAAAAGAAATGTCTTGGGATTTGCTTTTGGCTCAACAGGGAGAGGTAAAGTGTTGGAGAGGGGTGAAACTTTAGTTTTTCCCACCAGGATGGGTAAAAAAGAGCAGTAATATGGGGCAGGAGAGAATTTCTGTCCCTGCATGGAGGGAACAAGCTTTCAGCTTTATAGCTCACAGGTCTGAGTGTGTGATCAACAGGGCATGGAGGGGTGAAGAGCTCCAGCAAAAGGGCAATTAAATAAATAATTCCCCAACTTTTCTGCTGTCAGACATGAGCAGGAATGCCTGAGGGACTAAAAGGAAAAGAGCAGAATCACTGGGGAAATAAGGGGATGGAAGGAGGGGAAGAGAAAAAAAAGGAACAAGAGAAAAAGAAAGGAAACTTGAGGATAGGAGAGAAGGAGGCAAGGGAGAGGAGGAGAGGAGATGAAAGGGGAGAAGACAGAAAAGATGGAGAAGAGAAGAAAGGAACAAAAGTTATATTCCAGCTAGCAACACAAGTTGGGCCAGTTCCCTGCAGACACATTCATCTGGACCTTGTCAGTCTACTCGGATGCCCAAGAAGAAGCTGGAATAAGGGTGGTGGGAAGTTGGAGGGGGAGTGGGGGCACTTAGGGAAGTATACCAACCCCCATTCTTTAAAAATCCTTGAAGAACAGAGCTTTAAGAAAGTAATAACAAATTGAACATACACCTACATTGTATGTATGTTAATGTATAAATTATATATATGTACTACTGTACTAATATATTAGGTACAATTTCATTCTATGTTACCAGGAATTATTGTTAATTTCATTCAATGTGATGGTGGCATTGGGTTGTGTAGAAGACTATCTTTGTTCTCAGAAAATATACACTGAAATACTTAGGGGTGAAAGGTGAGGATGTTTGCACCTTACTTTCCAAAGCTCAGCAAAACAAAACACAACAACATACACACAGAAAGAAAGAGAGAAAAAAAATCTAGGAAATGGTAATTGCTGAATGTGGGTGGGTATTATACAAGAGTTCATAAACAAGTCAGGGAGAAAACATATGCTAAAATGTAGAATTTTTAAAAGATGAGCTAACAGTAAAATAAAATTTTAAAGCCTACTTTAAATATTTTTTGTTAAATATTTTATCCTAGTTTATTGTCAGTGAACCTTTTGCCACCAGAAAAGCTTATTATAACTGTGATGTGATTGAATGTGTCATATCTGATTAGAGCCTATACCGGGAATGAGAGAAGTGTCTTCTCTGTTATATTCATATTACTCTCTTGGGCTTGCAATTTTAATATCATCTACAATCTGTGGGGTTTGGTTTTGTCTATTTTGTTTCAGCAGGAATATTTTTAAGCCACTTGCCCATTTGAAGAGGTTACTTTAATTAAAACTAGATTATGCACAACAAGCATCACTTGGCGATGCCTTCCCTTAAGCTAAAAGTGCAAAGAAGAGTAAGGGTGTCCTATTTGAGCCTTCTAGATAGTGGGCCACTCACTCCTGCTGCCTGAGCCACATGTGATAAGGAATCCTCTGATGTGGGTGAGCCTCAGTTTGGATACTACATATTACTCATGTTTAATTCATCCTTCTATTAAAATAAAAATCAATATAAATAGAGGCTTTGGTACTTTCCTCCCTTATCTCTCAGATCAGGCCACACCTCTCCGGGAGCATGTGAAGTTCACTTTGGGGTTCATTGTCCCAGAAGACACTTTCCAGAAAACTTGGCTAAGGTTTCAAAGGTTCTCTTCACCCCCATATACACGCCTTGCAGTTCCCTATGGCCTGAGGCCTAGAGCAGTGTCTGGGCTCCTTAAAATATTCAGAGGCCTCAGGGCCAGCAGTGGTCATCTGAGTGAGACTTTGACCTTAGAGCCAAGGTGAAAAATGGCACCAGTGAAGGACTAGAAACCAGAGGCTGGAACAAGGCTAGAGAAAGAGCTACTGACATTGAGAAGGTACTGATCCTGGGATATGAGGGATGTAGAAGCTTAGGGATAAAATGGAAAGAGAGATGCAATTAGTTGTTGGACATCTTATGGCACTTTCTCATAAGGAGTTGGGCAACTATTGACCCTTGGGCCAAAAATGAGTTTCAGCAGAGTGATCCAATTTCAAAGCTCAATGCTAATCCTGTAAGGGAGCCCATCAGAAAGGTATATGCAGGATGAAATATTACAGTTACCAGTGGATATGTTTGAAATGACAAAGGAAAGTAGTAATCCATTTAATTTCAGTAGGTGTTCAAACATCCTGGCACACATTGTTCATTCCTCAAAAATGTTATGGAGGAAGAACATGTATTTATAACTTGTTAAAATTTTATGAGCCAAAATGTTTGAAAAACATTTCAAAATCCCATTTGCAAATTGTAGTTAGACACAGCCTGCAATTACTTTACTGCGTAGCAAAGAAGATACACAGAGAACGGGGGAAAAAAACAAATCACGAAGACAAAGAAAAATTAACCGTGCTCTAGGTGGAAGGGATAATAGATTCAGGGTCATAAATTGCCTTTGTAAATTGTCGTTCACCTCCAAACAGACCCCGAGGCAAGGATTTAGGTGCAAGTAATTTATTTGGAAGAAGATGCCAGGAAGCACAGGGAGGTAGAAAAAGCCAGTAAAGGGCACCACGGTGGGCAACTGGGGCACATTCTTGCTGGGAATCCCCTGAGAAACCACAGTTAACACGTTCCAGAACTGTGCCACCAAAGGATGAGGTGGGTGGGGTGTTTACCCACCAACTCTCATCTCTGGTTGACAATTGTCTGTTGGTGGTAATTCTGGGGCACTTCAGCCTACCCCAAACCTTTCCTTGGCCAGAGATCACCCTTGGTCAGAGAAACACAGGAAGCCCAGCCCTCTAAGTGACCTCTGAGTTGTGCCAGGGGATATGGACACCCTCACTATGTACATTTTTTCTCCTGATCCGGTCAGTTTATCAAACACATATATAGAAAATGAAATATCACAGATAATTTTCAGTTTTTAAATATATTTCAAATCATTAAGGATAAAAATGGAACTTCTAAATTATCATAATAAAATACATTATCATTTTTTTCCAAAATAAGAATCATTACAGCTCAAAAATACCATCATGGCATATGAGTCACTGTGTCTAATTATAAAAATTTAACAGCACTAGATTTAAATAAATGTTTGGGAAAGGTTTTATAAATGGTGAAATGGTGACCCAACTTTGTAGCTTACTGGGACCACTGGCCCAGGAGGTTGATCCTGGCAGTGCTGGTGAGGCATCACCATATGGTGCAGAGGTCCAAGACGGGGAGAGAGGGACTGGATGAAGACTGGGAACCCTGCACTCTAGTCCCACTTCTATGATTAACTGTTTTTGTGAAAGCATGTTGTCTCCGTTTCTTTTTATTTTTTGTTATTTAACAAAAACTTACATAGTACTCACTGTGTGCCTAGCACAAAGTTCTCGACACTTTTCAAGAATTAGAGGAAGCTTTCCCTCTGCCCCTACATAACAATACTAGAAGATAGGTATTACTATTGTCATCTTTTTCTTAACACATGAAGAAACGAAGGCACTGAGAGGTTAAGTAACTTGTTCACGGTCATACAGCTAGCAAGTGGAAGAGCTGGGGTTTAAACAGAGACCATCTAGCGTCTGAGTCCATACTTTAAACTGCAAGATTTTGATGCCTCCATTTTCTTCATCTGTGAAACAGAGCTAAAGATACCAATCTTACTTAGTATGATGAGGATTTAAATGAGCTAAATTTTTCAAACGCACTTTGAAAAACAGCATTATTTAAATCAGGGGTGCCCAATCTTTTAGCTTCCCTGGGCCACACTGGAAGAAGAAGAATTGTCTTGGGCTACACATAAAATACACTAACGATAGCTGACAAGTAAAAAAAAAAAAAATCTCAAAAAAATCTCATGTTTTAAGAAAGTTTATGGATTTGTGTTGGGCCGTATTCAAAGCCATCCCGGGCCGCAGGTGGTCCGCAGGCTGCGGGTTGGAAAAGTTGGATTTAAATAAAAGGTTATTATTGTATTTCCTGAAAAGGAAAGCGAGTCCACTAGAAAGTCAACTTCTACGACAACCTCTTGGCTCCCCTATGAACCTAAATAGCAGTCATGCTAACGGTGCACTCACTCTTTTGACTAGGAATCGTAACATGTCATAAAGAAGTCAACATATATTATTTAATTACATCATTACAAAAATTACAACAGTCCTATGATATATGAAAAGTAGATGATCCTCTCCCCATTTTAAAGATCAGGAAACTGAAGCTTACAAAGTGGTTTGCCCAAAGTCACATAGCTGACAACTGGAAGAACCAGGGCTCAATCTCAGACATTTCTTCAAATTTAATGCTTTTGAATTTATCCCCACTATGAATAATAGTGATGTACTAAATGTGATCCCCCAAAATTCATAAATAAAACAAAAGAAAGCAAACAAAAGAAAATGACAAAAATAAGGGGACTTGTTGCTTAATGGGCATACAGCTTCAGTTTGGGAAGATGAAGAAAGTTCTGGAGAAGAATGACAGTGATAGTTGCACAGCACTGTGAATGTCCTTACTGCCACTGAACTATACACTTAAAGATGGTTAAAAGGGCAAATTTTGTTGTGTATATTTTACCCCAGTACAATTTTAAAAAGAAAAAAAACAAAACAGCAAGAAAAGAAGAAAGGGAAGAAAGATGAAATAGTTTTCAAGCTTGTTATCATGCAACTTCAGGGTTATCGTAAGAACTAACTGAAATAGTCGCTTTGAGTCAGCAAAAGCATCAACAAGGAAGGTGGTTAGGAGGCATTTAGCTATTTTGAAGGACGTTTTTCATTCAAAAAAGTTATTATCAAACTACAAAGAGCTTATTGTAAAATCTTAGTAGAGAATTCTAAAAACAAACAAAAATCATCTGTAAGTTTTGCATGTCATGTTTTGATATATTTCCTTCCAATTTTTCCTTTTGTCTTTTGTACAGAATTGAGAGCATACAATTCTGTATCTTTTCTTAATGATCTATAGCATAAACATCTCCCAGTTTCACACAGATGTCCAAGACCCTTCTAGCAAACAGGCAGTGCTCTGCTCATGCTTCTGGGCACCATGACTTTTCAAAGAACCTTGGTGCTCGCTAGAGGGCAATGTCCCTGCTTTCACAGGTTCTTCCTACAATTAGCTTCAGTGCAACACATCATGCTAAAATGACACAAAGCACCCCCTACTTCCCAAAAAGTAATACCTCTAGCATATACAAATCCAAATCCAAAGCATACCTTAAGCAGCTACTTTTGCATGGTCCTATGCTAGGTACACAAGAGTTTAAACAAAGCATAAGCTCTGGACACTCAGTGACATTTATGTTCATTCCATTTTGGAAATTAAGAAGGTTGATGTACCCTGAGTAACAGGAGTATCAGTTTCTTAAGGGTAGAGTCTAGGTCTTGTTCATTTTCTGCCTACTTTATTTATGAAATAAATAAATGACTAAAACTAAAAGTCTAGAACTATTCATCCAATTTGTCTGGCCTGTGATGTCTTCCTTTCAGATAAGGAAATGGGTTCAAGATGCTCAAGACAACCCATTCCTCCCCTGCCATGCTCCCAGTCACACACACTACTCTCAAGCCCTTTTACCCAAAATCACTCTGGATACCAGCTTATTAGCCTTTTCCCAAGAGATCTCCTAGAGCCAAAACACTTCCTATTTCTCTAATCATTTCAAGACTAGAAAAATCACTGGGGGTAACCAAAGAAGTGATTCTCCCAAACTCAGTTCCTCTTTTTGACAATTTTAAGGCAACTTGCTCACATGAGCCTATAATGAAAAGACCTTAGAGAAAGCAGCACTTTGCATGATGGAGAAACATTAAAAGGAGGTGGTGAGAAGCATCTGTTTACACCTTTACTTCCCTAGTAAACAATTTACCAGGCCCTGCCCTCATGTCTGCCACCCATGGAAATTGGAATCCAGCTAAACCTCCATTTAAAACCCTCTTACTTGTTTCATTTAAACAACAGTTAGCATCACACGGGACCCAGGTCATGCTGGAAAGGACACTTGGCTTAAAGACTTCAGCTTGATTCTCAATTTCACTGTTTGCTAATCGTGTGATGTAGAACCCTCATTTCACCATCTAAAAACAGGGATAATGATAAGGATTCCAAATGATCTAAAAAGTTAATGTTCATGATATGACAGTGCCTCAAAACCCTGAAGCATCACACAGATGTATGCCTTTTCTTTATAATATTCCTTAGGAAGTCTGTCCTGGCTAACTGGAAAGGGGTCGTGGATTCCCCTAGGTCCCACTCCATTCAAATAGGAAATTCTCACTGCTAAATAACCACCCCAGAAAGCATGCACACTCTATATCAGGGACAGTAAACTAAGACCCACCAACCAAGTCTGGTCCACTGCCTGTTTTTATATGGCCCGTGAGCTAAGAATGGTTTTTACATTTTAAATGGTTGAGAAAAAAATCAAAAGAACATTTTGAGATGTAAAAATTTCATAAAATTCAAATTTCAAGGTACATAAATAATGCTTTATTGTATTATCACCGTGTATATTTGTTTACACATTGTGGCAGATTCCACCCTACAAGGGTAGAATTGAGCAGTTGCAATAGAGACTGTATGGTCCACAAAGCCTAATATGCTGCAGAAAATGTTTGCCAAAAGTTTTACCGTTTCTGTTGTTCTCTGCCTGTCCACACCAAAGCTGTTGGTTCCTTCTTTAAACAGAGGTAAGCTCATTTTCCATCTCACACAGCACCGTCTGTTAGACTTATTAATTTGTGATAATGAAGACAATAGGCCACTGACCCCTGTCGTTGGTCTTCCAGTACTAAGCACTCATCGCTCAGGATGCTTAGTCTAACAGCATATTTAAGTACTAATTTGGCATCTCAGGCTCTGCTTGGCACCATGGATATAATAGTTCCCGGCCATTGAGGGTTTAAAATCTAATTGGGGAAGCAAGATACATCTAGGAAAAGCCCTTAATGAGCCATATAAGAATACTGACATATGCCTTTATGAAGAGCTCTTAGAATAGATGCTGCTAGGTCAGCATATAAAGTGCTGCTATCCTGGTACAGACAAATGAGTCAACGTCTAATCACAAATCTGTTTCATATGTAACTATGGAATATAAAACTTAGAGGTCATAGAAGAGGAGACTGAGACCAGAGACTGAGGCCCAGAGAAGTCCCACAGCCAGTTAGCTGAGAACCAAGACTAGACCTGGGTCTCTTGATCCCCAAGTCAGCAGAGATTTTTATGTTTACCTATAGCACTTTAGATGCTCGGGTCTTTTTAAAGCACAAGTAAAGAATACTTAAAACTAAATATTGACTGTACTTGTCTTCATCCCGCAGTACATGTATTCCTTAAATCATCATTTTAACCTTCAATTTCACTTCTGTTCACAATCTAGGAAAGAAACGATGCCAAATTCTGATTTTTCTGTTTTTCTATGATGTTTCCAAACATTTAAAGTGTAAAGGGAGAAGAAAAGATAATAATGAAATTCTTAGAAATCTGTTCTGATCACCATTCATTTAAAAAGAAATAAGCATTTCCCATATGTACTCATGGGGTAACTACTGTGATTTTGTTTTGTACATAATTTTCTATTGTTTTAAGATTGTATTTAAAGTATTTCTCATAACAGAGGCCTGTGGCTAATATGAAACAGCCTGACTCAATTAAAAAATCACCACCACCAAACGGAAAAAAGAAACCTTGAAAAGCTTAAAGTTGATCTGTAGTTATTCTATTTATATGTAGACAGCATGAAGAAAGAAGTGAGTCACATACACACAATATTGTCACAGTAAATTCTCCTTACATTGGAAAATAAATTCTTTATGTGACAAATTTTGCATTTTTCCCCTACTTCTTTCCCATGTAATCTTTAGCTATCACCACTGGCCAGCTAGCCTGAGTACAATACAAAAACAATATTAAAAAAGAGAAAGAAGACAAAGAAAGACAGAAAAAGTAATAAAGATGTGAAGTTTAAAGAAATGTACCTTAGGAACATTCTGGCTCTTTCCTTCCCATGAAATTTTAGCTGTTATCAATCACTGAATAGCAAAATGTCATTTGTAGCTCCTGCTTATTGGGGCTAAAAGTCCTGGCTTAGTTTAAAGATCCCAGAGGCTTTGATGTACCTACATGCTTGGCAGTGTCCCCTGCGGCAGGCATCAGTTGAGATTCCTGACTTATTCACTTTGAGGTTAGCCAGAACTCACTTCTCTCACTCAAAATTGCTGAGATAATTTGAGGCTGTGAATGTTGATCCCATAGGCCTGAATAGGTAGCTCTGAATGCCTCTTTAAAGAAACTGGGATGTGTGTAGTTTTGAGGGCAGCAGATCAGGTCTTTAAGGGAGGTAGTAGTATAGGATGTACTCTTTTTGATGGCAAACTCTCCTGGAAGGAAAAGTTTTAAAAATCTATTTGAAAACATCAGAGAAATACCAAGGTAATAGGGATTTGAGAGTCCAAAGTCCTGGAGAGAAATGATGTGCAAAAACGTGAAGTTGTTATTCAGCATCATTTCCCCCTTAAGGCATTAACCAAATGTCAAGCAGCAGCAGAGAAAGTGAGAGCTGATCCGAGCTTCCAGGAGTTTTAGGATGAAGGAGAACAATAAGTAGAGTCCAGGGCCCACCAAGGAGAGAAGCCCAGGTTAACACCTCAGGCTTTTAGTTGAGATGCCTGAAAGGGTAAGCCTCAGTGACAGGGGAAAACTAGATTAAATAGACCAACTCTCACAAAAACCAAAGTCCATCCTTCAATCTGTTCAATCCCTGACTGCATCAGATGTAATGCCACTTCCTAATTACCTTCAAGAAGCAAAAGCTAATCTCTTCTGGAAGATAATACCATCTAGAGCCTCAAATTATCTATAATTCTTGATACATAAATAGAAACAGATTTATAGAGGTTCTACATATTAGGCTTACCAGAAAGGTATTTTAAAATATATTCGGACTAATTTGAGAAATTAAACTACAAGATGGAACAAAATGAAAATTCTAGAATTGCAATATATAATAACTGAAATGAAGAATTAAATGGAAGCTTCAGAAGCAGCCTAGACACAACTGAAGAAAGGATTAGAGAACTGAAAATGGCCAGACTGAAGTACAGTGAGGAAAAAAAGATGGCAAATACAGAAAAGAGAGTAGGAAATTTATGGGACATGGCAAAATGGTGAAATGAAATTGTGCTTAAAATACTTCTCAGTAACAGAGGTCTGACTCTAGTATGAAATTGCCTGCCTTAGTAAAAGCAAAGATAACCAAAGGGGAAAACACTTTAAAAGCTTAAAGTTAACCTGTAGTTATTCTATTTATCTGTAGCCAAGACAAAGAAGGAGAGGAAAGAGATAATGAGATAGAAGCAATAGTTGAAGTTGTAATGGTTGAGAATTTTCCAAAACTAATTAAAATCTTCAGGCCACAGATTTAAGAAATGCTATGAACTCCAAGCAGCAGAAATACAAAGGAAATCATGCCTAAGTGCATCATAGTAATACTGCTGAAAATCAGAAAGAAAGAGAAAAATCTTAAAATCAGTCCAAGAGAAAAAATCAATACTATTAAAGGAGCAACAATAAAACTGACATATGACTGTCAGATACAGTAAGAGGACAATGAATGGCAACTTCAATGTGCTGAAAGATAAGAACTGCCAACCTAGAATTCTATGCCCACTGAAAATATCCTCCAAAAGTACATGAAACAAAGACACTTTCAGACAAACAAAGACTGAGAAAATAGGTACACTAAATGAAATACTGAAGGAAGATCTTTGGGGAGAAGTAAAGTGATCTCAGATGAAGCCACAGAGATACAGGAAAGAATGGAGAACAACAGGAAAGGTAAATAAACGGAATCTAAATCTAAATCTAAAGGTAAATATGTGAGTATATGTAAAGTATGTACAAACAGTAAAAATAATGTAGGTTTTTAAATCTAGAGAGAATTAAACTATAGAATCACAATAACCAACAAAAAGGCAAGAGGGAATTTTAAATGAAGTTAAAAGTGTCCTATTATTTTTACATTGTCCAGGAAGTAGGAAAGTTCCAATTTGTAGTAGATTCTATCAGGGATACACGCTGTTGTAAACTCTAGGGAAGCCCCTAAAAGAAATTAAGAAGAGTTTGTATAATTAACAAACTCAGAGACAGGGGAAATAGAATAATTAAAATATCTAATTTAAAAGAAAGCAAGAAGGGAAGGAAAAAATATTATGAAACAGGTGAGATCAATGGAAATCAAACAATAAGATGGTAGATTTAAATCCAAATATATGAGTAGAATTGAATTTATGAGTGTCTGTGTTTATAGGGCAGAAACATGTAGCCAAATTACAAATAGCGAATATATTTGTGTAAAGTCACAGATGTTGTGCAAACTCACAAAATACTGACATTGATGGAGATAGCACAAAACTCATAATGTGAAGATATCCATGAAAAATAGGTTACTAGGAGTCATCAATTGAATAAGTATTTAAGATTACTCAACGCAGAAGAAAACTTGAAATGCTTTGGGTTTTTACAGTCCAGATAAGAAAGAAATTTGATAATGGCTTTTCCAAGTTTGATGTTAATCCTAAACATATATATGACACTACCAATAATGAGATATGAAGTTGAAAGAAAGTTTTTCTAATCTCTCATTAATAAAAAGACAATTTTAATCAACCATGCTAGAAGACTGACCTCCTCCTTCTATTTTCTCTATAGAAATGGATTTTACCAAATAATGTCATTTTAAAGGGAGACAAATGAGGATGAAGCCAAAATATTTAAGAAAACAAGTATGACAGAGGTGTGTCAGACAGTTATTTAATAGATATTATATTCTTTTTCTGGATTTTATGATGTTGGTGAAATTTAGCAGCTTATTTAAATGAGAGATTTATTATGATTTCTAAATCTAATGTGTGATTTCTAAAGGTTTTAAAATATCCACTTCTCTCCCTAATTTTGTAGTCATAATTTTATTTGGTTTTTCTTTAAAAATGCCCCCACTCCAAGAGTCCCCATAAAATCTGGATAAACTCTTGTCATCTAGGGTTGGAACCATTGTTCTCCTGCAATCACTCTGTTAATCATGAAAAGTAATGAGCAACATGATTTACAGACCATAATCCAGTATTCTGGGTTTACCCAGTAGGACCTACTAGAATTCATTAATTCCTTTATTCCTCTCTTCATGCATCCATCCATTCATCAATTCAACAAATGTTTATCAAGCACCTACTACAGGTTAGGGACTGTTCCAGTGTCAGAGAATACACCAAAGAATGAGATGGCCTCCCACTTTTTTGGAGCTTATATTCTAGTGGTGGCAGACAGACAGTAAACAAACAAATGAACAAAATAATTCTCAAGAAAATAATACTGGATGATATTTACCCAAAAGAAATGAAGACATATATCCATACAAAAACTGTACAAGAATGTTTATGGCAGATTTATTCATAATCACCCAAACCAAAAACAACCCTAATGCTCATTAACCGGAGAATGGATAAACAAAATGTGGAATATCCATACAATGGAATCCTTCTCAGCAATAAAAAGAAATGGATTACTGATACGTGCAAAAAGTGAGTTAAAAGAAGCCAGACCTAAAATAGCTACATACTATGTGATATCATTCACATGACATTCTGGAAATGATCAGTGGTTGCCAGGATCTGTAGGTGGAGGAAGGAGATAGATTACAAAGGGGCATGATAGAATTGGGGGATGACGAAAATGTCCTCTATCTTGACTGTGCTGGTGGTGGTAGTGATGTGACTGTATGTTTGTCAAAATTCATACAAATGTAAAAAATTTATTGTATATAAACTACGCCTCAGTAGACCTGAAAAAAAGAAATTGGATTATGGGGTAGTATTGGTTATTTCTTCAGATTCAGTGGCCAAGGAAGACCTCCTACAGGAAATGATGTGTAATATGTGAAACGAACTTCTTCAAAATCCCTTGTTCTATTATTACTAGGAGATAAAAAGAAGAAATGGAGAATTTTTTTTTCTTTTATTCTGAAAAACATGTGTTTTAATTAAGAGAGAATTTACGCAAACCCCACACATAGGAGGACTTACAAGCTCAAAAATGTAAATTTAGCCTATTTTCAAAGGATGTTATTGACAGGCACAGTTCAAAAATCCTCAGCAGGGAGCCCTTTCAGGCTATACTCTATGTTTCATGATCAAGCTTGTGCTTTCTTTTTTGCCTCTATGCATATTAAGTTGCCAGAAATGATACTTAATTAGTCACATAAAAGCCTAACACTTTAAAAGATAACAAGTGAGAGACAAGGTCAAAGTTCTTTGCTGCCCTTCTCCTCTCCTGATCCGCTTGAAAGAGCCTTGCTGGGAAACCTCACTTCAACAGCACCTGTCCTCTCATCATTCCCAGAGGCTGCTGGCAGCTGTGGTAGTTCCACTGCCGTGGAGAGACATGAGTTGAGTTTCCTTCCAGAGAGGGGCAGCATGTGTTTCAGAAAAATCAAACTATACAGAAGTTATGAACTGGCAGCTTATGTAAACTGGTTCCAGCAGAGGGACTTTCTTGTAAAGCATTTCTAGAAGGATGCTTTACAAGGAATGATATTAAGTAAGTCTTCTCTTGTGAGAAAGGGGCCAATCTCCTTGCAATCAATGAAGCTGGGCCTCCAGAATGGTAAAGGAGCCTTTGGAATTACTGGGGTGACCCCATTAGAAGGGGATTACCCTGGAGTCACTCAGGGTATTTTCCTTCAGAAGGGTAGTTTTGGCATCAGTAGCTCCCACTGTCCAGAAAAGGGAAATGGAATCAGACTCTGTGTTTGATGGCTTCTGAAGAAAAGTTTCCAGTTCCCCTGAAGGAATTAAGACTTGGAATGAGGATGAAAGGGTTCTTTCTAATCTGAGTCCATTCTGAATTTGTTGTGACAAAGTTAAATCCCATCACCTCTTTTGGTCTCTGTGTCAAACAAGGGTGTGAACTTCAAGATGACTTTTACTTCTAGCTGCTGGACTTTATCCTTTTGTCACTGCTCAAACATCAACCAAGGTGTAGTTATTGTACTCTTACTGAATGCAGAGTGGGCCTGGCTACTGTAGAAGACACAGATCCCTATGAACCACCCCATACGATTAAGGAAGTATAAAACACATCTCTAACAAAGACCTAGTAGTACAGGATAGATTTGGCATTTAATGAACAATACAGGCAGAAACATCTTAGGAAGGGAAAAAAAATCAATGAAAGCCAAAGATCAGGGAATGCTTCATAGAAGAGAAAGGACTTGAACTATCCCTTGAAGGATTGATAGGATTTGGGTAGATGGAAAGAATAGGGCCCAGCCATCAGAGAAGGGGAAATGAAGTTAGAGGGGGAGAAGTCTGGTGGCACATGTGGGAGGCAGTGAGAAGAGTTTGGCTAGAGCAGTGTTTGTTCTGGCAAGTCTTGGGACAGGGGGATATAAAAGAGAGACTGGCAGCTGGAAGAGGACCTACAAGAAAGAATGAAAGGATCAGACACAAGTTCACAGTGGAGACCTGGAAAGCTGACCCCTCATGTCTTTGGAAAGCCTCAAAACCTCATCAATGGGATGCCTAAATTCCCCAAGCCTGTGACTACAGATGATATGGGGCTGCTTCATTTCTTCCCTCTTCACTTGTGTGTGTCTTCCAACAGAAGATATTTCACAGACAGAAAGAGCCTGTGCAGCTGGGAGGCATTTGATATTTGCCTATCTGAGGAATTCCTGATACCCTCTGTGAGAGAGAGGAGCAAACGTGTATCCTGGGGAAGAAATTTGGACCCCAAAGCATATAGCAAACTCTTTTCTAAACTGTCCAATAGAGCCCTCTGCAATGACTGAAGTGTTCTCTGTCTCCACTGCCCAATAGAGTAGCCACTAGCCACATGTGGCTACTGAGCACTTGATGTGTGGCTGGTGTGATGAGGAAATGAAATTTTCCATTTCATTTAAATTAAATGCAAATTTAAATAGCCACATGTGGTTAGTGGCTACCAAGTTAGACCATACAACTCTAGATGTCGGGAAAGCTACAAACCATGTTATCACATACATTCCTTGCAGAAAATTCAAAGAATCTGTACTTCAAGAAGTTTGCAGAAATATAACACCTTCCTGTTTCTTTCCACATTCCAAATAACAAAGAAACTTATAACCAGTCTTTCCATAGAATCAAAGAAGAATCATGTTACAGTGGAACCGCCATATCCATCTGTCCTTAGAATCCATTCTGCCAGCCCCATTCTAGTAAAAATAACACTGAATAATGGCACTGAAGCAGGCTTGATATAACTTGGGCATTACATATATTGTCAACATTAAATTCAGCTTTAAACCTTACACTTACTGGAAAAGAAAACACAAACCACGCTCACCCTTTTTCTGTTGAGGGTCCAATTCAGGTCTCAAATTTCATTTACATAATAATGAGGCACCTAGCACAAAGGTGGACATCTAATAGGAAGGACCAGTATGTAAAAAATATCTCCATCTATCCAACCATTCATCCATCTATCCACCCATCTGTCCACTCATACATGTAACCCACCCAATCAGCCAGCCAGCCATCTATCCATCCATCTGTCCACTCATACATGTAACCCACCCAATCAGCTAGCCAGCCATCTATCCATCCATCCACCCATCTATTTATCCCCTGAATCTACTTACTGACCCACAAAAAATAGTTTTTCTTTCATTTACCCAGATAATGAGAGCTTAATAGAGAACAGATGAGCAGGTGACTATGTGATACGTTATTGTTATTATTATTATTATTATTATTTTGGGATGGAGTCTTGCTCTGTCATTCAGGCTGGAGTACAGTGGCACAATGTCGGCTCACTGCAACCTCCGCCTCCTGGGTTCAAGCAATTCTCCTGCCTCAGCCTCCCAAGTAACTGGGATGACAGGCTCCTGCCACCACACCCGGCTAATTTTTGTATTTTTAGTAGAGACGAGGTTTCACCATGTTGTCCAGGCTGGTCTCAAACTCCTGACCTCAAGTGATCCACCCACCTTGGCCACCCAAAGTGCTGGGATTACAGGCGCGAGCCACTGCGCCCGGCCAATACATTATTTTTAAGAGTATGCTTTCAGATTAATCCTCAAAATAGAATGAAGAATAAGAATGAGGAAAATTGTATGCATTAACTAAACGTAATTTTAATTAGTCAATATTTATTGATCACCCATTTGGCACAAGAAAACTTGAGGGGCACTATGGAAGATTTAAGAATATATTGAAAATCTCTGCCTTCAACATTCTTAATAATCTACCTAAAAAATGTAAAGCAATGAATATATGAGAGGCTAAAATAAACAGACAAACAAAACACTTCCAAACAGCAATATAAAAGGTGTCACAAGATAATTCATGTCTCAGATAATAAGTCTGATATTTCAAGAGGGTCAGGAAATTTGAGCTAGAATGGCTCAACTTAGGGCTTTAAGGAGGAGATTTGAATCAGATTCTGAATGATAGACAAGAAGATAGAAAAAACAATCACAAGATTTTAGAACTTGAAGGGACCATAGACATTGCCTAGCTCGACTCCATCATTTTATAGATGATTAAACTAAGGTCAGAGAGTTAAGTGACTTAGTCCCACTTTCTCATACGGGTAGTAATGGCAGGAAAATGTCTAAAATGCAGGTTTGTTGATACCCATTCCAAGCCCAAATGCCACATGGGATGAGGAATACAGTCTGTATTTAGGAAAGGAGAAAGCATTCTGGAGAGCGGGTGGGACACAGCATAAGCCAGGAAACAGAGCCAGGAACACATCAGTGCAACCACTGTGTATGAGGATATCAGTGTGTGTGTAAGGACAGAAAGCATGGGAGGAGAGGGAGGATGGGGATCAATATTGAAGGTGGTTGAATGCAAACCTACAACTGCTCAGCTGTGCAAATCCCCAGAATTCTGGTTTCTGGGACTGCCTTGAAGTCTCCCTTTTACCCGGTGATGCCAGTGTAAACTTTTCTAGAAACTTGATATTCTTTTCATATTGACAAAGACTCGAATTCACCCGGTGAAGGGGGGAACTGCAGAAGGGAAGCTGGAATGAGGACTGGCAATGCTGGGCAATGTATAGGGGGCAGGGATGGATGGTTATCACTATGTGCCCCACTCATGCCTCAGAACCCTGAATTCAGTAGATTTAGGACAGGGCCTAGGAATCTGTATGTTTTTAAAGCTCCCCTGTGACTCTGGTGATCATCTGGTTTGGAGGGTCTTCTAGTTCATTCACTTTTTCACCAATCTACCTAATACAGACTACCACCTTGAAAACTGACAATATTTAGTAAATATAGGCCCCTATAACCCAGCAATTTCACTCGCAGACATATATCCAAGAAAAATAAACACTTATGTTTCCCCAAAGACATGAATAAGAATGTCCAGAGCAGGTTATCATCATCCCCAAACTAAAAACAACCCAGTGTCCATCGGTATTAGAAGGAATAAATAAACCAAAGTGTATTCATACAATGGAACACCACACACAATTAAAAAGAACAAACCACACTGTTACACGTATTAATACAGGTGAATATCACAGAGATAATGATAAGCATAAGAAGATAGATACAAAGGAGTACTTGCTATATGATTCCATTTATATGAGATTAAAGAACTGGCAAAAATAACCTATGGTGATTGGAATCAGAATAGTGATTGCCTCTGTATGGGGGTATTAACTAGGAAAGGGCATAAGAGAAACTCTGGGGGATGCTGGAACTGTTCTATATCTCCATCTGGTTATGCAGTTCTATAGACATATGTAAAAATATATTGAGCTGTTACTTGTTCAGTTTACTGTGTATATGGATTACACCTTGTTGAGAAGAAAAAATAATATAGAATATATATTTGCCCTGCCAACCTCAGAGATATAAGATAGAAGAATCCCATTGTTTTCAAAAATGAGATGAATAGAAAAAAAGTACAGTCTTAATCATTTAGCTCAATACCTATTCTTTCTATTGGAATTGGTTAGATGCACTACCTGTGATTCAGGTGATCCATCAGCTTTTTAAAGACTTAGCAAAACACAAAAAGTTAGCTATATGGGAGCTTCTAGTAATTTCTGAACTTGGCAAGGACAGGCAGTAACTATAAACTTACTGGGAACACACTGGAGCCGCGAAGGAGTGCAACCTGGCTTTTGAAAGAGCTTTCCCTTTCTGTTGATGGTGAACTTGGTCTGCTTTGAAACTCCAGAGAAGAGTTCCCTGCAGCTGCATCTTTACAGTTCATGCCCTCACTTTCCTTTCTGTTTTTCTCCCTAAGAAGAGAGTAAACACCATCTGTACCACTGCACTCACCAACCCGGAAACCAAAATCTCTCCTTCCCATTAAGAAAATTACCCTCATCCTGAAGAGCCCTCGGCCATTGGTAACAAGCCACAGCCCTTCTGCCAGCTCCAGAGTTTGCCAGCCCTGAATCAATACATGAAACTGTCTGTGGTCATTGGTATCTGTGGGCAGATGTGCAGGGGAGGATGTGCAAGCCGAAGGGGAATGGAGGGAATGGAGAAACTCTGTCCAGTCGGTACAATGTGCAAACCTTACTTCTGTGCTATTACTTTTCAGACTTTGAAAATGTCGTGTGCTGGGCAGTGTGCTTCAGGTAGCTAAGCATAAACACATGTCTATAAATACTGATAACACTATCTTTATTTGTCCATTACTCAACAAAGCCAGATCACCTGAGGACTGTTTGTTCCTCTACAAAATGAGAATCCAGCACCACATGTATTAAAATGTGGGACATTTTCTTCGGAGTATAAACTTTCAAGAGCAGCATCTATGTCTTTTCCAGAACACTCTCAAATCCTTCTGTATCTTTAACACATAACATACAGTTGATTATAAGTGAAAAATTTATAGTCTAGGTTCATTGCAGCAGTTTTTCTGGGTTTGACCATATGGTCTATGCTGTGTCTGAAAGTCTATTCATTACTATGTCCAATTTCCAGAACACAGAAGTACATAAAGTATGTTCAGTAATTTATGTGAACAACCTGCAGCTATTTCTTGACTTGCTAATTCAGGTAAGTGTTTCTTACATGCTAGACACTTGATAAATGTTCAAAGAATGAATATATAGTTTTAAGACTGAATAAACGTAAACTTTTATGCAATGTGCTCACACAAGAAATGCAGTTTGCAAATATGTATATTTCCCAGAATAAAAAACTGTAGTGAACTCCCTCTTCCTCCCCACAATAAGCCCCAAAAGCATGGTATATGAAGTATTGTCAATAAAGATATTAAAATTAGAAATCAACCTTGAATAGAGCTTTCTCCAGAAAATTTTAAAAACTCAAATAATGTTTGATTTCATTTAAGAGAGACTTAGGAAAACCGGCATACAATTGTTCTATCACAGAGAGTCAAATTCAAAATCAGCTGTGAGAAAAGTTAAACTGTCTGAGGAAAATGAATTTCAGAGAAATGAGGCTTATTTTCTCCTCTTGGTTATTTCTGAAAGAACGTTTTGAAGAAATCCAGTGGAACTTTCCTGTTCTCTGAGGGGTTTCAATTGCTCCTAAAAAACATTTGCCTGAGGTTTAAACTCTATTGGGTGTGATTGTCTTTCTCACTGGTCAATTAATTTTGCAAGGAGGGAGAAGTTAGGAAAAGGCAATGCTAAATAGATATGTCTCCAGAAAAAGGCACCTCAGTTTTCTGCTTAGAGATTTTTTTTTTCTCATCTGTCTCCTTCTGTCCCCATCATTCACTTTTCTTTCTTAAACCAATATGTTACACTCAAGAAGTCATACCCAGAATAAAAACCTGCCTGGAAGGGAATCCGTGTTTGAGTAAAACTTCCCTTGTGCAATCAGCTCCCTGTCCCGACATGGTAGTTCATTTACCCAGGCGTCTATCACCCTTGGAGAGCATGTAACTTTCAGCCTGTACTTACCTGTCTGCCGAGAGCGCCGTGAGTGTGAAGACAGACACCCCAACAGAGGTAAGCTGTATAAAGGGGATCAGTTTGCAGCCAATCCTGCCAAATAGCCATCTGTCAGCCAGGTACCTGCTGGCATCCACTGGAGCACACGTTATTAGGAGGAGCAGGTCTCCCAAAGCCAGACTGGAAATGAACAGGTTTGGAACGTTTCGCATGGACTTGACTGTACAGAAGATCTTGATCAAAGTGATGTTGCCAATGAGGCCTATCAGAATGATAACCCCATAAACTGCAGGGATGACATAGAGGATCCCCGGGTGGGACCAGTCATCGTTCACGGGGAGATCCGCACTGTGACTGGAGATGTTGCAGTGCATGAAATGGTCCACCTCCAAGTTCAGAAGGAAACAGTCATTTAGAGCCATCTCTAGATTTTTTTTCCCACCTAAAAGTTCCCTTAGATGCTATTTCTTAACTATTGATTTTGCAACCGAGTGAAGATGAAGATAAGATCTATGCCGGGCTCTTTGCCTTCTTTAATAAAAATACTCTGAGTACATATATACTAACTATGGTATTCAAAACTCTCTGTCACTATTTTGACACTGGTGCTGCTCTGGCTTTCACATGACCAGTGCAATACAACTCTAAATTCAATAAGTTAACAACAACAAAACTTAGCCACAAAAAGGCTTAGAATTAAACCCACTCTGCATCAGTTCTTTCTACCTCCATTCTAGTCTGAGTCTCCCTGGCTGCAGTTTACTAAGAACTTTTGGCCTGCTATTTTCCCACAGCGTCTTTCCTGATATTTAGAATCTGGAGGTTTAAAGTGGGTAGAAAAAAACTGCACTGAGAAATCCTCAAATCCTATAGGCAGGATGCTTTGCACGTCACGGGCTTCACCAGCAAACGGCAGCTCCGCTGAGCTGAGGCTCTGAAGAGGAACCAGTGTTACTTATAGACAGAGAATGCCAGCCCCCTGCTGGACACTTCAATCACTGCCCAGTTGCCTGCTTTCTCCAGATGAGAAGCAACCAGCCGACTGCAGTTCCTACCTAGCTTAACAGATACCTTTGGCTTCTCATGTAAGCACATAGCACCTAGGGTAGGTATTTAATAAATGTTGCTAGCATTCTGCAAAGGCACTGAAAATCTTTCTGATACTATCCCCATGAATCCAGATGGGGATTTACATCCCATTTTCTCATTTTTTCTAATTCATTAGAATGACATGTCAATATTGCTATCAAATGAGGTCTGTCTTTGAATTAAACGCACACTGATGCACAGGGTGTCCATGTGTGAGTTATCCCACTCAGTCTTCCCACTGCCTCTTTGAACAGGGACTGATCCTCAGAAACACATGCACAGACTCACACCTTAAACCTTCAGCAACTGACATCTGGAAAAGCCAGAAGCACAATGCACACATGTTCTTTCCTGTAGATTTGCCAAGCCATTCCTATTCTGTTTACCAGGGAGAAATTAAATTGGGAACCAGCTGTATTCTTAACTCTCAATGATCAATAGTCTTTTCCAGAAAAATGGGTCTTTTCTCATCTGATCTAAAAATTTTATGAATCGGCATTTTGATGCAGCTATTTGCATTTTTAATTGAATGTTTGCCATGTTTTATAGCAAATATCCTCTTTATAGCCCTGTGTGGAAAATAAAGAACTATAAAAGCGTGATAGATACAATACTGAGGAATTGAGTGGGTGGTAAAAGAAGTAAGTTATCGTTGAAGGAGTGCTAGAAAAAGCTTAATTGAGGAAGTGCTATTAGAATCAGGCTTAGACCTTTAGCCAACAACTTCTAAATACATTATTAGAGTGCATCTTTATGACGTATGTGAAGCCAGCTCCTCCAGGTACATGACGTGAAGCCAGTCACTAACAGGTGAAGTCTCATTTTTCAGAACCCATAAGGAATAACAAAACTTGCACTTACCATGCCAGGGCCCACAAAGAAAGCCCCCAACTGTGTTGTTATGGACATTTCCAGTGGCAGGTTCCAACACTGAGGCTGCTGCCATGCTTTCTATGTAAATATGAAAGGCTCAGCGCCCCTCTCTGCCAGCAGGAGGGAGACTGATGCTGCATGGCTAGAGGTGGAAGAGCTTCTCGGCAGAGATCAGTAGCACCAGTAACCAGCCAATAGCCATGAGCCCAGTGGTGTTGATTAGTTGCCAGCAATATAGCTTAATGATACAGTACACAGGCTCTGCTTCAATCCTGGCTCCCTCATTTATAATTATGGCAAGTTACTTAGTGTCTTAAGCTTCAGGTTCCTCATCTGCAGGGTGAGGAGAACTTATGAAGTTAGATGAAATGATTCATGTTAAGATTGCATAGTATTTGGCACATAGTAAGTGCTCAATTAATATTAGCACTTATTATTATTATCATTATTAGATTGAGGGGGAAAGGCTTACTTTGGAAAAGCCCAATGAGTTCAGAAGAGTGATTGACCTCAGATCAATAGGCAAGCACTCATACGAGTGAATTAGCAACTCCTTTATTTACTTGAAAAAAATTTATCAAACATCTACCAGTTGCCAGGCACTGAGCAAGAGGCTGAGAAAAATAGCATGAAGATGTGTACTCTCACAGCTCTTTAGACCCCAACCCCTCTCTGGAGTGAAGCAACTACCTTTTCTCCAGAAAAGACGATATCTTTAAAGGTTAAGTGTTGACAAGGTCTTTTGAATGAAGAAAATCATATGTGCCTAGGATCAAGGCATAAAGGAAAGAGCATGACATTGAGCAGAGGGACATCTATAAATCCAGAGGGTCACCCAGATTGGAAGACAGGGGTGGAAAAAGAACAGCGTGAAATGCAGCTAGAAGCAGGTTTGGGTGAGATTGTGATGGATCTTGTATTCTTGCTAAGAAGTTTGGTCTAAAAGGCATATTTTTGGTTCACAAAGAGAACTTCTGGATGTTGTTTCCCTTTATTTCTTTAGACACCCCTGTGTGCTGAGTCAGCCTCACTACTTAAATCTAATTGGGTGGTTAGTGTTTCTTCCAATGTAAGTTAAGGGGATGCTGATAGATATTGATTTCTCATAGCTGGTGTTAGCATTATGTGTTCCACAGCACTATAGATTCTTCTAATGGTATTTTAGGAGTAAAGGTGCGTTGAGGTTTGACATCTAATATTTTCGGGGATCAAGGATGCTTTAAAAAGCTAATTCGGGCCAGGTGCGGTGGCTCACGCATGTAATCCCAGCACTTTGGGAGGCCGAGGCGGGTGGATCATGAGGTCAGGAGATCGAGACCATCCTGGCTAACACAGTGAAACCCCGTCTGTACTAAAAATACAAAAAATTAACCAAGCGTGGTGATGGGCACCTGTAGTCCCAGCTACTTGGGAGGCTGAGGCAGGAGAATGGCGTGAACCCAGGAGGCAGAGCTTGCAGTGAGCCGAGATCGTGCCACTGCACTCCAGCCTGTGCGACAGAGCAAGACTCCCTCTCAAAAAAAAAAAAAAAAAAAAAAAAGCTAATTCCATAATTTCTATGTCATTTCAACTAATTAACTATAATGACTCTTTCCATCCCTACCATTATGTGTCACCTTCCGGCAGAGCCGGAACACCAAACACCAAACGTATTCAGACATTTGCTTAGCTTTTTATTTACTGGTGAACATGAGATGCCTCTGACATGTGAACATGACATGGAACAAATGTAATATAAAATCTCTGTCCCCAGGGAGTCCAATTTCTGAATAGAATTGGAGTATGACTCAGCATCTTTTCTTATGTGTTGGGACAGGGTTGTCACTTCTGTTTCTATTTCAGTCAATAGAGTCACCTTTTTCATCTTTCCAAAAGACTGGATTTTCTGTGGGGCTCTAACATGAGGTGGGCAACAGTGACTTGATAGAATTTAGGAGAACAGGTAGATTCAATGGGACCACAGAGTGTGGAGACAAAGCCTCTTCCCACTGGCTATGAGCAAGGTCAAAAGGGAAGCTTCTGGAGGGAAAGGCTGAATTTGGCTTCAGGCATATTGAGTTTGCTAGATGAACAAGGGAATGTAAGAAAGCCAATGGAAAATGAGAGGTGAAGTCTGAAAGCATAGAAGTAAATAATTAAGAGGACTGGTTGAGAACTAGAACCCTGAATGCCAAATAGTTTAAATGTACAGTAAAAGAATCACAGAGAATCAAGTGAAGTTAGGCTTTGAGAAGAAGATTATGTGGTAAAAGTCAGTGAAGACTAAGCGTGATTTCAATATTAGATTTGTGACAGCACCACGGAGAAGCTGCTCAAAAGACTGCAGCAACTCTTGCTTGAGAAGAATCAGAGATGTCAAATTTTAGTACTGCAGCAGGAACAAAAGAGGCAGATGACTCTATCCAGATCCTGTAATGCTGGGATCGTTTCAAGTTCCCTTTTCTTTTCTCAACATTCTGTGACTTTTTATGGGGCTTAAAAACTTAGAAGAAAGATGAGAGGAGTCTTCTGGAAGGAAAAAATGAATTGGGTTTCATTTTGAGTCACATGAAACTGCAGAAGTAAATGTAGATGCCAAGAGAAAGCCTAAAGAGGAAGACGAAATTCTCAGACACATCTGAGGCTAGGAGAACACCTGGTGTGGTGGTTAAAATATATTCGCCAGTTCTCAGTACTCTTTGCTTCAAGAGATGTAGATTAATTTAACCCCCACCTCCACCCCTTAAGTGTGAGCTTTACTTAGTGACTTGCTTCTAACAAATAGAATGACACAGCAGGAATAGTGTGTAACTTCCAAGACTAGATGATAAGGGACATTGCAGCTTCCTCTTTGCACTCTCTCCTTGGATCACTTGCTCTGAAGGAAATCAGCAGCCATGTCATGAGGATACTCAAGTGACCTTATGGACAGATCCACATGGGGAGGAACTGAAACCTCCTGTCCAGAGCTATGTGAGTCAGTCATTTTGGAAATGGATCATCCATCCCCAGTCAAGCCTTCACATAACTGCAGCCCCAGCTGACTCTCTGACTGCAGCTTCATGAAAGACCCTGAGCCAGAATCACCCAGCCAAGCCACTGTTAAATTCCTGATCCACAGAGACCATGAGTTAATAAATGTTTGTTGTTTTAACCCATTGTTTTATGGTAATTTGTTATGCACCCACAGGTAACACCTGGTAAGTAGAATGGATGGAGAAGAGGAAGAAAAGAAAACCACCCCAAAGACAAAAGAAAACAGAAGAGGAAGACCAGAAAAGGCAAGTGCTATAAACCTGAGTTAAACCTGGAGTGGTCATACAGGGTGTGAGGGAAGGAAAGTATGGTCAAATCTAGAAAGGTTGTGCACACTGAAATTCATTTGTCATTCTGCAACACCAAAGTTTCTTATCTGGATCAAAATATGTATTTTTAAAATATTGTAAATGAACTGAACTTTCTTGCTCAGCCACCATATACCTGGAAATTAGACCGTTTATATTTCATTTCTGCATCTGCTCAGTGAACTTGGACAAGTAAAATAAATTCAATGAACATTATTTGTTACTGAACTGTTCTGTGCTATGGATTCTCCATTCATAAAGTACAGGAACATTTTCCCCTTGCCTATGCCCCAGGACAACTTGATGCATTAGCACCACCAGGAGCATGGAAGGCAAATGAGAGTGGTACTGTTTCTCTACCCTCAGCCATCTGTTTCTAGCCTTTTCTTCCTCTCCCCTGAGAGGGTTCGATCAGCACAGTCCTAGACTCCCTGAAATACATTCCTATATTATTTCCATCTCTAATAACAGATGTCTGAAAAGAAAACATGTTGCTGGCATGGATTCCTCTTTAAATGTTAGATTTTGAAATGTCTTTCAGTTTATGGAAAAGTCACAAAGACGGTACAAAGAGTTCCTGTATGCCCCTCACGTAGCTTCCTCTATTATTAAAATGTTACAAAATGAAGAAATTAGCATTGATATAACACTATTATCTAAACTACATATTTTATTCAAACTTCACCAGTCTTTCCATTACTGTCATTTTCTGTTCCAGGGTCCAATCCAAGATACTATATTGCATGTAATCAACATGATTCCTTAGCTCCTCCTAGCTGCGACAGTTTCTCAGACTTTCCTGTTTTTCCTGACCTTGATATTTTTGAAGAATATTGGTCAGGTATTTTGTAGAATGTCCCTTCATTGGGGTTTGCCTGGTATATTTTCATGACTTGACTAGGGATATAAATTTGGGGGAGAAAAACCATAAGAGGTAAGGCACCCTTCTCATCACTTCCTATCAGGGAGTATGTATTAGTTGCTACTGTAACAAATTACCCCAAGCTTAGTGGCTTAAAACAAGAAAAATGTATTCTCTTACAACTCTGGAGACCAGAAGTCAGAAATGAGCCTTACAGGGCTAAATTCAGAGTGTTGGCAGGGCAGGCTCCTTCTGGAGGTCCTATGGAGAATTGTTCCTTGCTTCTTCCAGCTGCTGGTGGTTCCCAGTATTCTTTGGCTTGTGGCCACATCACTCCAATCTCTGCTTCTGTTGTCAAATTGCCTTTTCTTCTGCAGTCAAATCTCCCACTGCCTCCCACTTATAAGAGCCCTTGTGGTATAATGGGCCCATCTGGATAATCAGGACAATCTTCCCATCTCTAGATCCTTAATTTAATTTTGTCTGCAATGTCCCTTTTGCCATATAAGGGAACATATTCACAGGTTCTGGGGATTAGGGGGTGGATATCTTTGGGAGCCATTATTTAGCATACTACAGGGTACACGATTATCCATATGATTTATCGGTGGTGAGGTTAACCTGAGGTTATCAGTGGTGAGGTTGATTAAGGTGGTATCTGCTAGGATTTCTCCACTGTAAAGTTGTATTTGGGGTGATAGATTTTTTTTCATTGCTAAAAGTATGATTTTACTCACAGCTAAATAAGTAATAATGTTGACATTTTGTAGCCATTTGACACCATTCTTTTTTTTTTTTTTTTTTTTTTTTTTTTTGAGACAAAGTCTCACTCTGTTGCCAGGCTGGAGTGCAGTGGCACGATCTCGGCTCACTGCAACCCAAGCGATTCCTCTGCCTCAGCCTCCCGAGTAGCTGGTACTACAGGTGTGTGCCAACAGGCCCAGCTAATTTTTTTTTTTTTTTTTTTTTTTTTTTGCATTTTAGTAGAGATGGAGTTTCACCATGTTGGCCAGGATGGTCTCGATCTCCTGACTTCGTGAGCCATCTGCCTCGGCCTCCCAAAGTGCAGGGATTACAGGCGTGAGCCACCACGCCCAGCCATTTATATTAAGTTCCTTTCCCAGCCAGCCCAAGCTCTAGGTCCCAGAAATACAAAAATTAGCAAACAATGGTTCCTGCCCTCAAGTAGCTAATTGCCTAACTAGGAAGAATGTTTTCAATGTATTGAAAGAAAGCTATTTTGTAACAGAAACCAGCATTGTTTTTAAACAATGGAACCTGCTCCAGCAGAATTTCACATACTGCAGAATTTAAGCTTCTGATTCCCCACCACAAGATATCAGAGGCTGAATTCTATTCAAACTGCTTATTAGCTGCCTGCCTTTGATGAAGTTACTTTTAAACTCTATGCTTCCATTTTTTTCATATATAAAATCTGGAACCTGCTTCAGCAAGGACCTTTGATTGTACAGTAGGTTTCTGGTCATATAAAAATGGAAACTAATGTTCTTAGAGTTTCCAAAGTATGATTGGACTTTCTGTGACTATTTTCCACTTTTATATGCTCTCTTGGATTCTCTTCTCAAAGGTGTTATCATCTCATGGGCAAACCAATAAAAATGCCATCAGGTTTCTCATGAGCAGTCTGGCTTTTATTTTTGTTTCCAGCCAGCTTTATGGGACAAAATGGCCGGGATGCACCCCCAGACTATGGGTGCTCATGCAACTAAAATGAATCCAAACCTCACATTTCACCTTTTGTCTTTGGTCGTAAAATAACACACCATGTTCTTCTCTAAGGAAGATGCTAGAAAACAGGCTTATCCGTAGATTTTTCTCCAAGCGCCACTATGGCACTTCAAACTCAGAGTGGTTCCATGGGAACTCTCACTCAATATAAAAACCCTGTTATTTTTACTGCTTGAAGGAGGCTCACCTTAAATTAACTCCAAGTCATGTCTGAAATATATATCCCATACCAAGTTCTTCAAGTCAAATACTCTTGAAATGGAACAGCTGAGAAATACACAGGGAATTTATCATTCACAAACTGCAGAATTTAAGCATCTGATTGCCCCACAACAAGGTATCCGAGGCTGAATTCTATTCAAATTGCTTATTAGCTGCCTGCCTTTGATGAAGTTACTTTTAAACTCTACTCTTCCATTTTTTCATATATATAAAAGGGATTTAAATGACACTAGGGTTCTCCTTCTTAGCTCACAGAGATTGTTGCAAGATTCAAATGAGATAACACATACGAAGGCATTTAAAAAGATGTAAGGTCCTAAACAATTTTAAGTGACTTTGTAGTAAATTATCACATTTTTTAGGTGTGATAACCATATTGTAGTTGTGTTTTTAAAAGTCCTTATCTTTTAAAGCACGGGTGAGCATGCTTTTTCTTAAGGGGCCAAATAGTAAATATTTTAGGCTTTGTGGACCACAGTGTGCCTGTCCCTGCTGGGAAAGCAGCCAATAGACAGTAGGTAAATGAATGGGTGTGACTTTGTTCTAATAAACTTTATTTGCAAAATAGGAGGTTAGCCCACAGGCCAGAGTTTGCTGATTCTGTTTCAGGAAAACTTGCTGAAATATTTATGGATAAAATGACATGATAGCCAGGATTTGCTTCAAAATCATATGGAAAGTAGAGAAGTGGGTAGGGACAAAAATGAAACAGGATTGGCCCTGAGTTGATACTTGCTGAAGACAGGTGAAAAGTATGTGGGTGCCCATGTTATGCATCTGTCTATTTTTGTATATATTTTAAATTCTGCACTATAAAAAGTTTTTACAACGTCTAATAAATGTAATTAATTATTAACATGGTTAATAATGCCAACAAAGTAACTATTCACATATCTTTGAGGTCTTGGCTGGGTGGTGCAAAGTGAAACTCTTCCCTGAAAGGGTGGTAGTATCATTCCAGCCATTCAGATATGCATTTCCTCTCCTCCACATCAATCAACCTGGAGGTCCAAGATTGAAGTGCCATGAAATGCACATGACTTAGAATGGAATTTGTTTCAGAGTAGCTAGTGGATTGTCAGTGCAGGAAAATGACTCTTCGACGCAGTAGGGAAGTAGACTGATTTGCTGTTTTTACTGACCACCCCAATCTTTCCTCATTCCTCCCCGTGGGCATATTAGTGTATTTTAAATTCTGCTAGTGTCCCACAGCAACCAAATATATATCCAGATAGATAATGAGTATTACAGGATCTGTGGAAAGGGGTGAGGACAGAGGATATAATAATAGAGCCAATATTGATTCCAGATGCTTTACGTGTGTTCTCTCATGGAATCCTTACAACCACCCTATGATATAGGACTATTTACATTCCTTTTACAGATGAGAAAATGAGGCATAGAAAGGGCAAGCACCTCGCCTGCAGTTACATGGTTAAGAAGCGTGTTTCTGTAATTGGGTGCGTAACCACTAGACCACATCATCTCTCAGGGGACAAGGGAGAGAACTAGAGGGATAGTTATGACTCAGAGTTCTCCTGGGAGGTGAAATGGACAAATAGGAAAATGAAGAAAAAAGTGCACTGAAACAAGTAGAAACTAGGGATAAAGAATTAGGGAGCTGAAAGACTGGTGGAAAAAAACCAATAAGGAGAATCCAGCAGCTGTGGTTTCTATTTCTTTCTCGGCAACGGTATCTTGTGTTTTTTGTTTTTGGGTTTTTTTTTTTTTTTCGCCTCTAGAGAAATAAACAGGATGCTCAGTTCCTGTCTCATGTCTATAGTCACATTTCTTTAATATCAAAATAATTTAAGATGTGGAATAGAGAAAAGCAGAAACTCACTAGTTCCTAATGATGACAGGTCCTCAACTGTACTTCCTCTTTCAATAAACAAGATAAAACATCCTCATGGAAACATGAAGCAAATTATGCAATGTTTTACTGAAAACACTGCTAGGCTTCAGGGTGACTCTTAGCAATAATGAAAATGCCCCCATTTCTGATCCCATGGCAAAGAGGCTTCTCACAGGATTAGAGCAAGGCTTGCTAAGTTGTATTTCATCTCCTTCTAGTGCACCCCACTCCCTGTCCTAACCCCACTTCTATATCCCTTCACCAGCAGTGAAGTGCCACCTTTCAAAATGAAGAGCTAATTTGCTATGTTGGAATTAGAGACTTCACTCTAGTCATCCAAAAGTGTTCATTCCTCTTCCTTCACTTGTAAACTCTCCTTCTGATGATTATGATTAATAATAGTCTTCCTCTTTGGGTTTTGTACCATGAGAAGAACTTACCAACACACATTTGATTTCCTTAATCAAAGGCCTAAAAGTGTGGAAATACTGCCTTTGAAAAGAGATTGACCAGACCCCCCAGGCTATAAGGCTGACTTAAGGGTGAAGCCTCATTATGTCCATAGCAAAGAAAGCCTGGTTGCCAAGCATACAAAAATTTTTTAAAAAATAGAAAGTTAATAACTCTGAGTAGGTTACAACAGGCTATGATGTTTATAGGTTTCTGAAGCATTTTGATTGAGATTCAGTGACTTCAACTGGTCGGGGAGGCAGAACTCAATAATTTTTTTTAACTTTCAATTAAATTGTTGAGGTAAAAACAATCAGAGCAGAAAAAGAATGAGGAGAGGCTTTTGTTACTAGGCAATCCAGAAGCAACATAAACTGTACTCTGGAAGAAAAATGCTTTTTACCCTTTCTCAGAAACTAGGACACACGAAAAGTAGTACCAAAGTTTTTCCTTAGATATAGCTACTGCCAAACCTAACATGGGCACATTCACCCCTTAAATTCTCACTCCAAAATCCAGGTTTATTCAAGAGTGTTTGTATGTGAGAACATGTATTTGTAGAAGGGTAGGAGTTAGAATTAGCATTTGCTGAGTATTCACTATGTGCCAGGCACTATTCTAAATGCTTTATAGCTCTTTAGATTTTGAACCCTATTAGGAAGGTACTATTATTAATCCCATTTTAAGAATGAGGAAACCAAGCTCCAGCGAGGTTTTATAATTCACCCAAGATGACACAATTAGTCAATGCTAAAGCCTGGTTTCAAACTCAGGCAATCTGGCACAGATTTCATGCTCTTAATACCATTCTAGTTCCATGCAATTTCTGAATAAGAATTTTTGCTATCTGAAATCAGATATTTTTAAAATTTCAAATAGATTCCCCCACCCCTTCATAGCTGAGAAAACTGAGATGCACAGAGGTTAAGAGACTGTCACAGTACAATATTTATTTTTATCTACATTCTTATTGCATTTTTGTCATCCCAGTTTCTACGACATGCAATATCTTTTAATCATATTATAGAGCTTCTGGAATGCAAAGACCTTGTCTTATTTATCTTCACATAAACCTAATTTTAATACTTCTCTTATAGAGTATGACAAATTGTGAAAATGTACACACATTCTGCATCACTGTATCCACACTTGCTTGAAATAAGACCTTGATGCTCTTCCCATTAAAATGTAGAGACTAACTCTCTATTTATTCTGGCCTTTATGACATTTTTTCCCCAGAAAAATGCACTAGAAATAGCCTTGTGCCAGCTATAACCTAGGTCTCAAGAATCCTAGCATGCTTAATTTTGCCACCACCTTGTGGTTGAACACAGGCTAGCCTGCTGGAGGATGAGAGGCCACATGAAGTAATAGCAAGCGATCACATCTGAGGTTATAAACACCAAACGTCCCTCAGCTATCCCAATCACTAACTATAGATGCATGAATGGGTCCAACTGAGACTCACTGAGAACCACCACCTAAGTCCAACCCAAATTTCTGACTCACAGAATTGAAAGCTAAATAAATCATTGTTGTGTCAAGCCACTAAAAAGAGAGAAAGAGACTGTTACAGTAAACTAATGTTGAGTGATGGTCGGAAACCAGGTCTCCTGATAGTTTACATATTTCTCTCCTTCCACCCCGCCGGCCATAAAGCTCTCTAAAGAGACATTTCATCAGAAGAACTATGGCATCCACAAAGATGCACCACTCAGATCTCCCATCAAGAAAAAACACGTTGTTAGCAGCAAAGAGTACAGTTTGCTAAGAACCTCCAGCTAGTCAGTGCCTTTTAAATCCACCTGAACTCTCTAGCTGAAGCCATGCTCTTCCAAGGCAGCCCTCAGCCAAAGACTCAGCATGGCAGAAGACCTACAACCTGGTCATTTCTGCCCAACGGGAGACTCTTCTAATGGGCAATCTTTGCTACAGAGCTTCCCATTGGGTTGGTGGAGACTTTGTCAGAGCTGCTTCGTTGTCCAAGGCTCTCCCTAGCCAAATCTGCTTCATAACCCTTTTATCTTTCACAGTTATCACCTGTGCAACATACCGCTTTCTTACCTAATTCTAATTCAGTTTCTGCTTTCCAGGGAGGACCTACCTGGCACAGGAATAAAATCTACTTTGCTGATACTTCTAACATTGAAGGTGGAGGAAAATAATCAAATTTCAAGGCCAATCATTTGAACAATGTCTTTGCTCCTCCCTTGTCTTTCTTGTATGTGAGGTCTCTCAGTACAGATGATCCC
The DNA here is from genome assembly GCF_000001405.40 of Homo sapiens. Classification (NCBI taxonomy): domain Eukaryota; kingdom Metazoa; phylum Chordata; class Mammalia; order Primates; family Hominidae; genus Homo; species Homo sapiens. Next base: position 16,111,700 of record NC_000023.11, on the reverse strand, counting down.
TGACTTAAGATGGTTCGACTTAACAACTTTTTTACTTTACGATGCTGCAAAAACAATATGCGTTCAGTAGAAACCACACCTCCAGTACCTATACAGCCATTCTCTTTTTAACTTTCAGCATGATATTCAATAAATTACATGAGCTACTCGACACTTTGTTATAAAATAGGCTTTGTGTTAGATGATTTTTCCCAGCTATAGGCTAATGAAAGTGTTCTGAGCACGTTCAAGATAGGCTAGACTAAAGCTATGATGTTCAGTAAGCTAGGAGTATTTAATGTATTTTTCACTTAATGATATTTTCAACTTAAGATGGGTTTATCAGGAAGTAACCCCATAGTAAGTTAAAGAGCATCTCTATTAAGGTAAAACATTCGTGTTTTCAATAGCCTCTTCCATGAAGGTGATTCTCAAGTTAATATTCCCCTTTAAGAAATTCCTAAGACAATCATCCAGGCGCGATGGCTCACACCTGTAATCCCAGCACTTTGAGAGGCCAAGGTGAGTGGATCACTTGAGGTCAGGAGTTGGAGACCAGCCTGGCCAACATGGTGAAACCCTGTCTCTACTAAAAATACAAAAGTTAGCGGGTGTGGTGGCACACGCCTGTAGTCCCAGCTACTTGGGAGACTGAGGCAGGAGAATCTCTTGAACCCAGGAGGCAGAGGTTGCAGTGAGCCAAGATTGTGCTACTGTACTCCAGCCTGGGCAACAAAGTGAGAACCTGTCTCAAAAAAAAAAAAAAAGAAAAGAAAAAAGAAAAGAAAAGAAAAGAAAGAAAGAAGAGAAAAGAAATTCCTAAGACAATCAAAAATGTAGTGAATGCAGCCACACAGAAGTGCTTGTTATTTTTAGGTAGGCTCTTTTACTGCCCTATAATTTTTTCTCACATGCTGCTTGAAATGCCCTAAATATTCTTCACTCTCTCCTTCAGCTGGCAAGCTTCTCATTGTTTTATGCCAAGCTGAAATGTCACTCTTCTACAAAGCCTTCCTAGAGTTCTTCAGACAAAATTGTCCCATCGCATCACAACCACCATCGTGATCTTTTTTTTCCATCATGATCATTATTATCACTATTGACATCTACTGAATATTAATGACAGGTCTTGGCTTAAAGCTACATGTGAATTATTTATTTGATCCTTACAGCAACACAATGAAGTAGGTAGTATAATTGCATCCATTTCACAGATGAGGCATCAGAGGTACAGAGAGGTTAAAAGTCACATATCTAAAACGGAATAGGGCTGGGATGCAAACTCAGCCTATCTCTTAAGTACAATGCTATGGAATATGCTGTATCTGAAAACAGCAGGCCATGTTCTTTTCTTTTCCTAGACACCTCTTCTTAAGAAGTGAATGACTTGCAGTTAAATCTGATTAATAGTCAATAGGCCCGGCAGGAGAAAGAGTAAGAAGGAAAGACTCTGGTTTTGCCTTTGTTAAAGTTAATCCTGAGATTTCCCAGAGCCCTCTTCTCTTCCATTCCCTTTATTTTCCTCTCTCCTCAGTCTCCTCTCCTTTCTAGTCCCTGATTTGCAAAGTGGAAAACTGAGATAGTTATGACTTCTAGCTTCAAGCTGTTGATGTTATTAGGGCCTGTGGACTGGGGAGTGGGGACACACTTACTCCAATTTTTCTCTGTTTAAAGCTTTGGTATAGGAACAATGTAATTACTTCCTAGTTCTTCCTCCTTGGTGGTGGCCATGTGTGCATCCCAAGAAAAGGAGGAAAAAGCACAAGTCTGAACTATGTTGAATTGGCAACAATACTGCAACTGTCAATCTTGGTTTCCCCATGTGTGACTTTCAGCAAGATTCAGAATCTCTATGTATTTATATTTCTTTATCTATAAATGATATCATCTTATTATTTATAAAGTAGAAATAATCTCTAACTCACAAGGTAGTTGTGAAAATTAAATGACACGTAGAAATATTCAATAAACAGTAGCTCTTTTTCCCAGTATCATTGTCAAATTTTGCACTTGATATTCAGCCAACTCCATTGTGGTCTTTTGAGCCACATTTGTATAAAATTAGCTTTTCCCATCTTTTATGGGAAAGTTTGTTTTTTTCTCTATAAGCACACTGTATTTATGTGACTAAATAATAAATAAATATAAAATATATAAATATATAAAATATATATAATAAAAATTATATGCCTTATATAGTTTGCATATGTGTCCCCGCCCAAATCTCATGTTGAATTTTAATTCCCAGTATTGGAGGTGGGGCCTGATGGGAGGTAATTGGATCATGGAGGTGGATTTCTCATGAATGGTTTAGCATCATTCTCTTCATGCTGTCCTTGAGATAGTGAGTGACTTCTCATGAGATCTGGCTGTTTAAAAGTGTAGTACCTAAGGCCAGGCGCAGTGGCTCATGCCTGTAATCCCAGCACTTTGGGAGGCTGAGGCGGGAGGATCACCTGAGGTCAGGAGTTCAAGACCAGCCTGACCAACATGGAGAAACCCTGTCTCTACTAAAAATACAAAATTAGCCGGGCGTGGTGACACATATCTGTAATCCCTGCTACTTGGGAGGCTGAGGCAGGAGAATCTCTTGAACCCGGGAGGCGGAGGTTGCAGTGAGTTGAGATCACGCCATTGCACTCCAGCCTGGGAAACAAGAGCAGAACTCCGTCCCCCCTAAAAAAAAAAACAAACAACAACAACAACAACAAAACAAGTGTAGCACCTCGCGCTCTCTCTCTTTCTTGCTCCTGCTTTTACCATGTGATGTGCCTGCTCCACCTTTGCCTTCTGCCATGATTGTAAGCTTGCTGAAGCCTCCCCAGAAGCTGAGCAGATGTTGGCACCATGCTTCCTGTAAATCCTGCAGAACCATGAGCCAATTAAACCTCTTTTTTTAATAAATTACTCAGCCTCGGGTATTTCTTTATGGCAATGCAAGAACGACCTAATACAAAGCCATAATCAGTACTCTTTTTTTGGACAGACAAAACAAATTATTTGATAAGGAGGTTTATGTGTATTAATAAATTTGACTGGGAGAAATACATCTTACTGGTGAATAAGATAAATTTTGTTCTAATTCATGATATGATGAGAAGGGATGTTAAAGTTCTAATAAGGCATGGAATGGTAAAATGACTATTAATTGAATGCGACTCTTGGGTAATTTATGCCTATAAGGAACTAAAGTATCACGGAAAAATGACTTTTTAAACTGCTATTACATTTATTCACACATCCACTCACTCATCCATGTACTTCTTCGTCTATTATTCATCTGTCCTCCATCCATGCATCCATCTTTCCACCCATCCATCAATTTATTATCCAGCTATTCATCTATCAATGCATCCATCCTTCCTTTCACCCACTCATTCCACTGACCTACTCAAGGTAATAACAATGCAGTGCATGTAAACATATATAAGAAATGGTCTTTACCATATGGAAACTTTCTATGTATTAGGGGAGAACAGAAGATAAGAGGAAATATGAGCTAAATCACCCCAAGAGTTGTATAATACATCTAGAGAGTTCCCAGGCATGAGAAATTATATCTTAAGGGCGAGAAAGAAAAACTTCTTGGACAGAAGAGACAAAATTTACTTTAGACATTGAAGATTCTTGAAGAATAGGTATAACACCTGTCCTAGTCTTTTCAAGCTACTATACAAAATACCTTAAACTAGCTACTATACAAAATACAGGCTGGAAAGTTCAAGATCAAGGTGTCTACAGATTTGGCATCTGGTGACAGCTCATTTTCTCATTCATAGATAACCATTTTCTCACTGTAATTTCACATAATGGAAGGGGTGAACAAGTTCTCTGGAGTCTCTTTTAAAATGACACTAATCCCATTCATGAAGGCTCTGCCCTCATGACCCTATCACCTCCCCAAAGTCCCCATTTCCTTATACCATCATGCTAGGGGTTAAAATGTCAAAATATAAATTTGGGGGTGGAGGTATAAATATTCATGCTATAGCATTCTGCTCCTGGCCCTCAAAATTCATTCCCTTCTCAAATGCAAAAATGCATTCATCCTATTCCAATAGCCCCCAGAGTATTAACTCATTATAGCATCAACTCACAAGCCTAAGTCCAAAGTCTCACCTAAATATAATCCAGGCTGGGCACAGTGGCTCATGCCTGTAATCCCAACACTTTGGGAAGCCGGGCAGGTGGATCACTTGAGGCCAGGAGTTTGAGACCAGCCTGGCCAACATGGCGAAACCCCATCTCTACTAAAAATACAAAAATTAGTCAGGCATGGTGGCACACACCTGTAACCCCAGCTACTTGGGAAACTGCGACACGAGAATTGCCCCAGGAGGCGGAGGTTGCAGTCAGCCAAGATCACACCACTTCACTCCAGCATGGACTACAGAGTGAGACTCTGTCTCAAAACAAACAAACAAAATAAAAACAAACAAACAAACAAAAACCAACATAAATATAATCTAAATCAGATATGGGTGAGATTTAAGGTAAATTCCTCTTCAACAGTGAGCCTGTGTTATCAAACAAGTTATGTGCTTCCGAAATACAATGGTGAGATAGGCACAGGGCAGACATTCCCATTCCAAAACAGGAATAGAAAAGAAGAAAGGAGTACCATGTCCTGAGCGAGTCCAAAACCTTAAGGCTTGAGAATAATCTTCTTTGCCTCAATGCTTTGCCTTCCAGATCCACCAGGGTGAAGGTCCCAACTTACGGACACACTGGAGAAAAAGGCCCATTTTCCCGACGCACTGGGCTGGAGGTCCTGCCTCTGCAGCTTTGCTGGGCATCAGTTGGACCTGCAAGACTCCAGGAAGCTCTGTTCCCACGGCTTTTTTGGGTGCAACACAGTTTGTTGCACCCACTCAAGCCACACCTAGGGCAACTGAGGAAGGTGGCAGTAGAGCACAGGGAGCAGAGCCCACAATGTAATTCAGCCAAGGTGTTTGCCACTTTATAACAAGGTTTGCCTTTTCTCCAGTTTCCAATAACGTGTTCTGTATTTCCATCTGAAACCATATCAAAATAGCCTTTACTGTTGATATTTCTACCAATATTATGTTTATAACCATTTAGGTATTTTCTAAGAAGACTGAGGCTTTCTCTACAGCTCTACTCATTTTTTTTTTTCTGATCCCTCAGCAGAATTATCTTTAAAAGTTTGATATGGTTTGGCTGTGTCCCCACCAAAATCTCATCTTGAATTGTAGCTCCCATAATCTTCATGTGTTGTGGGAGGGACCCAGTGGGAGGTCATTGAATCCTGGGGGTGGGTTTTTCCTGTGCTATTCTTGATAGTGAATATGTCTTATGAGATCTGATGGTTTTATAAAGGGCAGTTCCCCTGCACATGCTCTCTTGACTGCCACCATGTAAGACGCGGCTTTGCTCCTCCTTTGTCTTCTGGCATGATCGTGAGGCCTCCCCAGCCATGTGGAACCATGAGTCCATTAAACCTCTTTTTCTTTATAAATTACCCAGTCTAAGGTATGTCTTTATTAGCAGTGTGAGAACAGACTAATACAGAGTTCATTCATGGCAATGTTGGCTCTTTCTAGCATGCACCTCAAAACTCTTCCAGCATCTACACGTTACCCAGTTCTAAAACTGCTTCCACATTTTTAGGTATTTATTACAGCAGCAGCCCACTTCTTGGTATCAGGGCATGATGGTCTTCTTGATACCATTAATAAGTTTAGTTTCTAAAGAAGCTGACCTTGAGACACAGATTTGACTTCAAATAATTTATTTGGCAGATAATCTAGGAAGTTCTGGTAGGTGAGTAGGGTAGCACGTCAGGGAAGGGAAAGGGCCAATAAAGGCTATATTATCAAGCAAATTTCCTCTGTGAGTAACTAGAATTCAATCACACTGGGAAACTCTGGGAGTCAGTATAAAATAAACAAATGTCTGAGAATTATTCTACTGGAGAGGGAAGGGAGTGGGGGTGTTTATATGTCAACTTTCATTGGACATTGGTTGAGAACTGTTCCTAGGAAGATGGTAATTTCCTGGCACTTTTGGCCTTCCATGTGCATGGATAGAGAGGGCTTCAGTGGCCACAGAAAATCCTCAGGAAAAGAGATGACATATTGGCAGTTAGAAATTAAGCCTGCCCACTAAAATGGTAAGGCCCAAGTAGATATGGGGAGATAGACAGTAGATGCTTTACCAGTAGAGTCTAGAAGAACAGCACTTATAAAAATGACTGGGGGCAGTGCTTTTGTACAAGGGCGAATCAGAATATCTCGGAGGTATGTATAGTTTTAAAAACCATATTTAATATAACATAATTTTATGTTTATAAAATAGCAATACTTTGGGTTTTTATCTCTTTGGTTGGTAAATATAGAGAGAAGATAGTAAGTTTCAAAAGAGTTCAGCATAAAATTATAACATTGAGACAGATGAGTTTCAGAAGGGTCATTTGAAATGCTCATGTTTGCTTTTGGCTTAAAATGTTTGCGAGGGGCTAAGCCAGATCCCTCATTACAATGTGCTACCTAATGAGGAAAGTATTTGCTAAAGAGGTTCTTCCATTTTGTTTTTCTACCCAAGGGTAAATAAGGTACAGATATATAAACTGAAAAGAAAAGCTGAAATTGGGATTGCCATTTCATCCACATCTTTAGAGCCATGTTGAAAATGTATTTCAGCGCAGAGAAAAAAATGGCCTTTGGCAGAAGCATTTAGCAGAAGATTCAGTTTCTAAATACATTCTCAGCAAAATTAAATGGATTTGCCATGTTCTAATTCAACTTAGTTATGCCCCATGAAATTGAGAAGTTTTCTATAAATTGCATTTTAGAAACCCATTAAAAATCCTCAAGTAATAATTTCTAAAAAAGAAAAATCAAAAGAACTACAGAGAAAGTCACTAAAATCAGCTATTCATCATTAATTTTTCTTTCTTAATGGGAGTGACTGACTCACTCATTTGCTGAATTCCATTTTGGGCAACAATATTTTTAATGTTAATCTAAGAGTTCATTCTTCAAACAAAATATACTGATAAGGTCTTAGTTCAGGTGTAAACTTTGATATAAATATCTCTAGTCAATTTATATCTATAAAGTGATTTGCATAAGCATCCTTGGCTGAAGGAAGAGGAAGTTTGCTTAGCACCTGGGGAAGAGTCAAAAATAGTCTTTTGAATATAGGCCTCTGGCTTGATGTCTGAGCTTTCTGGAGAGATGGGCTAATAAGAAAATCTGAGGAACCCATGGCCAGGTGCGGTGGCTCATGCCTATAATCCCAGCACTTTGGGAGGCTGAGGCACGAGGATCACCTGAGGTCAGGAGTGCAAGACCAGCCTGGCCAACATGGTGAAACACTGTCTCTACTAAAAATACAAAAATTAGCCAGGCGTGGTGGCAGGTGCCTGTAATCCCAGCTACTCAGGAGGCTGAGGTAGAAGAACCACTTAAACTCGAGGGGCAGAGGCTGCAGTGAGCCAAGATTGCACCACTACACTTCAGCCTGGGCAACAGAGCAACAGAGCGAGACTCTGTCTCCAAAAAAAAAAAAAAAAAAAGAAAGAAAGAAAGAAAATCTGAGGAACCCATTTTAGTGAGAAATCCTGAATGCACAGGTCACAAGCAGCATTGTACTATAGCTCTGCTGAGGACAGTGAATGAAGGCTGCAGGGAATATAATGTAACTTTGGTGACTAGAGGGTTCACAGTTCTGGAGTACCTGGGACATCAGCACTCTCCCAGAGGTGCTAGCTGTGGTGATCAGCAGCGCCAAGTAGCAGATACCCTTGAGGGATTCAAGGAGAAGACAATGGGAAGGCTTCTTACAAGCTGCCAGAAAGGGATTTTGTAAAACCGGCGAAATCTGGACTTTTGTTTTTAATATGACCACTTTAGTACTCACAGGCTGGAGAAACTTGGGTTGACAATGAATGAAAACAGTACCAAGTTTAACATGCGTCAAGGTTTCATAAGCCTTTGCAGATCATAATTATAGAAATCTATGAATGGCTCTTAATAATTACATAGACAGAAAATAGTAAATCCAGATAATATAAATGCAATCAGTTGTGCAGTGTTGTCATCTTGATAAATTACATTTTCCAAAGAGATATTTTAAATATATCTATTATTTGTTCCACTAAGTGCCTGCTTGGTTAATGGGGAAACTGTGGATTTGGGGGTTAGGAGCCCCGAATTCTGGTGTCCTAATTGGGCCAATCGCTTTTTGACCTTAGGCAAATTTTGGGTGCAGGATTAATTGATTGCCTCCAATTCATCACCCCACCTCCAATCAATACCCTTGGCAGGACCTCACTGTGGGCAGAGACTATTTCCCTGCCCCTTAACTTTGGTTTTGGCCATGTGATATACCTTGGCCAATGACATATGAGCAGAAATTACTTCAGTTCCAAGTGTAGGCTTTAAAAGGCCTTGTACATGTCCACTTGCCCTCTTGTGCCTTCACCATCACCTCAACACCACCATCTAGTTGGCCCACTGGTTCGAGGAAGATGAGAGTCATGGGCAACAAACCACAGAACTGCCCAAGCCACAAAAGCCTAGATCAGCCAAAACTCAGCTAGTTCAGAGACGCATTAGCTAAATACATGCTTATTATAAGCTGCTAAAATTGTCTGGTTGGTTGTTACACAGCAATAGCTAACTGATACATCTTGTTATCTTTCTGGACCTCAGTTTCTTTATCTGTAAACTGAACAAGTTTACCATTTAACTTCAGATCTCTTCTAGCTTTAATCTTTTTTCTAAAACAAATTCCTCCTTATGTATATGTAGCTGAATTTTTAAAAAATCTTTTCTTATAAACCTAAAGCACACTGATTTCAGAAGTATTGTTCCTCTAGCTAGATACATCAGGTCTGTATTTAATGACACCCACTAGGTAGCAGAAAGTCTTTTAACCAAAGCTGAAGAGCCATATAAAATATGCAGAGGTTGAGCCTCAGATAAACAGTATACATTTAATTTCTAGCTTTCAAAGTAAAAGCTTCAGAGTGAGCCCCTTAGGTTTTTATTGAATGAAAACAAGGAGGTCTCCTAGACAGACAGGTGCAAGGGAAAGGAAGGACAGCATCTTCTAGACTTTTGGGAAGCATTTATATTTTTGGCTTATAGAATTCAAGCCAAAAATATCCAACCAAGGTTTACCTTTGAGGACCAACAATGATTAGCCATTTCTCTGGCAAGATATCTCTATACTCATTTTTATAACAGCTCCTTGACTAATCATATGATTTACATATGATTTTCTATGTGAAGAAATCATATGATTTCTTCACATAGAAAAATAAGAGTATTCAATCTCTTTCAATATGGAAAGTTAACATTCTCCTTTGTTTTTCTTCCTTGTCTTTGCTCCATGAGAAAGATCTACCAAAACCTACTTCACCATTAGCACCACCACTAGTGGAATGCAAACACAGCCCTCTCCTGCTGGAGTTTAGCTCTTCAGACTAATAAGTTTTCAGTTGTTAAAGATTTGGGGTCATCAAACTTTATTGAGGAAGAAAACAGGCTGGGGGAGGGGTGTGTGTGTGTGTGTGTGTGTGTGCAGATAAACAGGGTGTGGAGTTAGACCCTGGAAGGACTAGGGGAAGGCAGGGCAAGATACATTAGGCTGGAAAATGTCTCCCCCACCCCAAATATATTATGTTCTAATCCCTGGAACCTGTAAATGTTGTTAACCTATATAGAAATAGGATCTTTTCAGACGTGATTAAGCTAAGGATCTTGAGATGGGGAGATTATCTTGAATTATCACGGTGGGCACTAAATGCAATCATATGGATCCTTATAAGAAAGAGGTAGAGGAGGGTTTGACAGACAAGCAGAGAAGGCAATGTGACCACAGAGGCAGAGATTGGAGTGATAAGGCCACAAGCTAAAGAAGAAGGCAGCCACCAGAAGCTGGAAGAGGCAAGGAATGGACCCCCTCTAGAGACTCCAGACAGAGTCTGACCCTGCTGACACCTTGATTTCAGCCCAATGAGACTGTCAAGATTCTTAACTCAATCACATCTGCAAAGATCCTGTTTCCATAGAAGATAACATTTCTCTCTCCTCTCTCTCTTCCTCTCTTTCTCTCTCTCGTCTGTCTCTTTCTTTCTTATTTCTCTTTGTGTCTCTCTCTTATCTGCTGCCCAAGCAGATGCTAAACTGGGGGATGAGATAATGGATTCCCCTACTTTTAGGTATGCTAATCTCTAGGAATTATTTTATTCCTCTCCTCCCAACACTTCACATGGTTTCCCATGTGGAAGAGAGGAAAACATTTTACAGTTATTTCTTAAGTTTGTGGGGGTTTTTTGTTGTTTTTTGTTTTGAGACAGAGTCTCACTCTGTCACCCAGGCTGGAGTGCAGTGGCGTAATCTCAGCTCACTGCAACTTCTGCCTCCCGGGTTCAAGCAGTTCTCGTGCCTCAGACTCCCAAGTAGCTGGGATTACAGGCATGTGCCACCACGCAAGACTAATTTTTGTATTTTTAGTAGAGATGGGGTTTTGCCATGTTGGCCAGGCTGGTCTCGAACTCCTAACCTCAAGTGATCCACCTGCCTCTGCCTCCCAAAGTGCTGGGATTACAGGTGTGAGCCACCACGCCGGGCCAAGTCTTGTTTTCTAAAACAAGATTAAGAATATAGGTATATGTATTCTTCAACTGGCGGAACTTACAACGCAAAGATACATTTACATTTTTTTTTTTTAAGAATCATTACTCATGTCCTAGCCTAGAGACACTCAGGAGGTATGGTTCAATCCAGCTTTTGTCCATTGTCCCAGTGGCTCTGAACATTGCCCAGAAGCCAATTCAGTTCTGCATGGTTTGTTCAAGGACAATTAGAGTTCAGGCTTATCTTTTTTTATCTCCCTAATTGTTAGAGAGCACAAGGAGTCCTGAGGCTGTCCCCGAATCTGGCAGTCTGCTTAATAATCACTCCTCAGCTTCTAAGCACTTTTGAGGAAGGAGGAGATCAGTCACTGGCAGACCCAGCTACTTTGTTATGGATTTATTAACTTAACCCCTTCTGAGTGCTCGGATAAACTACAGATGCAAAGAAGACTTTTCAAGGGTTAGAGGAAAGCTCTATAAACTATATGTTGTCAACAAAACTCAATCGAATTCACATTCTCATTCTTCTGCTTGTCTTTAAAATCCCAGATTGATTTTTGCAGAATTCACAGTGTCACCCAGGTAATGCTGTTTCTAGTTACTTTATTAAGGAGTTGTTAATAAAATAGCATAATGTGATGCCGCTTTTGCAAATTCAGCAAGTCTATCACCTAAAAGGGAAGCCCTCCCCCCAACGCACATACAGCTCTTCTGGGGAAAGGGACTTGTGTGTGTGTGTGTGAGAGCGTGTGTGTGTGTGCGAGAGCGTGTGTGTATATGTGTGTGTATGTATGTGAGAGCATGTGTGTGTATGTGTGTGTGAGAGCGTGTGTATATGTGTGTGTGAGAGCGTGTGTATGTATGTGTGTGTGTGTATGTGTGAGAGCGTCTGTGAGAGCATGTGCATGTGTGTATGTGTGTATGTGTGTGTATGTGTGTGTGAGCGTGTATGTGTGTGTGTGTGTGTGTGTGTGTGTGTGTGTGTGTATGTATTTCTTGGCCCAACTCATTTCTGCTGCCCACTCCCTTTTGGTTGTGCACCTGCAATTTGATTTTGCACTGTAATAACTCAATTTTGCTTAATCTGATTACACTTGACTAAAAATGAAAAGCAGAATCTATATGATATATTGAAGGATTTGTAAGGAAAAACTGTTTATCCTAGCAGATTGTAACAGTTTAATGCAGGGTTTCTTAGGCTTGTCACTGTTGATATTTTGGCTGCATAATTCTTTGTTGTTGGGGGGAATGTCTTGTATATTTTAGGATGTTTAGCATCATTCCTAGCTTCTACCCACTAGATGCACAAATGTGCCAGTAGCACCCCTTCCCCTCGTTTGGGACAGCCATAAATGTCCCCAGATATTGGCAAATGTTTCTGGGGCAGGGGCTGGGCAGGGGAGAACCACTAGTTTAAATTGTCAATTCATTTTTTAAAAGATTCTCAGAGCAGTCCAAGAGAGACCGTGTTGAAAATGTGTATTAGAAAATTTGGTAGCCAGCCTCCAAGATAGCACTCAATGGTCCTGCTCTCTGGTATTCATGCCTTTATATAAGCCTCCCCACCGACTGAATAGGGCTGACCTATGTAACCAATAGAACATGGTGGAACTGACACAGTATGATTTTCTTCAAGCTAGGTCATAATGCCACAACCTGATGGGTTCGTCTTGACTGCTGCCCTCCACCACCAAAAACAATGTGAACAGCAGGTGTTGTAGCAAAGAAAGAGTTTAATAATCACGGAACTGGCCAAGTGGGGAGAACAGGGAGAAATTTCTCAAACTTGTCTCCCTGAGAATTCAAAGGCAGGGTTTTTAAGTGTATTTTGGTGGGCAGCGGGGTGGGGAACTGGAACAACTGATTGGCTGGGGATGAAATCACAAGGGCATCTAAAATTGTCTTCATGCAGCTCAGTCAGTTCCCAGGAGTGAAAGTTCAGGACCAAGTGGTGTCTCTTGGTGTATTGAAATGCTAAGTCTGAAAAATATCTCAAAGATCAGTTCTCTAGGTTTCACAACAGTGATGCTATCTATAGGAGTAGTTGAGTAAATCACAAATCTTGCAACCCCTTGTTACATAACTCTGGGAAACACGCTAAATGATGGCAGGTCCTTTTTTAACTATGTCTATTCTTTAGCAAAGTTTAAGGCTCTACTGTAATTTTAACCTTGCCTTATGAACGCTTGTGTTAGGCCATTCTTGCATTGCTATAAAGAAATACCTGAGACTGGGTAATTTATGTTAAAAAGAGATTTAATTGGCTCACGGTTCTGCAGGCTGTACGTACAAGAAGCATAGCAGTGTCTGCTTCTGAGGAGGCCCCTGGAAGCTTACAATCATGGCACAAGGCCAAGCTGGAGCTTATATGTCACATGGTGAAAGCAGAAGCAAGAGAGAAAGAGACAGGAGTTGCCTCACACTTTTAAAAAACCAGATCTTGGCCAGGCACAGTGGCTCATGCCTGTAATCCCAGCACTTTGGGAGGCCGAGATGGGTGGATCACCTGAGGTCAGGAGTTTGAGACCAGCCTGGCCAACATGTTGAAACCCCATCTCTACTAAAAATACAAAAATTAGCTGGCCATGGTGGCAGGCGCCTGTAATCCCAGCTACTTGGGAGGCCGAGGCAGGAGAATCGCTTGAACCCGGGAGGTGGAGGTTGCAGTGAGCAGAGATCACGCCATTGCACTCCAGCCAGGAGGACGAGAGCGAGACCTCATTTAAAAAAACAAAACAAAACAAAACAAAAAACAGATCTTGTAAGAACTCACTCATTATCATGAGAACACCACCAAGAGGATGGTACTACACCATTCATGAGGGATACACGCCATGATCCAGTCACCTCCCACAAGGTCCCACTTCCAACATTGGGGATCACAATTCAACATGGATTTGAACAGGGACACAGATCCCAACTATATCAATGTGGCTTCAAGCTCTGGACAAAGAGGGGGTCAATTTCCCTTGCCTCAGTGTTTAACTATACACTAAATTCTCATAATTATCTTGTCTGTGCTACAGTAAGCAAAACAACAATTTAGCTTGTGAGGTTAGAAGCAAGATGGAGTCAGTCATGTTAGATTTCTCTCATTATGTACAATTCTGCAAAAGGGTTTCAATAAGACCATTGATCTTTTAGATTACTTGCTCTAAGGGAAAACTAGCTGCCATATCATGAGGACACTCACAAGCCCTGTGGAGAGGTTCACATGGCAAGAGCCTCATGAGATCCATGTTGGATGTGGATCTTCCAGCTCCTGTCAAGCTATGAGATGACTACGGCCCTGGATGACTTCTTGACTACAACTTCATCAGGGACCCAAAGCCAGAAACACCCATCAAGCCACTCTTGAATTCCTGATGTACTAAAATTGCATATTGTTTGTTAGAGTTTATTATTTTTTAAGCCTCTAAGTTTTGGGGTAATACAGCAATAGATAATTAATAGAACTTAGAACAAATATCAATTTTGAGCAAAGAAAACATTTGTCTATCCAATATTTGTTTAATCAGAGAGACATTCTTTGTTACTTTTCTTATTAAAATCTTAAGGGTAGAGTACTATGGATCATAGCATATTAACAGAAGGAAGACAGAAGCAGGTCAAAAGATAAAGCTAGACCTTTTGTTAGGAAGAAACAGAAAGCTTCCTTGGATTGGCTAAGCATAGGGATATCCCTAATTCCTAAAATAATGGGATTAAGCAAATAAACACTTAATTTACTGGATAAATGCTTGTTTTATCTTTGTAAATGTTGGATTTTATTTTTTAATAAATTGGGTTCCATTTAGAATATCTTCGTAGGTCATTACAACATTAGTCCTTGTTTAAAAATGTAAAATAATCACAGTTTATTTTGTGTGACATCTATACCTGCAGTTTATATAACCATGCAATTGCCAGATTATTTGTCCACTGATGTTTCTTAAAATGGTGCATAAACTGTCCCTCTCATATAAGAATAAATTTGAGGGACAGAATTTCCTTACTGCTAAAATTTCCTTGCCCACAAAATAATTTTCTCAAACCATTAAAGAATGATGAATAATTAATGGATAAGCAAATCATGGTATATTCATATGATGAAATACTACTCAGTGATAAAAAGGAATGAACTGTTGCTACACATAAGATCTGTGAATATCAAAATAATTATGCTGAGTGAAAGAGCCCAGACAAAAAGAGTGCATACTTTATGATTTGATGGGCACAAATTCTAGAAAATGGAAACCAATCTGTAATATCAGAGAGCAAATCAATGGTTGCCTAGGAATGGGGGTAGAGAGGGGCAGGAGGGAGTCATTATAAGTAAGCATAAAAAATTTTTTTTGACAGTGATGGATATGTTCGTTATCTTAATTATGGTGATGACTTCATAGATGTATACATATGTCAAAACCTATCACCTTGTACACTTTAAATATGTACAGTTTATTATATGTCAATGTTGCCTTGAAAAACTGTTTTAAAAGTGATGGATGACATACCATGTCATAAAAAATGAATGGTGGCATAATCATACAGAAAAAGCAAAGAAATAGAACATAGACAAAAGTAGTTATCCTGTCATCTGAATTCCTAAAAATCTTATTCAGTTGCCCAAACAAAAAATGCTGGACTCCATGTGAGCTTAAGTTTGCTGTTCTGCAATTCAGTGCCTCTATTCAAAGATATTGGGGGAAGAAGTAAGCCCGTAGGGTTCGCAGACACAAGACAGATTGCTTTCACTGCAGGAGTGCTTGCACGCCCCTCCCCCAACTCCAGCTTGCAGCAATGAAAGTGACTTCTTTCTTCTTCTTGAGGAGAGGAGAGAGATGATTAAAGGGGACTTTGTCTTGCATCTTGGATACCAGCTTAGTCACAATAGGATAGAGCACCAGGCAGATTCATGAGACCCCCATCCCAGGTCCTAGCTCATGGAAAACATTTCTACACATACCCTGGACCAAAAGGAAACATGCTACCTTGAAAGGAAGTACTCAGTCCTGGCAGTATTCATGACCTGCTGACTGAAGAGCATGAATAACCAACAGTACTACCCAAATAGTATGCCATGGGCCTTGGGTGAGAGAATCTGAGATGTGTTGGCTTCAGGTACCACCTTGGCCACAGTGAAGTAGAGCACCAAGAAGGCACTTGGAATCTAGGCCTAGGCTCTTGGACAGCATTTTTGGACATGCCCTGGGCCAGAAAGGATCCCACTGCCTTGAAGGGTGAGTCCCAGGGCCATATTCACCACAAGCTGACTGAGGAGCCGTTAAGTGAACATCAGTAGTGGCCTGACAGAACTCTCTGTGGGCTGGTGGTGGTAGCCATGGAGAGAGGATCCTCTGCCTATGGAAAGGGGAGGAAAGAGTGGGAAGGACAATAGCCACACACAAAAAAAAATACCTAGGAATTAACCAAAGAAGTGAAATAGCTCTATAATGAAAACTATAAAACACTGATGGAAGAAATTGAAGAGAAAACCAAAAAATTGAAAGATATTTCATGTTCATGGACTGGAAGAATCAACATTATTAAAATGTCCATACTATTCAAAGCAATCTACCAGATTCAATGCATACCCTGTCAAAATGCCAATGTCATTATACACAGAAATAGAAAAAACAATCCTAAAATGTAAGTGGAATCACATAATTTTAGAATAGCCAAAGCTGGCCAGGCGCAGTGGCTCATGCCTATAATCCTAGCACTTTGGGATGCTGAAGCAGGTGGATCACGAGATCAGGAAATCGAGACCATCCTGGCTAACACAGAGAAACCGTCTCCACTAAAAATACAAAAAATTAGCTGGGCATGGTGGCACGTGTCTGTAATCCCTGCTACTTGGGAGGCTGAGACAGGAGAATCGCTTGAACCCGGGAGGCAGAGGTTGCAGTGAGCCAAGATCACACCATTGCACTCCAGCCTGGGTGACAGAGTGAGACTCTGTCTCCAAAAAAACAGAAAAGAAGAAAAGAATAGCCAAAGCTATCCTAAATGGAAATAACAAACCTGGAGGGATCATATTATCTGACTTCAAATTATACTGCAGAGCTACAGTAACCAAAACAGCATGGTACTGGCATAAAAACAGACACATAGACCAATGAAACAGAATAGAGAACCTGGAAGCAAATCCACACACCTACAATGAACTCATTTTTGACAAAGGTGCCAAGAACATACACTGGGGAAAGAAACGGTCTCTTCAATGAATGGTGCTGGGAAAACTGGATGTCCATATGCAGAAGAATGAAACTTGATCCCTGTCTCTTACCATATACAAAAATCAAATCAATATGGATTAAAAAATTAAATCAGATACCTCAAACTATGCAACTACTACAAAAGAATTGGGGAAACTCTCCAGGACATTTGTCTGGGTAAAAATTTCTTGCATAATAACCCACAAGCACAAGAAACCAAAGCAAAAATGGACAAATGGGATGGCATCAAATTAGAAAGCTTCTTCACAGCAAAGGAAACAATCAATGAAGTCAAGAGACAACCCACAAAATGGGAGAAAATATTTGCAAACTATCCATCTGACAAGGGATTAATAATCAGAATATATAAGGAGCTCAAACAACTCTATAGGAAAAAAATCTAATAAACCCATCAAAAAATGAGCAAAACATTTGAATAGACATTTCTCAAAAGAAAACATACAAATGGCAAACAAGTATATGGAAAGGTGCTCAACATCATTGATCATCAAAGAAATGCAAATCAAAACTACAATATCTCACCCCAGTTAAAATGGCTTATAAAGACAGTCAATAACAAATGCTGGCAAGGATGTGGATAAAAGGGAACACTTGCACACTGTTGGTGGGAATGTAAATTAGTAAAATCACTATGAAGAACAGTTTGGAGGTTCCTCAAGAAACTAAAAATAGAGCTACCATATGACCCAGCAATCCCACTGCTGGATATATACCCAAAGGAAAGGAAGCCAGCATATAGAAGAGATATCTGCACTCCCATGTTTGTTGCAGCACTGTTCACAATAGCCAAGATTTGGAAGCAACCTAAGCGTCCATCAACAGATGAATGGATAAAGAAATTTTGGTACTTATACACAATGGAGTACTATTAAGCCATACGAAAGAATGAGATCCTGTCATTTGCAACAACATGGATGGAACTGGAGATTATTATGTTAAGTGAAATAAGCCAGGCACAGAAAGACAAACATTACATGTTATCACTTATTTGTGGGATCTAAAAATCAAAACAATTGACCTCATGAAGATAGCGAATAGAAGGATGGTTACCAGAGGCTGAGAACAGTAGTGAGGAGGGGGAAGGAGGCGGAGCTGGTTAATGGGTACAAAAAAAAAATAGTTAGAAAGAATGAATAAGATCTAGATTTGATAGCACAACAGAGGGACTAGCATCAATAATAATTTAATTGTACAGTTTAAAATACCTAAAAGTATAACTGGATTGTTTGTAACACAAAGGATAAATACTTGAGGGGATGGATACCCCACTTTCTATGATGTGATTTTTACATATAAAGTATTTCATATACCCCATAAATATATACACCTACTATGTACCCAAATATTTTTGAAACACAAATTGCTTTCTTGATTTCTTTTTCAACTAGTTTGTCAGTATATAGAAACACTACTGATTTTTGCTGATTTTGTGTCCTTCAACTTTACTGAATTTGTTTATCAGTTGTAAGAGTTTTTTGGTGGAGTCTTTAGGTTTTTCTATCTATAAGATCACGTCATCTGCAACCAGGACAATTTGACTTCTTCCTTTCCAATTTGTATATCCTTTATTTCTTCCTTTTGCCTAATACCTCATACTTCAATTATCAGTGCCTCAGTTTGCTTTTCCTTCCTCTACTCTTACTACAATCTCTTGGTAATTCTCCGCAAGACTAGCTATGGAGTAGGAGCAGTCTTTCTTGTACCTCTCTTTCATTTTCCCCTCAAAATTAGGACAAACACTTTTCTGCTGATTTCAAAGATTTTGCTACTACTCATATGGAGAAACAGGCAGAAAATAGCAAATATGAGAAAGTTATGAAGTTTCAGGGTCATGCTAAGCGCTTATAGTCATGACTGTGTTTTTTTTTCCCAAATCTCTTCTGAGATGGTGGCTGAGAACCCCTTAATATTTTCTCTGTTTTTATTGGTAAAATCAGGACGCCATTCCTGCTCCTATGCCTATTTACATCTTTTCCCAGTTCTCTCCAAAGTCGAAAACTGTATTGACTCTTTCCTATATCAATAACCCTCTTCAAAGCCTACAGAGATTAAAAACCAGTCAGGACAGTATAATTTTGCTAATTTGGGTCAGTGTTTTAGTGTGAATAGTGTAGTTGAGCAGGACTATCTTCTGCTATTATGGTATCTCTCTCCATGAGATTATGCTGTCGGGGTTCTGTATCAGTTAGCTATTTGACATACTAATGCTGCATAACATGCCACTTCAATACCTAGTGCTGTACAATAACATGTATTTCTCCCTCATGTGGTATCCTGGGGTTAGCTAGAGTTTGGCTGATCTTGGCTGGGCTTAGCTCCAATGTGTGGGTTTAGTTCAACTTTGCTCCACACATCTCTCATCCTCCTTAGACCAGCAGCTTACCTTAGGTGTACTCTTGTCATGGTGCTAGCAAAAATGCCATAGGTCAGAAACACATTATATCTCTTAAGACCTAGACTCAGAACTGGTACCCTCTCACTTCTGCCCACATCCCATTGGCCAAAGCAATCATATGGCAAAGCCTAACATCAATGGGGAAGGTAGGTATACTCCTCCCAAGAAGTTTTTGGGAGGTGGAGTAGGAAGGAATGAATACATGCTGAACAATAGTCTGATCTGCAGGTTGTTTTTCACTTTTCTTTTCATCTTTTCCTATACATTTATGATTCTTATACTGCTGTAGAAAAATATAAACTTGCATTTCACAATTTGCAAGCATGGCTTATGTTTCACTATTTACAATGCTGATTTCATGCATTACAAGGCTTTACTCTCTATCACTTTTCTGACAGGTACACTATTTTTTCCTTGGGATTATCAGGCTATTATAGCAAAACATTATGGGGTTTGGGGTGAGGTTTATACCATGGAGGTGATGTCAATTGGGAATATATTCAACAGTAAATAACATGAAACTCAACTTACAGTTGCTGGAACAAATAGGAATTTATTTTTCTCACATGATGAGCAATTCAAAGGCAGACAATCTTGGGTTGGTAATATGATCAAAAGACTCAGTTATTTCTCTTCTTTTGATCCATGATTTTTAGTGTACTGGCTTTTGTCTTCATGACTGTAAGATGGCTAGCGCAGCTTCATATGTCAAGTCTACATTCAAGACAAAAAAAGGCCAGGGACCATGACAGCTGACACAGTCTCCCCTTGTGTTCAGAAAGAAAACCTTTCCCAGAACCACCCTCAATAGCTGTCCGTTTGTATCTCATTAGAAAATAAGGTTTTCAGCATTATAGCCTTTATAGCAAAAGGAGGGGTGAAGGCTGTTGGAAGGGAATGTTGAGACAACCTACAGTATATACCACAGGGAACACACTCGTCCTTTGTACCCAACCCCTCTCCCTCTAAGTAATGCTTACCTCTAAGTATCTATCCATTTGTAGCAAGTACAAAATGTACAACCCGTGGATACTCCCTAACTAAAAGATAACCCTGTCCCTGGACCTCTTTTCCACTTAGGAACATGCCCCTCTGTGTTTTTCATCAGGCCACATGGAAATTGATCCTGAGTTTTACGAATTGATTTACACATTTTATATTCTCAAGTAATGCTATAATGTTTACTGATTTGGAAACTATCAGGAGAGGCTATTATTTTAAGGTTGTGTCCTTGAGCAAGTTACTTAACTACTCTGGGCTTCAGCTTCATTATCTAAAAAAATTAACTTATTAAAAAAAAAACTATCTTGCAAGGTTGCTGTGAAGATAAGAAATCATATTTGAAAAGAGCTTCATATTTTGCCTAGCATTTAGGAGGTAAGCTGAGATCTGTTACCAGCAGTTGAATGCATTCCTAATTGGTATACTCGCTGTGCATTAAGCTTCACTACCTCCCACAATCTTTCAGTGAATTACTCTGACGAACCAAAGGGGTAAAATGTACTAATCAAAAAAGGAATGCATTGTGAAGCCTTATAATCAGTAGCTGACATCATTTCCATTATTGTTCTAAGGTACTTGAACTCATTCTGATTAAATAGTTCATCCTCCTTTTCTTTGCAGTTTCAGAGCATGTTAAGGCTACCAGTAATATGTCAAGAATCTGCACCCAGCATTGCTTTTATCTGACTGCCAACTCTGTATCACCATCATGTACCAGCCTTCAATAATGGTCAGATGGTAAGTGGAGGTGTGTGGGTAAGGGGTTTGGGGGGGCTACTTTTTAAAGTATGAAGAAGAAATGTAGAGGAATATAAGAATATGTTGCTTGAAACATAATCTCTAGGCCTGGGAGAAATTGCCTCCCTCCTTCCTTCCTGTCCCCACATCACCAAAGCTCCACCCTGCTCCTCCTTAGGGCAGGGATAGAGCATTGAAAGAAAGCAGGAAAGTTTCCAGTTGTGCCCCTCCTTTCTAGAGACAAAAGCATTTGCTTTTTTCTTCTTATTTCTCAAATTCACTGGCTACAGCATTTACACATTTGTTATTCTCCACTGACTGCTCTAATTGAAATTCAGGTCCAACCACTCAACTGAAAAGTTAACTAGATTAAGAAATAATTAGACTATCCAGTCATTAATTGCACCTGACCTTAACCCAGATGAATAGACACATGACCTGCTACAAACTCATTGGTAGGTAGATTGTTAATGTTGAATTTCTCTCAGTTTCACACACCAGAAGTAATCATAGGTTGTCTCCCTTTATCTACCAAAAATTAAACCCTGTAATTCGGGGGGTGAAGAGAAGGCAACCATCAAAATTATAAAAAGGAAGTATTTCTTTCTTACATTAATACTTAGTGATTGCTTTAAATGCAACAGAGTTTAACTGTAATAACAATTCTTAAGTCAAAAGTATCATTTAAAATTTTTCATTCTGGATACAACTTCACGTTTAGATTAATTTTCATAATCTCAGTAGCGGGAATGTGGATACCTGTTTTGCTCTCTCGCCAACTGATGGGTATAAAGAAAAGGATGGTGGTTGTGGTGGCAGTGGGGTCTTTTAAGTGTCATTAGCACCTAAGTAGGAGAGAGGACTATTCCAACACTTCAGAAAGGTTTACCTTGCCCCTGAACTTGCTTAAATCATTATAGAAGAGTAGGGCTGGAAGTTGCCTTAACAATCATCCCCTCATTATACAGACAGTTGTTTGTTTGTTTGCTTCATTTGGTGTTTGTGTGTTTGTGTACACCATATGGCAGAAACTCCTTGATGTGTGTTGCACCTGGACCAATAGATCTTGGGCAATAAGGATACCTATATAGAGGTGATTTGCACAAATTGGCCCTAAAAAGTTAACATGGACATATGTCCCATTCCACAAGCAGGGATAAGCTCTAATGACAATTACCTTGTAAAGGGTAAAACATTGCTATAACATCATGCTAATATTTTATATAAAACCCTTTCCTGAGAGCAATGTTTGATAGAGGAGGGTCAAGGGAGCATGAGAGTGTTGGGTACATAGTGAAATGGGAAGTGAAGAGAGGAGGAAAAGGATCACAGACTGGAGACTGGGGAAAGATCAGGCCAAAGAAACCATGTTACCACTGAGCCTGGGAGTTCCTGAATCCTAATGAAGCATAAATATCCTTGAGATTAAACCAATGGCTCTCAAAATGTGGTTTTCATACCAGCAGTAACAGCATCACCAAAGAGCTTGTCTGGGCCCCACCCCACAGCTATTGAATTATAAACAACCCCTGCAGCTGATGCTTATGTGCAGTCCAGCATTGTCCCTTCCTGTTTACAAAAAAAATCATACTCAGGCATATCACTTTAAAGGTAGATTACAAGTTTTACAGAAATAATTTTAAGGTCCTCTCTTCTTTCTGTTTTCCACTTGGGCAACAGGTAAAAACAGCAATCCATATGACTCATTATCTGTCATGAAGTTATGGACTAACATTTCAGATTTAATACCATTTATGTAGAAGGAATATTCTGTTCATAGTGTTGGGATGCAGAACAATACTCAGAAGTATGGTGCTTTGGAATGCTGAGCACTTTGAATTGAAATTGGAAGGCCTTAGAAGCTGCCTCAGAATTAAGGATATCTAGGTTACCTTGTTTCTTTCCCCCTCCAAGGGCATAAAGGGACTCTTTCTGGAATTTCCTAACTAAGGCAACTTTTTTCCAAAAGAAATGTAATTATCTTAAGGACAGCACCCCGGCCTTCCTGCACCCCCCACCCTCCACCCCAGGGATTTTATCAAATAACCAAGAAAGAAGGAAAGATTAACCACTGGAGAAGAGAAAAGACTAGAAGTCATCACCATACCCAGACAGACTTCATCTATTCTTCCAAAGGCAGCTCTAAGAGATTACCTGGGAGACTTCATCTACATAATAAGACAATTTTTGTTCACAGCGAAGTTCTGTCCCTCACCTTCCTGCAATTTATCTCCACTTCCCCCAAAGCTCAGTGGAACTTTGTCCCAGGCCAATTGTCTGTTCTTTGGTTTCATGCATTTCCCCTAAAAATCATTAACTATCCCTCAAAATTACATACATCTCCCATTTCCCCTCTTTGTTATGAAGAGAGTATTTAAGCCTCAACAATCTGGCCCTTCTTTGAGTTTCATATTTGTGGGACATCCATGCTTACATACATTATTAAATTTTGTATGCCTTTTTCTCCTATTAGCCTGTCTATTGTCAGTTCATTCCAGAAAACCTTCAGTGGATAGAGGGGAAGGTTGGCATTCATCTCTACTACAGAAAATATTAACTTATATGGGGAACAATAATTCTGCCTGACAGCTTTTTGAAATAAGTATTTTCCCATTAAAGTATTTGCTTTAGGCCGGGTGTGGTGGCTCACGCCTGTAATCCCAGCACTTTGGGAGGCTGAGGCAGGTGGATCACTTGAGGTCAGGAGTTTGAGACCAGCCTGGCCAACATGGCAAAACCCTATGTCTACTAAAAATACAAAATAATTAGCCAAGTGTGGTGGCACACACCTGTAATCCCAGCTACTAGGGAGGCTGAGGCAGGAGAAAGTGTCCTTGTGAGCATTATTTACCTCTTTACCTCCTATCCCAAGATCTTGCACAAAGTGGGTGTTTATGTTTTTTGAATGGATGGATGGACGAACCACAGGGAACGTCCACTTATCTCCTGTGTAGACAGAAATCTATGACCCCATGTTGCAGGCATCTCATAATAGTCTTGGAACTAAAGAATACTCAGGTTGAGAAGTCCCCTTCTTGCCTCCCCTCCCTTGCTTTCACCTTCTTGAGTAAATGTCAGTCCTTGCACAGCCATGTAGCATTCCAAGACTTAACTGCTTGTCTGAGGCAAAAAAAATCAACCTGATGAAAGTTTATAGACAATGAGGACTGAAAGAAAGGAACTGCTGCACTCCCCACCCAGGACTATAATGAGCTGATGTCCACAAAAGAGTTTCTAAGCTGTAAAATACCATGATCACAATAGTCATCATTATTAAAAGTATTTGCTTGTTGGTATGAGATAACTATTTTAGAATTCTATTTTCTGAGCAGAGGAAATAAGTCTGGAAGATTAGAAGCTTCTCCTCATTGACACTGATGATGCATGAAGTCTTTTCTGTGGCTCTGGGACTTTTGTGCATAGCCTTTCACAATACATCGTTTTCCTTGAATCTTCATTCTCCAAATGTGGACTGAAAACTTTGTAGATTCTGGGCACTGTGCCAAGTGCAAAGATTAAAATGTAACTAAGTCGGGATCCCTGCCCTTCAAAAGTCATAGTCTTCAGAATTTAACTGCTGTATCACTTAAGGAGTTTGAAAACCCATGTAACCTCTTTACCCATTTTTAAGTCGACATCTCAAGATTTTCATCATAAACTTAAGTAATTATAAAGAATAGAATTACCAGTGCAGTATAAATATGGATGTTTACAAATAAAACACACATCATTCATTTAAATGTGATGTGTCCAATAGAATCTAAATACCATTTAGATACTTATCATTCATTTTCTTAAATATAGAAAGAAACTTTATGTTTCTTCTCATCATCAATCTCATATTTCATTCCACTTCTCCCATAGAATTTTATCCTAATGAAATTGTTTTTTGTGCTTGAAGACTTGCTGGTCACCCTATAACACCCATACACACAAAACTTTTTTTCACATGACTATTCAGCTTAACTTTCTTAACAAAGTGTAGCTTGATCATGGACTGTTGGGTTCAAATCCTAGCTGTACTGTGTAATAGTTCTGTCCATGGGTTAACTTCATTTTCCTCTTCCATAATACTGGGAAATTAACATTGCATATTTTGTAGGGTTGTTGCAAGGATTAAATGAATCAATATATGAAAATACTGAGTCCAGTGCCTAGCATGTAATAATCATTTAATAAATAATGGCAAATTATTAATCTACCATGCAAAATACCTCTTCACTCACAATATAAGAGTCACCTTGTACAACATTTTCTTCCATATATGCTAGATCCATGATATTTTGTCCAACCCTGCTTTTTTATGCCTAAAGCTGTGGAGGCCAAGGGAAGGCTTCTCCTCTGAACTCTAAAGGATCACTGAAAATGAACTGAAAATAGACAGATTAATAGGAGAAAAGGACGTACAAATGTATTAATGTGTATAAGCATGAGGCAGTTGCAAGAGAATGATTACCCAATAACTCAGTGAAGTCCAGATGCTTATATGCCCTTTTTTATGGGGAAAGGGAGACGGGAGGAATGTGGCTATTTTGAGGGGTAGTAAATAATTATTAAGGGGAATGAATGCACCCATTGCTCAGACAATGGTTAGTAAATAATTATCTTTGGAAATTGAACGGAACCTGAGAACAGACGATAGTTTGGGACAAAGTTTATCTGGGCTTTAGGTGTGGTGTTTAATTTTCAGTCTCTTCCTCTGTGATTTGAGTTTAAAGTTCTCTGGTTAATGAAATTTCAGGCAGGAGATTGGGGTAACTGTGTCCCTCTTTGGCAGTCAGGTTTCCAGGTAGATAACAGAACTTCTGAGAACAGCTTCATCTTATGCTTTGAGAGAGACAGAGGATTGAGATGGGGGCGTGGGGAGGGGGGTGTCAGAGAGCAGAGAGATCTTGAGGCTGTTTTTGTAGTTCCACATGACAAAGTACCATTTATTGGGGAATTCTTTTCTGAGCCCCAAGCAGCCCTTAACACAGACTACCAGTTTGCCAGGGATTCTTTTTCTAAAAGTACCTCAGATTGATGGACAAGTAATTTGCTACTTTCTTCCTATCTGCCCATTGCCAGAACAAACTTCCAAAGTACTTCATGCAAAAACACTAGCAACTACAGCTTTCAGGTCATTCTAAGACACTTAGAGGAAATGATACACTAGCATACACATGTTTTTCCCCACATGGTTATTTGTAAATCACAATGCAGCTTTAATTTACCTTAAGATGATTAATAGTTAAACCTTACTCAAAAGTCACCTCCAGTGTGATCAATGCATGCTATTTTCTGGTCATCCTATCAGCTTAGGGTAACTTTTTTCAACTTTTATTTGAGATTCAGGGGGTACGTGTGCAGGTTTGTTACTGGGTATATTATGTGATGCTGAGGTTTGGGATACGAATGATCCTGTCACCCAGGTACTGAGCATAATACCCACCAGTTAGTTTTTTAACCTTCGCCCTTCTCCCCACCTCCCCTGTCTAGTCCCCAGTTTCTATTGTTCCCATCTTTATGTCCATGTGTACCTATTGTTTAGCTCCCGCTTATAAGTGAGAACATGTGGTATTTGGTTTTCTGTTCCTACATTAATTCACTTAAGATAATGGTTTCCACTTGCATCCATGTTGCCGCAGAGGACATGACCTTATTCTTTTTATGGCTGCGTAGTATTCTATGGTGTATATAAGCCACATTTTCTTTATCCAATCCACCATTAATGGGAACCTACTTGATTCCATGGCTTTGCTATTGTGAATAGTGCTGTGATGAAGATGCTAGTGCATGTGTCTTTTGGGTAAAAGAATTTGTTTTCTTTTAGATATATACCAGTAATAGGGTTTCTGTGATGAATGGTAGTTCTGTTGTAAGTTCTTTGAGAAATTTCCAAACTGCGTTTCATAGTAGCTGAACTAATTCACCTTCCCATCAACAGTGTATAGGCATTCTGTTGGTTTTTGACTTTTTAATAACAGTCATTCTGATTGGTGTGAGGTGGTATCTCATTGTGGTTTTGATTTGTATTTCTCTGACGATGCATGATGCAGAGCATGTTTTCATATGTTTGTTGGCTGCTTGCATGTCTTCTTTTGAAAAGTGTCTGTTTATGTCTTTTGCCCACTTTTTAATGAGGTTATTTGTATTTCACTTGCTCAATTGTTTCAAGTTCCTTATAGACTCTGGATATTAGACTTCTGTTGGATGTGTAGTTTGAATATTTTCTCCATTCTGTAGGTTGTCTGTTTACTCTGTTGAGTTTCTTTTGCTGAGCAGAAACTCTTTATTTTAATTTGGTCTAGCTTAGGGTAACTTTTCAAGTGAACTTTTGCTAGTAACAGTGGTCATCTCTCTGGTTTCCTTAGGAACACACCCAGAGGAAATGGATGCACGTGATGACAAGAAAACCAGAGTGGCCAGGATGTAGGACACCTGGACTCTCATTCATGGCTGGTGGAAATGTAAAATGATACGATCACTTTTGAAAACTTCAGTAAGGAACTTTGCAGCTCCTTATAAAGTTAAATCCCTCTACCCTATGACCCAGAAACTCCACTCCCAGGTATTTATCCAAGAGGAAAAAAAATATGTCTACCTAAAGATTTGTACAAGAATATTTATTCTGCTTCATTCATAATAGCCCAAAACTCAAATGTCTATCAATAGGAGAATGGATAAACAAATTTTGGTATACCCATACAATGGAATACAACTCAGCAATAAAACAGAAAGAACCACGGTACATTTAACAACATGAATGAATCTCACAAACACTATGTTAAGTGAAAGAAGCCAGATATAAATAAGTACATATACTCAGGCACCACATAATGACATTTTGGTCAATGACAGCATATATGACAGTGGTCTCATAAAAATCATAATACCATATTATTACTGCACCTTTTCAATGTTTACATATGCTTAGATGCACACATACTTACCATTGTGTTGCATTTGCCTATAGTAGTACAGTAACATGCTGTACAGGTTTGTAGCCTAGGAGCAATAGGCTATACCATCTAGTCTAGGTGTGTAGGAGGATATACCATGTAGGTCCATGTAAATACACTCTATGATGTTCACACAATGACAAAATTGCCTAATGATGCATTTCTCAGAATGCATCCCCATTGTTAAGCAATGTATGACTGTACTATTATAGTTCCATTTACATAAAGTTCGAGAATCTATGTTAATAGGAATCATAACAGTGATTACCTATGGGGAAGGGACATTGATGGTAGATGGCCACAAGAAACGTTATGGGGTGATGAAAATGTTCTATATATTGACTGAGGAGGGGTTACACAGGTGTATACCTTTGTCAGACCTCATCAAACATTACGTTTAGTATCTGTACATTTTGTTAAAGATAAATTATACTTTATTATTTAAAAAATTAGAGAAAGAAACATCGCAGCATCCAATTTTACAGTTTTAAGGGACCACAAGGATCATTTTAGCTTAATCTCCTCCATTTTGATGCCAGAAAATTTCATACAACAGCCCAAGTGAATGACTGCTAAGCTCCAACTTGCACTTTATAGTAGGGAAAACACAAAATTATAGCCCAGTCTATTCTCTTTTCTGACATCCTCAGCTGAACTATGCTGCTGGCACATGTTGGGCTGGCAGTTAACAAAAATTCTTACCTCCACCAGCTGGGATTTCTCATATGAATTCTTGTCAACCCTGAATGCCCCTGTCCAGTTGTGCACCTTATCATGATTAATATTTGCATTAAGCACTAACACTTCTGATGTCTTTAGATTTCCTCCTTCATACGCTGTCCAAGGCCCCTGGCGTTGTCATATAAGTAGATTATCTCAGACAACGTTAGGAAATTTGAGGGTGAAATTATCCAGAGTCTCTTGAAGGATTAGTCTCAAATAAACACGTTCTATGAACATGCTAGAAAAGGACTGCATTACAACACAAGAGACCCACATTAGGACAAGAAGATCTTGGTTGCCTACATTAACTCGTGTAGGAAGCCTTATAATTAGGCTGTCATACTTGATAAAACCAGGGCTGGGAACGCAGCTTAAACCATGACTGACGTGGATGTTTCTTCCTTCTCAAGTAAAGCTAAAGCATCAGGTTACTCCCAGACTGCCACTGTAGGAATGAAGAGAGAGCAGTGACCTACTCCGCACAACTGGGCTAGAAGTTTCAGCAAAAGTCAAACAATCCTACGGGACTGGGGAAAGGACATTGTGGTCCACAAAGAAAAAGTTAACGATACACTTATGGGAAAGAATGTAACAATAAATTCTTTCCTTCAGAAATAGGAGATATTTAACTTTTCTGATATTTGTTTTGTTTTGCTTTCAAATAAGATAGGGTAACAACGTTATTTGATAAACATAAATGGATACTAAAATCCTATTGATTTTTCCCTTTGGCCGTAATGGGTAAGGGGGAGAAAGAGGAGAAATGGTTAAAGAGACACCCAAAAAGTAAGCCATATACAAAATGGGGAAAATTTGCACATTCACATGTTACTTACCCAATAAATAATAATAGCACCCTCTTATTGAATGCTTGCCATTTGCCAGTCACTATGCCAAGCCCCCCAGAAGGACTCTGAGAAGTTCTATTATTATCCTCATTTAACAGGAGAAGAAACTAAAGCTTAGAGAGGTTAAATAATTGGCATATATCTGGAAAGTAGTAGGCCCTGGATTTGAACCAGACAATTTGCCTGGTGAGCCTGAACTTTTTACCACCACATCACACTGCCTCCAGTCTCCAAACCCCCACACATCTCCATTATGGGAGCACCAATGTCTCTTCCAGAAGTTTATGAGGAAAAACACACCTGAAACCTGTCAAATATCTCAGAACAAAAGATAGTAGTATCTCCAAGTAAGTTTTTTAACCTTGACACATACCCATGGATACATGGCAAACAATGAAAAGAATTGAGAGGATTGTTGAAAATTACATGTTCAACCAAAAGAATAAAAGAGCTAGAGCATTTTCATCTCAATTCATTTTTATGGGTTTCTGTTAGGTAGGAAGAACTGTCAAGTAATAGTTTATCTTACATTCAAAACTGACACAGATTTTAAAGTTAAATGAATCCAATTTTCTTTCTTTTTTTTTCTTTTTTTTT
Organism: Homo sapiens; assembly: GCF_000001405.40. Lineage (NCBI taxonomy): Eukaryota > Metazoa > Chordata > Mammalia > Primates > Hominidae > Homo > Homo sapiens. Next base: position 16,081,650 of record NC_000023.11, on the reverse strand, counting down.
TTTTTCAAAAAAGTCAAACACTCACCTGGCAAATTATCCAGCTCAGCTCTTTGTTATGCACTACCTCACTCCTAATACTTTTTTCTGATGATCACATTTGCAACATTCAGAACAGTGCTGTCTGGACTCACTGTCTATCATTAGCAACTAAATGTTCTGGCTGTTTACCTCTCATCTGACTGTTCCAAATTTGCTAGAAGAAGAAAAACTTTCACACTGAGTTTTATTTTTAAAATTCTTTCTCAGAGGCATTAATACTTCTCTGTAAAAATTCTAACTTTCAGACCGGCGTTTATCAAAGCATGATACTCTAAACATTGAAAACATGACTCTCATATGAATACAAAGTGAGCACATATTGATTTATTTATCTCATTAATCAGATAATAACAGGATAGTAAAGCTGGTTCAAAGCAGAATTTGAGAGACCAAGTATACACAGGCACTGAAAGAGGGAATGCAGGAATAAGATTACTAAATTATGAATTCCTAATACAGGGAAAAAGAAAAAAACTTACTTACTTAGATACAAAAGTAGCTAATACCCTACAGAGCAACAAAAATATCTTTTGGGGCTATTTATTTTACGGGACAGAAATTATTTACATCTCAACCAGACAAAAAATGGTTCCCTCTCAGAGTCTGGCTCTTAATCAAAATAGTAAATTAGGCCAGGTGCAGTGGCTCATGTCTGTAATCCCAGCACTTTGGGAGGCCAAGGCAGGAGGATCGTTTCAGACCAGGAGGTGGAGACCAGCCTAGGCAACATAGCAAGACTCCATGTCTACAGAAAATTAAAAAAATTAGCCAGGCATGGTGGCACATGCTTGTAGTCCCAGCTACTAGGGAGGCTGAGGTGGGAGGATCGCTTGAGACCAGAAGATCAAGGCTGCAGTGAGCCATGATTACGTCTCTGCACTCCAGCCTGGGCAACAAACTGAGACCCTGTCTCTCAAAAAGAAAAAATAAAAGGAATAAATAGTAAATCGAGTGAAAGTACATTTCCTTCTAAAATTAAGTAATCCTTGGATGGGCCTGTTAGGAAGAGCTCCCGTACGTCACTGAAAGAACATACAGTCATCCTTTTGCCTTATTTCCAAGGTTTTAGATAATTTTTCTATCTAAATTTTATATCTAAAGAGTATTTTTGATTAGCAATAGGCAGGGAATTTCATAGTTTCACAGTCTTCAAAATTCTCTTGAGCAAAAGTATTATTTCCAGAATGGACTTTTGACTGTGGACCTCCAGCCTGATCCCTGACAGTCAACTTATTCTGGATGATGCCAGGTAAATGCTTTCTAATCCAGTGACTCTGCCACGCAGGCTCCCTCCCCATCTTCTCTGGCACTGGTTCCAAAACCTGAAGAACACTGTGAAAAACTACAGCCAAGCATCTTCAGGAGGAGGATGTAATCAACTATTGGGTCATCTTGTCCTAAGTTCTTCTGGGTTTACTGTTGCTGTCTTGTCATTGTTCTTTCTGAAAGGACAGTTGACCTTGGGGTCTCTGGAAGGTCATACATTCAGTTCTTGCACACACAGTTCCTGCTCTCAGTTTCTCTTTGCCTGTAAGTAAGCTCATGTGGCTCAGAAACGCTTCATGGAGGACACCATACTTGACTTGGTCCTTGGGGTATGTGTAGGACTTGGAAGCATGGAAAGACAGTTGAGGATATTCAATGTAGGAATAAGGTGAATGAAAGCATAGAGAAAAGTAATGCAATGACTGTAGTTTGATTAAATCCAAGGTTTGAGCATATGAAAAATAAGAGTGACAAGCAAGTGACAATAAGTGTGGGTTACATAAGGTAAGAAGGTAACATTTGTTGAGTACCTACTATGTGTCAGGCCATTTTGAGAATCATTTCAGCATGCCAATTTCAAGTACTATTTCTTACTCCCCCAAATCAGTATGTTGGAGAGTGAGACATTTCACAATTAGAATGTAGAAACAGAGCGTTCTTTTTCCCAAGACTATATGACTTCCACTTTCCTTCTCAATAAACCAACATCAGATGCCAACTTTTCCCAGAGAATTTGGCCTGAGAGTGGCCTTAGCTGAAAAATAAACCCAATCTATTATCTGATGCTTGGGTCTTATATGATAAACCATGGTTAAAATTGATATAGCAATCACAATAATCATAATCTTAGCCAATGTTTACTGAGCAATTATCATGTGCCAGGCACATATTAAGCAGTTTATGTGTATTGTCCCCTTTAACCTCCATGACAATCTTATAACGTAGGTACTCTGATTAATTTCCATTTTGTAGTTGAGGATTCTGTGAAATGAAGAGGTAAGCAATTAGCACAAGGCCACAGAATTTAGTAAGTGATGGCAGCAGGATTTGAATCCAGGCCTCTGACTCCACATTGAAGAAAAATCTATGGTAGAAAACCTGCTGCAATGACTACATGATAATCATGGCACTTCCAGGACTTACAGTTTAATGTGCACCTGTCTCACTGAAATCTCACACCATCTTACCTCCGCCTGCCCCGTCTAACTAGAAGCCAAGCACCAATATGTTAATGAAATTGCTCTAGCTGAATAATAGACTAATGACAGCAAAAAGCAGAACATCTCCATCAAGTGTAATGGTGAAAGGGAGTGTAAAGAAATGAGTGTAAAGAGAAGACAAGCAAAGGACAGTGGACATGGTGGTTAGGTTTAGATTCTAGAACTAGGTGTCCTGGGTTCAGTTCCCGACTTCATCACTTTCTAGTTGTATGACCTTGAGCAAGTTACTTAACCTCTCGGTACTTTAGTTTCTCCATCTGTAAAATGGAGATAATGATAGAACTTACCTCAAGGTCCTTGTAAGGATTAAATGAATCAATATTTGTAACACATACAACACTTCCCAGCATATACTAAAGTGTATAATAAATAAACTGAATCAGGAAAATTGCAGGTGGGCCAATCACAGTCCTTGTTGATGGCTAGAACCACACTGAGATGTTTAAAAACAGCATATAAAATAGAGAAACAAATGAAAAAACTAGATTGGCTGCTCCTTTACAGGCAAACTGATTGGGTTTCAAAAGGCAGTCAGTCAAATACTTTGTTCACAAATCTGAAGCAAAACTACACCAAGGGTAGCAAATGGCCTATGTTGGGGGCAGGCACAGTTAGCTTGCTTTGGTTCTAGCACAGTAGCATTGATATATATCATAATGTGTGTCTTTAAAGCTCAATAACAGAGAAGCTTTTGAATGCAAGCATTCAATAAAGAGAGCTGAGTATTACTCTAAAGTAACTCAATTTTCCTAGTACGTGATCCATTCATTCTGCTGACTGAAAATGGCCAGTCAGCCACATAAGATAATATTTCTTGGGAATGGGAATTATCCCCATCTGGACGACGTTCCATCAAAACTTTTGGGTGGGAGTTGCAAAATCACAGGATTGTGTATATCTCATTAGAAAATTGGAGAGAGACAAGATTGGTGGCTTGCCACCTTAGCCAGATTTTCCTATTTTTTCTCCTGAAGATGTCCGCTTTTTATGCCAACTAGATTCTTCCCTTTCCCTTTTAGGGCCCTTGCTTCATAAACCTCACTGTGGCATCATTTTAGCAAGGAAATAGACTTAATGAAACCTAATGACTTGCAAAGCTGAATCTCATGAGTCCTGAACTGTGTATTATGAAAGCACTAATCCACAGATACCCTGCAGAGTTGCTCTGTTGCTCTGCTACCATGATTTATATTCCATTTCCTATTCAGTTGTTGCTTCTACTGCTTTTCTTTATCAATTCCCTTCTTCCCAGATCATTGCTAAAAGCCGTGCTTCTACCTCATGTAACAAAATATGGTATGACAGGGGTAGCTCTTATAGAACATTGGGGAAAGTAGATGATAGAAATCAAATTAATTTTTAGTTCTGTGAAGTCTGTCTAGCTTCAATTTAACCTTTAATTGTTGTGCCAAACAAGCATATTCTAGCAAAATCTAAAGTTTGTAAAAATATTAGCAATATTTGATCAAGTTATTATTTTATCCTAAAACACAGATTTTCCGGTTAAATTATTCAAGATGATATTCTTATATCATAAAGCCTAAATTTTCTTCAGATACCTTACTTTTAAAATGTTACATCAATTGGTAAATGAAGGCAGATTCATTTTTCAGACTGGCTACCTATTAGAAATGCATCTATAGCTTCCTGAGGATCTATGTTCTTCCCTAGTTTTCCTTCCCCTTTCCCTTCACAGTTAGCATATTTCCATAGAAGTTCCTCCTTCGCGCTAAGGACCTTCACTTACTCTCAACACATAAAACACAAAGGCTCTAAAAAGACAGCATCTGATCTCATTACAAGCAAGGAATCCCAACAGGAAATTGTGTCTCATTTCATATATTACTACTGATAAACACCAGGTGTTGCTTGTCTTTTGTTAATGGATTATTTGTATTGCATATTTTACCAAAATTATCCTATGTGAGGTTGTTTTGCTGCTATGTTTCTTAATATTATGCCATAAATACCCAAGGCAGCTAACTATAGCCCCTACAAAAGATGCAATCCTTTGCTTTTGAATATCATGCTGCTGACTCACCATCAACACATGTATTGGTATTGTCCTTCCAAACAGTTGCTTGATCTCACTTGAAATAAAGACACACAGGTGTGCCCATTAGCTGGCTGACGTCAGAGAAGCAGACTGCCCATTTACTATCTTCAAGAAAAGCCAAGTGGTCTATAAAACTTTCTAACATAAACCTTTGCCTTATCTAATCCCTAGATTTAACCTAATGATTC